>NC_000023.11:73068602-73371632 GCF_000001405.40 Homo sapiens
AGGTGAGGAGCACCTCTTCCCGGCCACCCCATCTGGGAGGTGAGGGGCATCTCTGCCTGGCTGCCACCCTATCTGGGAAGTGAGGAGCACCTCTGCCTGGCCACCACCCTGTCTGGGAGGTGAGGGGCGTCTCTGCCTGGAGGCCCCGCCTGGGAAGTGAGGGGTCCCTCTCCCAGCCCCCCTTCATCTGAGAGGTGGGGAGTGCCTCTGCCCGGCTGCCCCATCTGGGAAGTGGGCACCTCTGCCCGGCCGCCCCGTCCAGGAGGTGAGGGGCGCCTCTGCCCGGCTGCCCCGCCTGGGAGGTGAGGAGCACCTCTGAACGGCTGCCCTTTGTCTGGGAGGTGGGGAGTGCCTCTGCCCAGCCGCCCCGTCTGGGAAGTGGGCGCCTCACCCGGCTGCCCCATCGGGAGGTGAGGGGCGCCTCTGCCCGGCCGCCCCATCTGGGAGGTGAGGGGCGTCTCTGCCTGGCCGCCCCATTTGGGAAGTGAGAGGCGTCTCTGCCCGGCCACCCCGTCTGGGAGGTGGGGAGTGCCTCTGCCTGGCTGCCCCATCTGGGAAGTGGGCGCCTTTGCCTGGCCACCCCATCCGGGAGGTGAGGGGCACCTCTGCCCGGCCGCTCCGTCTGGGAGGTGAGGGGTGCCTCTGCCCGGCCACTCCGCCTGGGAGGTGAGGAGCGCCTCTGCCTGGCCACCCCACCCGGGAGGTGAGGGGTGCCTCTGCCCGGCCCCCCTTTATCTGGGAGGTGGGGAGCGCCTCTGCCCGGCTGCCCTATCTGGGAAGTGGGCACCTCTGCCCGGCTGCCCCGTTTGGGAGGTGAGGGGCATCTCTGCCCGGCCACCACACCATCTGGGAGGTGAGGAACGCTTCTGCCCAGCCGCCCCATTTGGGAGGTGAGGGGCGTCTCTGCCCGGCCACTGCCCCATCTGGGAGGTGAGGAGCGCCTCTGCATGGCCGCCCCGCCTGGGAGGTGAGAAGCACCTCTGCCTGGCCGCCCTTCATCTGGGAGGTGGGGAGTGCCTCTGCCCAGCTGCCCCGTCGGGGAAGTGGGCGCCTCTGCCCGGCTGCCCCGTCTGGAAGGTGAGGGGCATCTCTGCCTGGCCTCCCCATCTGGGAGGTGAGGAGCACCTCTGCCCGGCCACCCCGTCTGGGATGTGGGGAGTGCCTCTGCTCAGCCACCCTGTCTGGGAAGTGAGGAGTGCCTCTGCCCGGCTGCCCATCGTCTGGGATGTGAAGAGCACCTCTGCCTGGCCGCCACCCCGTCTGGGAGGTGAGGAGCGCCTCTGTCTGGCCGCCACCCCATCTGGGAAGTGAGATGCGCCTCTCCCCGGCCGCCCTGTCTGGGAAGTGAGAGCACGTCTGCCCAGCCGCCCTGTCTGGGAAGTGAGGAGCGCCTCTGCCAGGCCGCCCCATCTGGGAAGTGTACCTAACAGCTCTGAAGAGACAGCGACCATCAAGAATGGGCCATGATTACGATGGCAGTTTTGTCGAAAAGAAAAGGGGCAAATGTGGGGAAAAGAAAGAGAGATCAGATTGTTACTGTGTCTGTGTAGAAAGAAGTAGACATAGGAGACTCCATTTTGTTCTGTACTAAGAAAAATTATTCTGCCTTGGGATACTGTTAATCGATAACCTTACCCCCAACTCCGTGCTCTCTGAAACATGTGCTGTGTCAACTCAGGGTTAAATGGATTAAGGGTGGTGCAAGATGTGCTTTGTTAAACAGATGCTTGAAGACAGCATGCTCGTTAAGAGTCATCACCACTCCCTAATCTCAAGTACCCAGGGACACAAACAGGGCCGAAGGCTGCAGGGACCTCTGCCTAGGAAAACCAGTGACCTTTGTTCTTGTGTTTATCTGCTGACCTTCTCTCCACTATTATCCTATGACCCTGCCATATCCCCCTCTCTGAGAAACACCCAAGAATGATCAATAAATACTAAAAAAAAAGATATAAAATTTAAGAATAATAATAATAAAATAAAATAAAAACAAAAAAAAAGAAAAGTTAATACCAAATTATTACAATATTTTCCAGAAAACAGAAAGGAAGAAAACACTTCCCAATTATTTTATTAGGCCAATATTATCCTGATAACAAAACCAAACAAGATATCACAAGAAGACTACAAAACAATATGTCTTATGAATGTAGACATATTTATATACTCATTTCTTTAGGAAAAAAACCCTCAACAAAATAGTAGCAAAACCCAGAGTTCACAACATGGTGAAGCAGAAACTCTCCTTTCCCCAACAAACACACCAATTGAGCATGAATTAATGGACAAATTTCCTTTTTGAGAAACCAAAAACTAATTGAAAAGTTTCTACACCCCAGGAGAACATGGAATCAGTTTCATTGAAGTGGGAAGGATCACATTACCTGACTTCAAATCATACTGCAAACTATGTTAACCAAATCAGCATAATACTGGCATAAAAACAGACACATAGACCAATGGAAGAGAATAGAAAACCCAGAAATAAATTCACACATTTCCAATCAATTCACTTTTGCCATAGGTGCCAAGAACATACATTGGGGAAAGGACAATCTCTTCAATAAATGGTGCTGTGAAAACCAAATATTGACATGCAAAAGAATAAAATTGCATCTTTATCTTATACCATACACAAAAATCAACTAGAAATGACTTAAAACAAGACCTGAAACTGTAAAACTCTTATAAGAAAACATAAGAAAAAAGCTTCATGACTTTGGTCTTGGCAATGATTTCATGGATATAACACCGAAAGCACAGGCAATAAAAATATAAAACAAAAAGTGGGACTACATCAAGCTAAAAAGATTTTTGAACAGCAAAGGAAACAATAGAGTGAAAATGCAATTTACAGAATGAGAGAAAATATTTGCAAACCTTACATTTGATAAGGGGTTGATTCACAAAATATATAAGTAACACCTACAGCTCAATTGTAAAGGAACCTGTAACTGAATTTAAAAACGGGCTAAGAATTTGAATAGATGTTTTTTCAAAAGACATACAAATGGCCAACATGTATATGAAAAAGTAATAACATATCTAATCATCCAGGAAATGCAAACCAAAACCACAGTGAAGTGTTGCTTCACACCTGTCAGGATGGATATTATCAAAAAACAGAAGACAATGATATTGGCAAAGATGTGGGGAAAAGAAAACACTTGCACACTGTTGGTAGGAATGCAAAACAGTACAGCTGCTAGGGAAAATAATATGGAGGTTTCTTGCAAAATTAAAAATAGAACTACCATATGATCCAGCAATTCCACTTCTGATATTTATCCAAAAAACTTGAAATCAGGATCTCTAAGGTAAATTAACACTCCTATGTTCATTGAAGCATAATTCACAATAGCAAATATGGGCGAACAACCTCAATGTCCATCGATGGATGAATGAATAAAGAAATGTGGTATATACATGAAATGGCATACTATTCCGTCTTAAAAACACACACAAAATTCTGTAATATGTGACAACATAAATGAATCTTGAGGACATTACGCTAAGTGAAATAAGCCAGTGACTGAAAGACAAATACTGCATGATTCTACTTGTATGAGGTATCTAAAATAGTCAAATTAATAGAATCAAAGAGTGATATGGTTGTTGCCAGGGGCAGGAGTGTGGGAAAATGGAATCAATGGGCATAAAGTTTCAGTCAAGCATGATGAATAAGCTCTTGAGATGTGCTTGCATAGCATCATATCTATAGTCAACAATAATGTATTGTACATTTAAAATTTTTGTTAAGAGAGCAGAACTCATGTTTTGTGTTCTCACCACAATTAAAAATACTTTCTCATAAAATGTGGTACATACATACAACAAAATATTCTTCCACCTTAAAAAATGAAATTCTGATGAATGCTACAACATGGAGGAACCTTGAAGAGGTTATGCTAAGTGACATAAGTCAGACACAAAAGAACAGATATTGTGTGATTCCATTTGTATGACCCACCTAGAATTGTCAATTTTTTCAGACAGAATGGCAGAATAGTGTTTACCAGGGGCTGGGGCAAGGGAGGAATACGGAATAGGTAGTTACTTTTTAGTCGGCACAGAGTTTCAGTTTGAGATGATGAAAGAGTTTGGGAGATATGTAGTAGTGAATGTTGCACAGCATTGTGAATGTACTTAATACCACTGAACTTGACAAATGGTTTACATGGTGAATTTCACGTTATGGCATACCTGACCACAACAATGTTTAGATTAAAAATACTAGCGTACTGAATTCAATAATACATAAAGACGATTATACATTACCAAACAGAATTTATCCAAGGAATTATACATTGTTTTTATATCTGAAAATTACTTAATGTTATATACCAGATCATTAGAACAATGGGGGAAAAACTCACAAGGATTATCTCAGCAAATCCAGAAAAAGCATTTGGTAAAATCTAAAACTCTTTTATAACACTCAGTAATTCAGGAATAGATGAGTACCTCCTCAATCTGAAAAAAAGATCTACAAAAACCCCACAGTAAGCATCATACTTAATGGTGAAAGACTTAGTACTTTTCCCCCAACATTGGGAACAAGACATAGATATTCATTTTCACCACTTTTATTTAACATCGTATTTGGATTTTCTAGCTAAGGTCATTAGGCAAGAAAATGAAATAACATGCAGCCAGACTGGAAAGAAAGAATTAAAACTACTTCTATTCACAGATGATGTGATCTTTTTTCACTTAATTGAGATGTGATTGTGAAATAAACTTGTATATATTCAAGGTGTACTAGCTGTTGTTTTGATATGTGTATGTGTTGTGAAATGATTACCACAATCAAGCTTATAACATACTCATCACCTCACACAATTTTTATTTTGTGGTGAGAATACTTAAGATCTACTATCTGAGAAAATTTCGAGTATACTATAGATTATTATGAACTATAGTCACCATGCTATACTTTAGGTCTGCAGAACTTACTCACCTCATAACTGCAAATTTGTACATTTTGACCAACATCCCATTTCCCCCAACCCTGCCACCAACCCCTGGTAACCACCCTTCTCTCTATTTCTATGAGTTCAACTTTTTTAGATTCCACATATAAGTGAGATCACACAGTATTTGTCTTTTAGTGCCTGGATTATTTCACATAGAATAATGTGCTTCAGGTTCATCCATGTTGTCAGAAATAACAGACTTTCCTTCTTTCATAGGCTGAATAATATTCCATTGTGTATACACACCACATTTTCTTTATTCTTTTGCTGATGGACACTTAGGTTGTTTCTTTATTTTGTCTATCGTGAATAATGCTGCATTTAACATGGCATTGTAGATGCCTCCTCCAGATAGTGATTTTCTTTCCTTTGGATGTATACTCAGAAGTGAGACTTCTGGATTATATGGTAGTTCTATTTTTAATTTTTTCAGGAAACTACATACTGTTTTCCATAATGGTTGCACTCACTTTCATTCTTACCAACAATGTGTAAGGATTCCCTTTTATCCACATCCTTGCCAACATTTGCTATCTTTTCCCTTTTTGAAAATAGACATCCTAAAGGTGTGAGGTGTTATCTCATTGTGAATTTGACTTGCATCTCCCTGATGCTGATGATTAGTGGTGTTGAGCATCTTTACATGTACTTGTTGGTGATTTATAAGTCTTCCTTGGAAAAATGTCCATTTAGGTCTTTTGCCCATTTTTAATTCAGGTTGTTTTGTTTCATTTTGTTTTGTTTTTTATGCTATTGAATTGTGTGAGTTCCTTATATATTTTGGATATTAACTCCATATTGGATATATGTTTTCCAAATTTTTTTCATTCCTTAGGTTGCCTTTTCGTTTTTTTTTATTTTATGCTGCATAGAAACTTATTAATGTGAAGTATTCCCACTTGTTTATTTTTGCTTTTATTGTCTATGCTTTAGGTGTCATGTCCATGAAATCATTGCCAAGACCAAAGCAGTTTCCCTCTATGTTTTCTTCTGAGAGTTTTATGGATTCAGGTCTTATGTTTAAATCTTTAGTCTATTTTGAGTTGATTTTTCTGTATGGTGTAACATAAGCATCCAAGATTTTTGCATTCACATATCCAGTTTTCCCAACACCATTTATTGAAGAGGCTATCCTTTTTCTGTTGTGTATTCTTTGTGCCTTTATTGATGATTAGTTGACCATATATGCCTAGGTTTTTTTTTCTGTCTATTCTGTTCCACTGGTCTATGTGTCTGTTTCTATGCCAGTATCATACTGTTTTGATTACTATAGCTTTGTAATAACATGATTTTATATAGAAAATCCTAGAAAATTCAGCAAATATATATTAGAACTAATAAATGACTTCAGCAATGTTGCAAGATACAAGGTCAATATACAGAAATCTATTATACTTCTGTACAGTAGCAATGAGCAAACCAAAACTGAAATTAAGAAATCAATTCTTTTTACAATAGCATCAAAAGAGTTAAATACTTAAAAAATTTAACCCAGTAATTGCGAACTGCTACTCTGAAAACTACAAATCGTTGTTGAAAGAAAAATGTTCTATACAAAGACAATCCATGTTCATAAGTTGGAAAACAGTATTTTTAAGATGATAATAGTACACAAATCGATCTATATATTTCACACAATCCTCATCAGAATTCCAGCTGTCTTCTTTGTAGAAATTGACAGACTGATTTGCCTGTCTCTCTTGCATTACTCTTAGCTTATTTTCCCAGTAATGATAAGAAAGACTTTGTTCTGACTGGATCAAAGCTGAGGACAGATCTCTCTGTGTACTGAACATGGACCCTTTGTGTCATACCAGTAGCTGTTTGCTTTGGTGCATAGGGGGCTATTTCTGAACCCCTTCTGTGATGGGTTAAACAAATAAAATAACAGATATATTTTAACATATAACTTCTATGAAGAAATAATAGCAATCCATACCTTACAAGAATAAACCCTAAAACAAGGGTTTCTTTGTTTTTCAGCTTTGCCAAATTGTCAAAGTTGCCTTGAACTGAATGAAGGGTCTGCATCAAAGTATTAAACATAAATTAGCTTGTTTCTTCCACCAAGGCAGTGGCTCTGTTTTATTCACTTTATAGAGTTTGTAAAACTATTTTATTTCTAAGTGGTTTTTAAAAGATGCTCCTTTTTGTTCTCTTAAAATTATTATTTCTGATGCTTGTCTTGATTTTTTAATTGTTCATTTACACCCTGTGCAAAGCAAAGAAATATCAAATGCTTTGCTCTAGGAGAGGGAGGCAATTCAACTGCAAAATTGTTCATCATACCTTGGGTTTAATGGGGTAAATCTTAGAAACTACTTTAATATCCTTAATAGGTAAACTCCTAAATAAAATTCCAGTCTTATACAATGATGGTTTCAGGAGAAAACTGAATAGCCATGGATGTTTTAGATGTTGCAAGATATTGAAAAGCAAATAATGACAAAATATGCCAGTATAATTCTGTAATTGGTTTTAAATGCTTATGGATGGATAGTAGCAGCCTGTATAAAAAATAATCTAAAGTGGTTTTGATCTATATTTTAATGCACTAGATCTCCCTCTTTAAAAATGTTTGTAAAATGAAATAATAGAAAAATTGATATGCTTTTTTAGCTTAACAAAACTTTAAAAATACTTTGATCAATTTAAGAAGGTGGGACATGATACAAGCACTTTTCTACATGTTTATATCCACCACTGTAGTGGATATAAACTAGTGGATATAAAGACCAAGAAAAATATTTAACACGTTCGTGTCTATTACTCTGTAATTCCACTAGTAAGGAATAAAAAACAATAAAATATACCTACGCATTCAGGTAAAAAGTTGTTCATCATAGAATTGATCTTATGAGGGAAAAAAATCAGAATCTTTTTAAACATAGCCCCAAAGGATGCTTGGTTGCAGAAATCATAGCTTATCCTGATGACAGAATATATGTAACAACAGAATTGCAGGACAATATTTAATGATTTACAGAGATGACCCCAGATAATTGTAATAGTGAAATACCCTCCAATGAAACAATGCATATTGTGTTATAAATACAAAGGTAGGTAGATACCTATTATTGAAAATTTATTTTGTCAAGTAGTAGTATTAGGAGGGGTATTAGGATTTCAACTTTCTTTTCTTACATTAGCAATTTTTAAAAAATATTTTCTATTATAATTTTGTACAATTTGTATAAAAATAAATGTATAACATAAATAAAAACAAAAAAGCTCCTGTGTCCCTGAGAAAATACTGGTGAATTGTAGAAACAAATGTAATAGCAAGTGCAGAAAATCGTCCAGGTATCTGGGTCCTGTAACAACACTGATGCAACTTATGAAGATGAACTTGTACTATATTTACAGGTGGCCATTGAATAACACATTCTTCCTCCCCTCCAAAAAAACATTCAAACTGCCATGTACTTTGACACATGAATTCTACTTTTAGCAATGACTCATCAGGAAATAATCTTGAAAGTCAGCATGTTTTGTGCACTAGGAACTTCATGGCAGCTTTAGATTACATAAAGGAAAAGCAGAAACAATCTAGATGTTCAATGAGGAAAGAGTTAAAATAAAACATGCATAAGACACACGAACACACAGAGATATAGACATAGATACATATGTACACACATATATCTAACCTTCTACCTAGTCGTGAATTCAATAGAATATTAAGAGCCAGAGAAAATATTTTAAAAGTATCTTTAATGACATGAAATGAAGTTCAAGAATATGTGTGTGTATAAATATACACACACATGTATGTGTGAAAAGCAGATATAAAAACAGTCTGTACATCATAATATACATATATGATATATGCATAAGAAAAAAACTAGACCTACAGACAAAAATGTTTCAGGTAGTTCTAGAAAATATCAGAGAGGTGTGCATGAAAATGTTTCTGGAATGTGTGTGTAATCATCAGAAATGATTACTGGTGACTTTAATTTTCTTCTGGTAACTTGTCTGCTTTGTGATTTTTTTTTCTTGCAATGACGCTGAATTACTTTTCTGACAACAGGGAAAAGGACAGGAAGAGGGCACAGGGGAATGGGGTCATAAGCAGTGTTTGTTTCCAGCAAAACTACCGAGGACAGCGAAACACCCTTTGTAGCCCGCCAAGCTGGCCAAGACACACACACACACACACACACACACACACGCACGCACACACACGATCAATTACAGTGACCAGGAGACTATGCAGGGGAAACGGGCATACTCTTTACTAGCTGCGCTGGCCGGCACGAGTGCAAATCGGTACAATGCTTATGAAGGGGGCCTTTTGGCAACACACAGGAAAAGTCTTTAAAATGTCTATATGTGGATCTTGCAAGTCCGCAGTTAAGGAGACCACCGGGATGCTAGCAAAGATTTGGCTTGACAAGGAAGGATTCACTCATCAAAGCACAGAGCACGCAATGTTGGTCTTAAACACAGGGAAAGAACTAGGCACCACCTGAATGTCCAACAATGCGGGAATGATTACAGAAATGTTAAGGTCCACGGATACACTGGAGCACTCTGCAGGCACTGAAGATGACGTTTCATAAGCCTGTTGATAACATGGAAAGAAGTTCAATGGGTTGATTTTTGTTTGGTTTTAGTTGCTGAAAAAGCAGGTTAAGAAACACCACATACATGAACCATTCTATAACGGTGTGTTAAAAGGGAAGGCGGGGTGGGGGTGAGCAAAGGAGAGAGAGGGAGAGAAGAGAGCCTGGAAAAGCAGCACACCAAAAAGGTAAAAGTGGTTCTCTCTGGGGAGTAGGACCAGGGGAGCAATTACTCTCTTGTTTCTTCCCTCATCTGATATCCTTCTCCTTTCTGATGATTCTACCATGAAATTGTACCACCTGTGCAGTAAACAAAGAGAGAATGAAAATGCTTTTTAAATCAAACCACAGGGAGAAGAGGCAGCCTTTAACCTACAAATGGCACAGATTAGTAAGATTATTCACAACGCCCTTGGTGGGGGTGGGCGGGGGAGAGGAAGGGAAGGAGAGGAGAGGTGGAGGGAGAAAATAGGAAGCGGGGAGAGAGAAGGGGAGAGAGAGAGAGAGAGAGACCTGCACTCTCAATACAATAAATACACTGCTGGTGGGTTGGCGGGGGAGGGCTGGGGGTGGGGGGTTGTAAACCGGGTGTGAGCCAAGGTTTGGCTCTGCTGGCTGGCTAGCTCCTGGGATGTCTTCATCGCAAGGTGGCCTCCTCGTCGGTGTCTTCCTCGAAATCCTTGACGTCAGCACTAGTGGACTGCCTGGCCCAGGCTCCCCTTTCGGCCTCTCGTTCTTTATGCGACTTGAATCTCCCGACGAAAATTTTGCGGTAGTTCAGGAACATGCCATTCATCACATCGATGGCCCGCTCCGCAGATTCCTGCTTTTGGAAGTGCACGAACCCGTAGCCCTTGGGCCCCTTTTCGTCACAGGCCACTTTGCAGGAGAGGATGTTGCCGAACGCCGAGAAGATGTTGTACAGCGCCTTGTTGTCGATGGTCTTGCCCAGGTTCTTGATGAAGACGTTGCCCACCCCGCTCTTGCGGAGCGACGGGTCCCTCTGGGACCACATGATGCGCACTGGCCTGCCCTTTATGACATCAAAGTTCAGGGTCTCCAGGGCCCGCTTGGCGTCCACCGGTTGCTGGTAGTTGACATACGCGTAGCCCAATGAGCGGCGGGTGATCTTGTCCCTGCAGATGCGGATGGAGAGGATGGGCCCAGCTGGACTGAACTTCTCGTACAGCATTGCCTCGGTCACCTCAGGGTGCAGGTCGCCCACGTACAGGGAGGCCATCTGAAAATCTGGGTTCCCCTCACAGTCACCGAGGGTCTCATCCGCATCTGCATCCGCGGCGGCCGCCGCAGCCGCCACCTCGGCCGCCACCTCGGCCGCCACCTTCGCATCCGCATCCGCATCCGCATCCGCCTCCGCCTCCCCCAAGGGGGGCCCCGCAGCCTCCGCTGCGGCGGCGGCTTCGGCCGCGCTGCCCTCCGCCACCGCCACCACCGTTGCCACCCGGGCGGCCTCCGCCTCCCCCGGGGTGGCCTCCGATGCTGCCTCCTCTATTGAGGCCTCGGCCTCCACCTCAGCCTCTACCTCTGCTTCCGCCTCCGCCACGGAGGCCTCCGCCACCGCCTCTGCCACGGTCGCCGCCGCAGCCTCCGCCGCCGCCGCAGCCGCTGCCGCCACCGCCGCCGCCACTGTCGCTGCTGTCGCCACGGTCGCCGCTGCCGCCGGGCCGCTGCCGCGACCTCCCTTCCCGCGAGCTGGGGGACGGAGAGGCGGGGGAGGGCGGGAGGGCAGGAGGGCGGGTGGGTGCGGGAACACAGACCCGATGCGCGAGCGGGAGCTGGCGCAGGGGATCCGAACTGGCGAGTTCAAGTCACCTGGGATGGCAAGTGCTGCCAGGAGCGCGCCGGTGCGAGTCGCCGCAGCCTGCAGCCAGCTGCTGTTGCCGCCGCCGCTCGGTCGTGGGCTAGCGCGCAGGGTGCGGGGTGCGGGCGGGCAGGCGGCGTGTGGTGGGGGGCGGGGGGTGTTGGCGTCTGTCGTCCGGGCAGCTGGGAAGGCTTCTGTCTCTTTGGTTCCCCCTGTGGCTGCTGCGGGGCTGCGGGGCTGCGGGGCTGCGGGGCTGCGGGGCTGCGGGGCTGCGGGGCTGCGGGGCTGCGGGGCTGCGGGGCTGCCGGGCTGCGGGCGGTGGGAGATGACGGGGGTGGGAGCAGGAGCGGGAGCAGGGGCGGGAGCGGGAGCGGGAGTGGGAGTGCTCAGTCTCTCGGGTCGCCTGGATATTTATGAAAAGGACGCCAGGGAAAGGGCTCCGCTGTAGACCGAAGGGATAAGGGTTCGATTCAGAAGGGAGCGTTATTTTTATCCCCTCTCCACATAATGGAACGTTTAAATGGTTAAATCAAGTACCTTGCAGGAGAGGGTGGGGTGGCCTTGAGAATACACTCAAGGCCTCAGTACATGCAGTCTGGAAGTGGGGGAATCAAGAGCACCCTGTCTCTAGTACTGTCCTCAATGATAAGGTGAGGAAAGCCAAACCCAGGACTGGGAACAGGGCCTGGTCCAGAGCCAGGCGCTTGTTTATTCTTGACTCTGCTCTCAAGGCGCTGAGGTTCCCAACCTGGACCAAGAAGTACATATTCAGGTTCAAAGGATAAACCAAAACAAAACCTGAGCTCTCTCTCTAGAATGAAGTGCCTGGTCCCAGTTCACCATCTAATATTTATGGAAAGCTTATCAGGTACTTGGTGCTGGGGGCTAAGGGGCCCGCAATGTGGTAAGTGAGCAGGGACTGTTGATGTGTTGGAGGTGTGGAGCAGGGTGAGAAGAGGTGAGCAGTGTGTGTGTAGTGAGAGCAGAGAGGCCACACAGAGCCAAATGCTGGGGGTATAGACAAGGGAGCAACCATGAGAGTTGAGTGTAACAGAAGCTACAGTCCCACTTCCTCCAGAGAGGAGGACCAGCCACTAACTCTTCTTAGTAGCAATTAGGTGAGGCTGCACCAAAGACAGAACCACCGAGGTGGGCTCTGAAACATGAGGAGCAGTCCACCATGTCAAGGCAGGAAGGAAGGCACTCCAGGCAGAGGGATCAGTCTGTGCCCAAGGCCCTTTGTCATGAGAGCACATGCTTGGTCGCTTCTGGCCATGCCTAATAATCTGGCAGGGACAGAGCTCATGGTCTCCAAGAGCACATGGTAGCAGACAGGGCTGGAAGGTGTGGGGCCCTGAGAATCAAGCTAAGGTGCTTCGACTGTATACCCAAGGTCACGGGGACCACTCAGCATGTTCAAGGAGGGAAGCAGTATGATGAGAACTTTAGAATGAGTACAAATTAAACATCAATGTGCATGTATAAGTGCACATTTACATGTACACGCATGTACAAAACCAAGACAGGGCTGACAGAACACAAGGAAGAAAGTCAGATGTGACCAATTCAAAAAGAGTCTGAACAATCCTTCCCTCTATTCCTTTTCATTCCATAAATAGGGGTCTCACGTTTACCGTGAGCCAGTGGGGCCAGATGTTTAAAAAGAGAAAACCATAGTGCCTTCCCTCAGGATGCCTTCACTCTGCTAAAGCTCAGTCTGCCCCCACAGAGAACAGAAGTGTCAGCAGAGGACTGTAAGTGCTATGTGATTGGACGACGGTGGCCATAGAATTTCACCTGCCCAGCACGTATTCTCTCATCCTCTCCTCCTCTGCCTTCTTTGGGTAAGTAAAGCTGTTTTCTGTGGTTGCAGTGATGGCTGGATCTTGGCAGTCATACATGATAGAACAACCGTGAACCTGAGGAAGTGACTGAGTCACTGTGGGGTGCGAGGCAGTGAGAACTCTTCGTCGCTGGCTGGAAAGCATCCCAAGGTGGCTGAGAAGCAGATACACAGACATGTACCTCTCCAGCTTGCAAAGTCCAGCTCTCTGCCTCTAGGCAGGGCTAGTGCCGGCAAAGGCAAGGGACAGAGACCTAGGAAAAGCCTGCTGTACAGCGCATGCCTGACCAAGGTGATCACTGTCACCGCTGTTAAGAGCCATCTCCTGGGGGTCTAGGTTGCTTGCAGGCAGGGAGAAGATGAAGCTGTGCCTCACCATTTCCAGGTTGGTGTCCAAGAGGGACCTGAGAAGGCAGAGGCCAAGGGGGAAGCCATGCTCGCAGAGGGGTAGGGGATGTGGCGAGGATGAGAAGAGCTCCTCGGCCCATTGTTAGGAAACAGAAATGACAAGGAAGACCAAGTCGAGGACCAGGACTCAGCAAGATCTCTGTCTCTGGCGTTGCCTTCCAGTACACAGGGCCAACAGAAATCAGTGAAACAGCAGGAGAAGGAAGTTCAGGGAAGTCATGCTATGGCTAGCAAATCCCCAAACCTGAAAACAATTCCTAGGATCCTGAACCTCTAGCAACAGGAGCAGGGCTACCAAAGTGACAAGGACACAGCAGGGACTGCTCCCCAAGTCCTTTCTCAGGGGCTTCCATGGAGTCGAGTTTCCATCTCCTTTTTATTCTTTATTTTTAAAGTTACGTTGTGGTCAGTTTCTGCCACCTGCAAATGGAATGTGTTCTGACCACTACACACTGTGACAGGGGCAAAAATAAAGAGCCCTGTGGAGCCTCAATGGAGGGAGGGGAAGTTTCCTTTCCCGTGGGAGGAAGTGCTGTTGATTTTATTTATTCAGTGATTCAATGAATATTCCTGGAGGGTCTTCTATGTACCAAGTATTCTGCCGGCCAGACCGTCCCTGAACTCAGGGAGCTTATTTTCTAGTGGGGAGACAGACAATAGACAGATCAGGGAATATGAAAACAGTTAAAGGTTGCTATGAATGCTCTCGGGGACATAAACAAGATGATTTGGTACATATTGCCTAGAACCCCAGAAAAGTGGCAAAACGGGAGACATGAAGCTCAGGGAAGGCCTTTCTGAGGACAATGATAAGCCACCAGTCTTTCAAGGAACCAGGGGGGAAACCTGCCCAGCAGAGGGAAGGGCAATTCCCCTGGCCCTGTGGCAGAAAAGAGAGGGTGCTGGGGGTGGGGGTGGGGGCAGAAAGGATGCCAATGTTGCATGGAGCCCAGTGTGAGAGGGGATAGAGGAAGGAAAGGGAGGAAGGCGCAGTGGTGGGTGGTGCCATGATGAAGAGTCTGGTTCTTCTTCAGAGAGCTCAGGAGAGCCAGAGAAAGGATTGAAGCAGGTAGTAGCATAATCTAATGCCCATTCAGTGGTTTCTCTCTAGCTGCTCTGTGTGGGCAATATCACAAGTGGGCAGGGCACAAAGGAAAGCAGGGAGACCAGTTAGGAGGCTCTTGCAGTAGTCCAGTCCAGAGACAGCAGGGGCTTGGCCCAGACTGGAAGCATCAATGTGGAGACTAGTGTGTGGATTCACATGATATTTTGGAAGTGGAAGAGACAGCGCTTGTGAGTGGATTCGAGGCAATCTCAGAGGTCTATGTACGGTCATAGGAAAGACAGAGAGTGGGTGGGCATGGTAGATTTGGAGAAGGGAGAAAGACAGATGGGGGTGTGTGTCAAGAGCTCCTATTTGCACAGGTTTAGTTACTGAGGTCTGCTTGTCATCCATAGAGGCTGGAGAAACAGAATTGTTGAGACAACAGGACACAGTTAGGGTCTAAAGCCACAAAACTGAGTAGGATCACCTAGAGAGAGTATAGCCAGGAGAAGAAGGTGCAGGGCTACTCCCTGAGATACTCTGACACTTAGAAGTTGGGTGGGGAGCACAAGCCAGCAAAATAGATTCAGAAGGACTGGACAGTGAACAGGACTCCTCTCTAAGGCCTTGCATGTCCGAACATGTCCAAACTTCTCGCCAAGGCTTTTCATCACCAGCCTCAATATCCTCACTCAGACTCTGCTCTCAATGCTCCTAGCTGTACGTGCATGGGAGTTGGTTTAAAATGGGACAACAACGACTTTGTGTGCTTGGCTTTGGACTTCACTCTCTGATCATTTCTCAGTGGAGCTTTCAAAAGAGAGAGAGGTTCGGATGCAGAGAACTTCGAAGAGTGGGGTAGGCACTGCTCTGCTATTTCATGTGGCCCATCTCCTTTTTCCTTTCAGGAGGGAGAAATCAGAAGGAGTGGGGATGCAGTTCAGAGAGCAGAGGAGAAGAGAAGAAAAGAAGGAAGAAGGAAGAGGACTAGGGTTGGGTGGGGGGGGAGGACACCAATGGGAAGAGGGACAGATCAACTCTATACACAAAAGTAAATCAAAACACCAAAAACAGGGGTCTATGTAAAGAAGCCTCTTCCCGTGAATTGCTCGTTGCATAGCTGCAGGGAGGGTGTTTAGGGGCATAGAGAATGAAAACATACCTGTATTTTGGTGTAGGGAAATTGTTTCTGTCAATTCACACCGTCCACACACCACCTCCCACCCCAACCCCGCCACTACCAAATTCCTCTAAATAAAAATAATTATGAGATACAGGCCAACAAAAACGTCAGCGTTAGGCTGTTATTTAGAGAGAATTGGAAAGCGTTTGAATGTGGCCCTGTTGTTTAATAAACGATAACAATGATTACTAAGTTGTCCTGAGTCAATACAACAAATTTAGCAAATGGTCCTTTGGGTCCTTATAAAGTGAAGAGTTGACGGAGACAGATTTGTATATGGGGCAGGGATGGAATGGTAGTCAGTCCTGGAGAAATAAGAACCCCGGGAGGTGATGAAATATGTACAAGTATGTTTATCACAGAAACACTCATATTGGGCAAATCAGGGCACAAAGCAAGTATGCATCAGGTGAGGAGTGACTGATACATTGGCAGTGCAGCCATTCTGAGGATTATTATGCAACCATTAACAAGTATGAGTTATCTCTATATAAGCTGATTTAAGGGGATTTCCAGAATGTGCTATTACCAGGCGAGAAAAGCAGGTTTGTTGTCATTTTGGTGCAAACAAAAGGAGATGGGCCTTGGAGTCAGATTGACTAGTAGGCTGAATTTCAGAGCAAAACACTTAACCATTCTTGAGCCTCAGTGTGTGCTCAGAGTTTGAATTTCAGAAACCCTAATTAAGCATCTTACAAATTTCATTTGTGACAAGCAGTTTTGCCCCAGCTCTGCTTAGAAACCGAGCCAAAGGGCTGTATTGACTGATGGTTTTTGCATAGCATTCCAGATATTTTTCTCTCTGAGAACCAATTCACCTTCTAACACACGCTTGAAGCCTTAACTCATGCCCTTCTTTGTTATAATTTTAGGCAGTTCACAAAACTGATTTTATAACAATATACCTACAGATACACCCCAGGCCATGACTTAAGAGTTGTGCTTACTTTGGTCAAGGTACTTTACCCCCCTTTTTTCCATCTTAGCTTTGGAGTCCCCATCTGTACAAAGGGATATTTATAAGGATAACAAGTGATAATGTATGGTAAATGTTTTTCACAGTGCCTGGCATGCATTCAATGCCCAATACAAGAGACTCCTTATTAATCTTATTGCCCTCTGTCCTGGGGTTGTGCTTGTTCAGCTGGTTTTTGAAGGTCCAGTGTCTTGTCTTTCTGGTGCTCCAGGCAGCCTGGAATTTTCTCTCTAACCAGGAGCAAAGTGTCAGTACAGAGGGAGTCTGATCCTCTGGGTTCTCTGGCCTGAACTCGCTTAGCTCACACTCTCATTGAGCTTCTCTGTACTAGTCCCAACCATAGGACCTTTTAATGATCCAGTTATTTATTTTCTGGAGGCTCAGGGTCCGCACATTAATTAACACATGAAAGCATGGCATTTTCTGTACTCAAGGAAACCACCCAGAAGATTTAATAACACTATCTCAACAAAATGGGGTATTGAGACAGGAGAGAATTTTCTGTCAACTGCTATTCATCCTTTTGAGCAACATCTTGGGGGCCATTTGAGAGGTAATTTACTGTAAGGTAATACACTCCTTCAGCTTCTTTGCTGCAGGCTACTGAACACACTTTGATGTCTCCATGATGTCTCTGGAACAATATTACCAATATTCACCATTGTGATGTGATGCATGCATGGATTACTGAAGCGTGAGTTGGCTGATCTCCAGTATCATGAGCTGCTGATCAATTTTAGGTTTTCGCTTTGTTTAATAGATGTAAAACGAAATCTCCTTCAATGTGGTAAAATCTTGCTAATGTCAAGGTGATTAACCTTGGGACTTCCTCCCATACAGATCATCTTTTTAAAACTGTCTCCAAATAATAGTTCTTAATTAAAAATATATATGTATGCACATGGTAAATATAATAGTGATGATCAGAAAGTACAAAGGAGCTTATGATAAAAAACAAAGATTCAAGGTCCCATCACTTCCTACTCCCCAACTGTGCTTCCCAGAGTAGACCACTTTAACAATTTCTGTTTGCAGTGTTCTGACCATTACCTCCTTATATCTAAAGAAAATGCCTAATCTGCTAATTCAATAATTCATCAACTTCAGACATCATCAAGTGACCATCCTCTACCAGAGAGGAGGATTTAACTCACTCACACTATCTTCAATCTGCCCTGTCTTTCCTTCTGGCAATTTTTATACCTTTTGATCTTTAGTTCTTCTATTGGTGACTCCAGTGACTTTAAGTGATATGCTTAACTCTCAGTCTCTAGCGTACACCTTCGTCAGTTTCCCATAAAATAAGGATGTTAGCACCCCTCCCCTTCCCTTAGCCTCTCCTCCCTCTTTCTATATCCTCTTTTCCAAACAGACTGCTGCTCATTGACATCCACTTCTGAAAACTTAGTTGAATTATTTGGGCTTTGAAAAGCAACACAAGCCTTTTACCCTTTAATGAATCTCTAATAATGTTGTCCACAAGGGTCACATTTCTTCACACTTTAAGGTGGGCCACTAGAGGGCGGTTAATCCTGATGTAAATTAAATTAAAAAAAATTAATTAATGTAGACAGGAGGACTAAGTGCAGGAGATGTTTTGTATGACACAGAAACTATATTTAGTAACAATTTATTGTATACTTAAACATTGGTGAAAGTAGATTTTAAATATTTTCATCACAAAATGTATGTGAGATAATGAATGTTTTAATTTGATTTACTTTCCCAAATCTATACATATAACAAAATATCATATTGTGTATTACGTATTTATATAGTCAATTGTAACATCAGTTACTTTACTTTTTAAAATAAAATCAATTAATGTAACCCATCACTTCAACAGGCTAAAGAAGAAAAATCACATGACTATATCAGCGGATGAAGAAAAAGTGTTTGACAAAATCCAACTCTCATTCATGAGCAAAACCCCAAATAATCGAGACATACAGGATAACTTCCTCATCTTGGTAAATAATATCTTCAAAAGAAATACAGCTAACATGATAGTCAATGGTTGGAAATTTGAAGCTTTCTTTCTAAGAGCAGGAACAAAGTAAGAATGTCCCCTCTCACCATTGCTTTCTACATTTTACTGGAAGTCTTAGATAATTCTATAGGACAATAAAAATGTAAGTATACAGATTAAGAAGGAATACATGCAATTGTCTTCGTTCACAAATGACAAGATCTATGTTAAAAAATCCAAAAGAGTCAACAAAAAATACCTCCTGGAACTAATAAATGATTATAACAAGGTTTTAGAATAGAAGGTTAATGGCCGGGCGTTGTGGCTCACATCTGTAACCCTAGCACTTTGGGAGGCCGAGGCGGGCAGATTATCTGAGGTCAGGAGTTCAAGACCAGCCTGGTCAACAAGGTGAAACCCCGTCTCTACTAAAAATACAAAAAATTAGCCGGGTGCAGTGGCCCGCACCTGTAAAATCCTAGCTGCTTGGGAGGCTGAGGCAGGAGAATCGCTTGGACCTGGGAGGTATAGGTTGCAGTGAGCCAAGATCATGCCACTGTACTCCAGCCTGGGCAACAGAGTGAAACTTCTTTTCAGCAATATATATACAAGTTTAATATGAAAAGTGTCCGTTGTTTTCCTATATACAAGAAATGAAAAAGTAGAATTTTAATCTGCAGATCAATTTGGAGAGTAGTGGCATCTTAACATTATAAGTCTCCCAATCTATTAACATGTAATGTTGTTCCATTTATCTTCTTTAATGTCTTTCAGCAATGTTTGGTAGTTATCAGAGTATAGGTTTGGCATTTCTTTTGTTAAGTATATTGGTAAGTATTTTTTTCTGTGATGCTATTATAAATAGAATTGTTTTAATTTCCTTCTTGTATTGCTCGTTGCCATTATCAAAAAATAAAATTGGTGTTTGTGCATTAAAAAGGACAAAATACCATTTACGTTAGCGTCCTCAAAAATGAAATACATAGGTATAAATATAACAAAATATATACAAGACCTATATTAGGAAAGCTACAAAACTATGATGAAAGAAAGCAATGAATAACTAAATAAATGAATATGCTGTTTCTTTTATTTTATGTGTGTTGTTGAGTTGCCTCCCCTGTCTTACCTGACCAAGACGCCTGAACCTATCTTCTTTCTGGGTCTGGGCTCTCCTAGAGAGGATATATCTTGGTAGGAATAAATGACACAGATCAGACAAGAGCCACATGATGTCTACCAGTGAAAACAAGTTTTCTGTGAGAGGGACATCTGGTCATGGTTCAGACACTTAGGAATTAGGCCATTCACCAGGATAAAAGAAGCATCCTGTAAAAGATATACTGTAAACATTCATGACCAAATACCTTGAAGCCCTGACTGGAAGGGCTGGAGTTTTTAGCCATCCTCCTAAGGGAGATCTCAAGACCAAATTAAAAAGAGGAAAATAGAATGTCAAAGCTAGTTAAAGAACTCCACCAGAGAAAAAAGTAGACTACTACTACCTTATTACTATTGATTTTAAAATTCTCAACAAAATACTAGCAATCCAAATGCAACAATACATTAAAATAATTATACACCACGAACAAGTGGGATTTATCTAAGGAATGCCAGGATGGTTCAACATATGAAAATCAATCAATGTAGTACACTTTTTAATAGAATGAAGAAAAAATGGCACAACCTCATCTCAATACATGCAGAAAATGCATTTGACTTGACAAAAGCTAACCCTCTCCCACAATTAAAAAAACCACTCAGCTAAGTAGGAATAGCAGAAAAATTTCTGATCATGGTAAAGGGCATTTATGAAAAACCCTCAGCTAACATTATACTCAATAATGAAAACCTGGAAGCTGTTTCCTAACATCAGAAACAAGCATGCTCGCTGTCATCACTTCTATTCAACATTGTACTGGACGCTCCAGCCAGAGCAATTGGCCAAGAAAAAAAAAGGCACCCAACCTGAAACAGAAGAAGTAAAATTATGTCTCTTTGCTGATGACAGTATCCTACCTATAGAATATTCTACAAAATCCATGAAAAAATATTACAGCTAATTAAAAAATTCAGCAAATCACAAGACCAACATACAAAAATAAATTTGTATTTCTATATACTAGTAGTAAACAGTATCAAGATAAAATTAAGAAACAATTTCATTTACAATAGAATCAAGTGATAAAATACTTAACAATAAAGTTAACCAAGAATGTAGAAGTCTTGTACTCTGAAAACTAAAACATTGCTGAAAGAAATTTTAAAAAGTGTAAATGAATAGAAAACTTCCTATAGTTATGGATTGGAAGACTTACTGTTAAGATTTGGTAATACTCCAAAATTACAAATTCAATACAATCTCTATCAAAATACTGACTTTTTCAAAAATGAAAAAACTGATCCTAATATTCATATGGTTGCACAGCATTGTAAGTGAGCTAAGTGCCGCTGAATTGTCCACTTTAAAATGGTTAATTATGTTATGTGAATTTACCTAAATAAAGCAAAAGCAGACACAGAAAAAAAGCTACATTATGAACTCAATAAAAAAGATGAAAAATGACAGCAGACTTTTTTTTATCAGATACCATACAATCAACAATATGAAGACATGATAGAAACATCTCAATTTGTATGATTTCAATGATTTTAAATATATTAGGGCTCCTTTCATGATATAGCATGTGGTCTATCAAGGAGAATATTCTATATGCACTCAAGATAAACAAGCATTCTGTTGCTTTAGGGTGGAGTGTTGTTAGGTCTAGCCTGTGTACAGCATTGCTCAAGCCTTTTATGCATATTTCTTATTTTATTTTCTGACTAGTTGTTCTATACATTATTGAAATTGAAAGTGGTTATTGAAGTCTCCAACTTCTTCACTGAGCTGTTTATTTTCAATTCTCTCAGATTTTGCTTTGCGTATTTTTCAACTCTGTTGATATGTGCACATGCGTTTAGAATTATTATGTCTTCTTGATATATTGAGCCTTTTGTCTTTATAAAATACAGTTGACCCTTGAACAACATGGGTTTGAACTGCACTGGTATACTTATATGTAGATTTTCTTCCACTTCTGCCACATCGGAGACAAGACCAACTCCTCCTGTTCTTCCTACTCCTCAGACTACTCAACGTGAAGATGATAAGGATGAAGACATTTATGATGATGATCCATTTTTATCTAATGAATAGTAAATATATTTTCTATTCCTTATCTTTCTTAATAACATTTTGTTTTCTCTAGCTTACTTTACTGTAAGAATATAGTATATAATACATATAACATAAAAATACGTGTAAATTGACTTTATGTTATCAGTAAGGCTTCTGGTCAACAGTAGGCTATTAAAAGTTAAGTTTAGGGGAGTAAAAAGCTATACATGGATTTCTGACTGCCTGGTGAGTTAGTGCTTCTAACCCCTGTGTTGTTCAAAGATCAACTGTATATGTTTTTCTCTCTAGTAAAAAAATTTTATTCTTTTTTTTTCTTCCTCCTTTTCCTGGTATCTAGTAAAAAAAATTTATGTCTGTTTTGTCTGATACTATTACCACCACTCCCAGTCTCTTTTGGATACTACTTGCATGGTGTATCTTTTCTATTTTTTCA
This sequence comes from Homo sapiens, assembly GCF_000001405.40. Lineage (NCBI taxonomy): Eukaryota > Metazoa > Chordata > Mammalia > Primates > Hominidae > Homo > Homo sapiens. The sequence continues at coordinate 73,091,007 of NC_000023.11, forward strand.
CTTTTAACCATTTTTTCATTTATTGTAAGGTGTAGTTCTTATTGAGAGCATTTATATAGATCATTTATTTTTTATCCATCTGCTAATAGATGCTTTTAGTTGAAGTGTTTAATACATTTGTATATAACTACTTTTAAATTAGGGTTTGCATCTGAAACTTTTCAATTTGATTTCTATAGATTATCTATCTTTTCTCCCTTTATCCTTCTATAACAATCTTCTTATGTGTTCAGTAGGTATTTTAGTACACTAGTTTAAATCCCTTGCCATTTCTTTTACTACATTATTCGGAGTTAGTTCTTTAGAGGTTACTCTGTGATTACAATTAACATATTAACTTTAAAAATCTAGTGAGAATAATACCAACTTGAATAGCATACAATTTTCCCTTATGTAGCTTCATTTCTTTTACCTACTTTATGCTATTATTGTCATACAAACTATATTTTTATACATTATATGCCTGCCAACACCAATTTATATTCATTGCTTTTCCCAGTTTTTCTTTTTTATTATTATTACTATACTGTGTTTTAGAGATGGTTCTTGGCACACCCTCTGAAACATTTAGTGGTAAATGGGACATGATATCTGAAACTTATATTTTAAAAAAGCAATATATGTGTGCCTACAGAGAGAAAATGATAAAGCAAATGTGGAAAATGACTAACAGTTGGTGAATATGGGTGAAGAGCATACAATTTTGTACTAGTCTTGCAACTTGTCTATGTTTGAAATTATTTCTATTTTTATTTCACTAGTTTTTAGGGTACAGATGATTTTTGGTTACATGGATAAGTTCTTTAGTGGTGATTTCTGGGATTTTGGTGCACCCGTCACCTAAGCAGTGTACACTGTACCTAATATGCCATCTTCTATTGCTCATCCCTCTTCCACCATTCCCTGCTGAGTCACCAAAGTCCATTATATCATTCGTATGTCTTTGCATCCTCATAGCTTAGAGCCTAATTGAAATTGAGAACATACAATATTTGGTTTTCCATTCCTGAGTTACTTCACTTAAAATAATGGCCTCCAGCTCCATCCAAGTTGCTGCAAAGGACATTATTTCATCCATTTTATGGCTGAGTACTATTCCATGGTGTATATATACGTATACACACACACACACACACACACACACACACACACACATATATATATATATATAATGTGGTATATATATATACCACATTTTCTTTATACACTCATTGTTTGATGGGCCCATTGGTTGGTTCCATATTTTTGCAATTGTGTGGCTGTAAACATGCTTGTGCATGTCTTTTTCACATAATGACATCTTTTCCTTTGGGTAGATACCCAGTAGTAGGATGGCTGGATTGAATGGTAGTTCTACTGTTAGATCTTTAAGGAATCTTCATACAGTTTTCCATAATGGTTGTACTAGTTTACATTTCTACCAACAGTGTAAAAGTGTTCCCTATTCACCACATCCACACCAACATCTATTATTTTTTTACATTTTAATTATGGCCACTCTTGCAGGAGTGAGGCCATATCTTATTGAGGCTTTAATTTGCATTTCCTTGATAATTAGTGATGTTGAGCATTTTTTCATGTTTGTTGGCTGATTGTCTATCCTCTTTTGAGAATTGTCTATTCATGTCATTTGGCCACTTTTTGAAGGGATTTTTTTTTTCTTGCTGATTTGAGTACCTTGTAGATTCTGGATATTAGTCCTTTGTTGGATGCATAGTTTGTAAACATTTTCTCCCTCTCCGTAGGTTGTCTGTTTGCTGATTATTTCTTTGGCTGTGCAGAAGCTTTTCTGTTTAATTAGGTCCCACTTATTTATTTATTTTTGTTTTCGTTGAATTTGATTTTGGGTCTCAGCCACGAATTCTTTGCCTAAGCCAATGTCTAGAAGAGTTTTCCTGATGTTATCTTGATAATTTTTATGGTTTCTAGTCTTAGATTTAAGTCTTTGCTCCATCTTCAGTTCATTTGTGTATAAGGTGAGAGATAGGAATCCAGTTTTAATCTTCTACATGTGGCTTGCCAGTTTTTACAGCACCATTTGTTGAACAGGATGTCCTTTTCCCAATTTATGTTTCTGTAGGCTTTGTCGAAGATCAGTTGGATGTAAGTATTTTATGCTTCCGTTAATATGAGCTGCCTAGAAGATAAAAACGTATAAAGCAGTAGAGTAAAAGATATCATGGGCTGGAGTGAGGGACAAATAAGGAGGTGTTGTTTAATGAGTAAAGAGTTTCTCTTTGGGATGGTGAAAAAATTTTGGAAATGTATAGTGGTGATGGTTGCACAACATTCTGAATGTAATTAATGCTCCTGAATTGTACACTCTACAATAGCTAAAATTGTTACAATTAAAAATATAAAAGTTTATTTCAGTCCTCCATTGTTGAGGGTTTTTATCATTTCCAGACATTGCTTATTATAAATATTTTATAAGAAAATTATTCAGAGAAAAATTCTGGATTGTGAAAGAAAATATTGGTTATAGTATATAAGAGAAGTTTCGATATATTTTTTCACGCATCTTATGAAAGGCTACCTTTATCTAACTTTTCAGTTAGTTTATAATTCTGTCGTGTACCTAAATGGCTTTACTATACTACCTACAGTTGCCATTTAATATTAAAATAATGCTATAACTACCATAAGGTCGCATATTAATATTAAATATTTGTAAACAATGTGCCATCTTACGTTTTTCACTTTATTTTTTAACTTCTGAAAGTAAATCTTTACATACATGCATTTCAAAGGGAACAATTTTTTTCCTACACTAAAATATTTTTTTTCTTCAGCATATTAAATATGTCATGCCACTCTCTCCTGGCCTGTAAGGTTTCCGCTGAAATTTCTGCTGCCAGATGTATTGGAGCTCCATTGCATGTTTTTTTTTTTTTTTTAATTTTCTATGTCAGATTTCTTTTAAAATTTAATTTTATTGTTATTATACTTTAAGTTTTAGGGTACATGTGCACAACGTGCAGGTTTGTTACATAGGTATACCTGTGCCAGTTTGGTGTGCTGCACCCATTAACTCCTCATTTAGCATTAGGTATATCTCCTAATGCTATCCCTCCCCTCTTACCCCACCCCACAACAGGCCCCGGTGTGTGATGTTCCCCTTCCTGTGTCCATGTGTTCTCATTGTTCACTTCCCACCTATGAGTGAGAACATGCAGTGTTTGGTTTTTTGTCCTTGTGATAGTTTGCTGAGAATGATGGTTTCCAGCTTCATCCATGTCCCTACAAAGGACATGAACTCATCCTTATTTATAGCTGCATAGTATTCCATGGTGTATATGTGCCACATTTTCTTAATCCAGTCTATCATTGTTGGACATTTGGCTTGGTTCCAAGTCTTTCCTATTGTGAGTAGTGCCTCAATAAACATACGTGTGCATGTGTCTTTATAGCAGCCTGATTTATAGTCCTTTGGGTATATACCCAGTAATGGGATGGCTGGGTCAAATGGCATTTCTAGTTCTAGATCCCTGAGGAATCGCCACACTGACTTCCACAATGGTTGAACTAGTTTACAGTCCCACCAACAGTGTAAAAGTGTTCCTATTTCTCCACATCCTCTCCAGCACCTGTTGTTTCCTGACTTTTTGATGATCGCCATTCTAACTGGTGTAAGATGGTATCTCACTGTGGTTTTGATTTGCATTTCTCTGATGGCCAGTGATGATGAGCATTTTTTCATGTGTCTTTTGGCTGCATAAATGTCTTCTTTTGAGAAGTGTCTGTTCATATCCTTTGCCCACTTTTTGATGGGGTTGTTTTTTTTTCTTGTAAATTTGTTTGAGTTCATTGTAGATTCTGGATATTAGCCCTTTGTCAGATGAGTAGGTTGCAAAAATTTTCTCCCATTCTGCAGGCTGCCTGTTCACTCTGATGGTAGTTTCTTTTGCTTTGCAGAAGCTCTTTAGTTTAATTAGATCCCATTTGTCAATTTTGGCTTTTATTACCATTGCTTTTGGTGTTTTAGACATGAAGTCCTTGCCCATGCCTATGTCCTGAATGGTATTGCCTATGTTTTCTTCTAGGGTTTTTATGGTTTTAGGTCTAACATGTAAGTCTTTAATCCATCTTGAATTAATTTTTGTATAAGGTGTAAGGAAGATATCGTTTCAGCTTTCTACATATGGCTAGCGAGTTTTCCCAGCACCATTTATTAAATAGGGAATCCTTTCCCCATTTCTTGTTTTTGTCAGGTTTGTCAAAGATCAGGTAGTTGTAGATATGCAGCATTATTTCTGAGGGCTCTTTTCTGTTCCATTGGTCTATATCTCTGTTTTGGTACCAGTACCATGCTGTTTTGGTTACTTTGGCCTTTTATTGTAGTTTGAAGTCAGGTAGCATGATGCCTCCAGCTTTGTTCTTTTGGCTTAGGATTGACTTGGCAATGTGGGCTCTTTTTTGGTTCCATATGAACTTTAAAGTAGTTTTTTCCAATTCTGTGAAGAAAGTAATTGGTAGCTTGATGGGGATGGCATTGAATCTATAAATTACCTTGGGCAGTATGGCCATTTTCACGATATTGATTCTTCCTACCCATGAGCATGGAATGTTCTTCCATTTGTTTGTATCCTCTTTTATTTCATTGAGCAGTGGTTTGTAGTTCTCCTTGAAGAGGTCCTTCATATCCCTTGTAACTTGGATTCCTAGGTATTTTATTCTCTTTGAAACAATTGTGAATGGGAGTCCACTCATGATTTGGCTCTCTGTTTGTCTGTTATTGGTGTATAAGAATGTTTGTGATTTTTGCACACTGATTTTGTATCCTGAGACTTTGCTGAAGTTGCTTATCAGCTTAAGGAGATTTTGGGCTGAGACAATGGGGTTTTCTAGATATACAATCATGTCATCTGCAAACAGGGACAATTTGACTTCCTCTTTTCCTAACTGAATGCCCTTTATTTCCTTCTCCTGCCTGATTGCCCTGGCCAGAACTTCCAACACTGTGTTGAATAGGATTGGTGAGAGAGGGCATCCCTGTCTTGTGCCAGTTTTCAAAGGGAATGCTTCCAGTTTTTGCCCATTCAGTATGATATTGGCTGTGAGTTTGTCATAGATAGCTCTTATTATTTTGAGATACGTCCCATCAATACCTAATTTATTGAGAGTTTTTAGCATGAAGTGTTGTTGAATTTTATCAAAGGCCTTTTCTGCATCTATTGAGATAGTCATGTGGTTTTTGTCTTTGGTTCTGTTTATATGCTGGATTACATTTATTGATTTGCATATGTTGAACCAGCCTTGCATCCCAGGGATGAAGCCCACTTGATCATGGTGGATAAGCTTTTTGATGTGCTGCTGGATTCGGTTTGCCAGTATTTTATTGAGGATTTTTGCATCAATGTTCATCAGGGATATTGGTCTAAAGTTCTCTTTTTTTCTTGTGTCTCTGTCAGGCTTTGGTATCAGGATGATGCTGGCCTCATAAAATGAGTTAGGGAGGATTCCCTCTTTTTCTATTGATTGGAATAGTTTCAGAAGCAATGGTACCAGCTCCTCCTTGGACCTCTGGTAGAAGTCGGCTGTGAATCCATCTGGTCCTGGATTTTTTTTGGTTGGTAAGCTATTGATTATTGCCACAATTTCAGAGCCTCTTATTGGTCTATTCAGAGATTCAACTTCTTCCTGCTTTAGTCTTGGGAGGTTGTATGTGTCGAGGAATTTATCCATTTCTTCTAGATTTTCTAGTTTATTTGCATAGAGGTGTTTATAGTATTCTCTGGTGGTAGTTTGTATTTCTGTGGGATCAGTGGTGATATCCCCTTTATCATTTTTTATTGCGTCTATTTGACTCTTCTCTCTTTTTTTCTTTATTAGTCTTGCTAGCAGTCTATCAATTTTGTTGATCTTTTCAAAATACCAGCTCCTGGATTCATTGATTTTTTGAAGGGTTTTTTTGTGTCTCTATTTCCTTCAGTTCTGCTCTGATCTTAGTTATTTCTTGCCTTCTGCTAGCTTTTGAAAGTGTTTGCTCTTGCTTCTGTAGTTCTTTTAATTGTGATGTTAGGGTGTCAATTTTAGATCTTTCCTGCTTCCTCTTGTGGGCATTTAGTGTTATAAATTTCCCTCTACACGCTGCTTTGAATGTGTCCCAGAGATTCTGGTATGTTGTGTCTTTGTTCTCGTTGGTTTCAAAGAACATCTTTATTTCTGCCTTCATTTCATTATTTACCCAGTAGTCATTCAGGAGCAGGTTGTTCAGTTTCCATGTAGTTGAGTGGTTTTGAGTGAGTTTCTTAATCCTGAGTTCTAGTTTGATTGCCCTGTGGTCTGAGAGACAGTTTGTTTATAATTTCTGTTCTTTTATGTTTGCTGAGGAGTGCTTTACTTCCAACTATTGGTCAATTTTGAAATAGATGTGGTGTGGTGCTGAAAAGAATGTATATTCTATTGATTTGGGGTGGAGAGTTCTGTAGATGTCTATTAGGTCCGCTTGGTGCAGAGCTGAGTTCAATTCCTGGATATCCTTGTTAACTTTCTGTCTCGTTGATCTGTCTAATGTTGACAGTGGGGTGTTAAAGTCTCCCATTATTAATGTGTGGGCATCTAAGTCTCTTTGTAGGTCACTCAGGACTTGCTTTATGAATCTGGGTGCTCCTTTATTGGGTGCATATATATTTAGGATAGTTAGCTCTTCTTGTTGAAGTGATCCCTTTACCATTTTGTAATGGCCTTCTTTGTCTCTTTTGATCTTTGTTGGTTTAAAGTCTGTTGTATCCGAGACTAGGATTGCAACCCCTGCTTTTTTTTTGTTTTCCATTTGCTTGTTAGAGCTTCCTCCATCCCTTTATTTTGAGCCTATGTGTGTCTCTGTACGAGATGGGTTTCCTGAATACAGCATACTGGTGTGTCTTGACTCTTTATCCAATTTGTCAGTCTGTGCCTTTTAATTGGAGCATTTAGCCCATTTACATTTAAGGTTAGTATTGTTATGTGTGAATTTGATCCTGTCATTATGATCTTAGCTGGTTATTTTGCTCGTTAGTTGATGCAGTTTCTTCGTACCCTTGATGGTCTTTACAATTTGGCATGTTTTTGCAGTGGCTGGTACTGGTCGTTCCTTTCCATGTTTAGTGCTTCCTTCAGGAGCTCTTTTAGGGCAGGCCTGGTGGTGACAAAATCTCTCAGCATTTGCTTGTCTGTAAAGTATTTTAATTCTCTTTCACTTATGAAGCTTAGTTTGGCTGGATATGAAATTCTGGGTTCAAAAGTCTTTTCTTTAAGAATGTTGAATATTGGCCCCCACTCTCTTCTGGCTTGTAGGGTTTCTGCCAAGAGAGCCACTATTAGTCTGATGGGCTTCCCTTTGTGGGTAACCCGACCTTTCTTTCTGGCTGCCCTTAACATTTTTTCCTTCATTTCAACCTTGGTGAATCTGACAATTTTGCATCTTGGGATTGCTGTTCTTGAGGAGTATCTTTGTGGTGTTCTCCGTATTTCCTGAATTTGAAAGTTGGCCTGCCTTGCTAGGTTTCTGAAGTTTACCCAGATAATATCCTGAAGAGTGTTTTCCAACTTGGTTCCATTCTCCCCATCACTTTCAGGTACACAAATCAAATGGAGATTTGGTCTTTTCACATAGTCCCATATTTCTTGAAAGCTTTGTTTGTTTCTTTTTATTCTTTTTTCTCTAAACTTCTCTTCATGCTTCATTTGATTCATTTTGTCTTCCATCGCTGATACCCTTTCTTCCAGTTGATCGCATCAGCTACTGAGGCTTGCGCATTCCTCACGTAGTTCTCATGCCATGGTTTTCAGCTCCATCAGGTCCTTTAAGGACTTCTCTGCATTTGTTATTCTAGTTATCCATTTGTCTCATTTTTTTTCAAGGTTTTTAACTTCTTTACCATTGGTTCGAACTTCCTCCTTTAGCTTGGAGTAGTTTGATCTTCTGAAGCCTTCTTCTCTCAGCTTGTCAAAGTCATTCTCCGTCCAGCTTTGTTCCATTGCTTGTGAGGAACTGCTTTCTTTTGGAGGAGGAGAGGCGCTCTGATTTTTAGAGTTTCTGGTTTTTCTGCTCTGTTCTTTCCCCATCTTTGTGGTTTTATCTACCTTTGGTCTTAGATGATGGTGACGTACAGATGGGTTTTTGGTGTGGATGTCCTTTCTGTTTTTTAGTTTTGCTTCTAACACTCGGGACCCTCAGCTGCAGGTCTGTTGGAGTTTGCTGGAAGTCCACTCCAGACTCTGTTTGCCTGGGTATCAGCAGCGGTGGCTGCAGAACAGCGGATATTGGTGAACTGCAAATGCTGCTGCCTGATCGTTCCTCTAGAAGTTTTGTCTCAGAGGAGTACTTGGCCGTGTGAGGTGTCAGTCTGCCACTACTGGGGGGTGCCTCCCAGTTAGGCTACTCTGGGCTCAGGAACCCACTTGAGGAGGTAGTCTGCCCATTCTCAGATCTCAAGCTGCATGCTGGGAGAACCTCTACTCTCTTCAGAGCTGTCAGAGAGGGACATTTAAGTCTGTAGAGGTTATTGCTGCCTTTTGTTTGTCTGTGCCCTGCCCCCAGAGGTAGAGCCTACAGAGGCAGGCAGGTCTCCTTGAGCTGAGGTGGGCTCTACCCAGTTCAAGCTTCCTGGCCGCTTTGTTTACCTACTCAAGCCTCCGCAATGGGGGGCGCCCCTCCCCCAGCCTTGCTGCCGCCTTGCAGTTTGATCTCAGACTGCTGTGCTAGCAATGAGCGAGGCTCCGTGGGCATAGGACCCTCCGTGCCATGTGTGGGATATAATCTCCTGGTGTGCCATTTGTTAAGCCCATTGGAAAAGCACAGTATTAGGGTGGGAGTGACCTGATTTTCCAGGGGCCGTCTGTCACCCCTTTCTTTGACTAGGAAAGGGAATTCCCTGACCTCTTGCACTTCCCGGGTGAGGGGATGCCTCACCCTGCTTCTGCTCACGCATGGTGTGCTGCACCCACTGTCCTGCACCCACTGTCCGGCACTACCCAGTGAGATGAACCTGGTACCTCAGTTGGAAATGCAGAAATCACCTGTCTTCTGCGTCGCTCACACTGGGAGCTGTAGACTGGAGCTGTTCCTATTTGGCCATCTTGGCTCCAGCCCCCCATTGCATGTTATTTGTTCCTTTTCTCTTACTGATTTTGGGATTCTTTCTTTATCTTTGAGCTTTGGGATTTTGATTGCTAAATGCCTTGAGGTAGTCTTCTTTGGATTATGTCTGCTTGGTTTTCTGTAACTTTCTTGTAGTTTGATATTTACATCTTCCTTTAGGTTTGATAATTTTTCTGTTATCATCCTTTTGAATAAACATTTTACCCCTATCTCTGTCTCCACCTCCTCTTTAAATCCGATAACTCTTACATTTGCTCTTTTGAGGCTATTTTCTAGGTCTTGTAGGTGTACTTCATTGTTTTTTATTCTTTTCTCTTTGTCTCCTCTGACTGTGTAATTTCAAATAGCCTGTCTTCAAGCTCACTAATTCTTTCTTCTGCTTCTTCCATTCTGCTATTAAATAATTCTGTTGTGTTCTTCTGTGTGCCAATTGCATTTTACAATTCCAGAATTTCTGCTTGATTCTTATTAATTATTTTAATATCTTTATTAAATTTATCTGATAGACTTCTGAATTCCTTCTCTGTGTTATCTTGAATTTCTGTGAGTTTCCCTAACACTGCTATATTGAATTTTCTGTCTGAAAGTTCCCATATCTGTTTCTCCGGGAATGGTCATCCTTGGGGCCTTATTTAGTTCATTTGGTGAGTTCATGTTTTCCTAGATAGTGTCAAAGCTAGTAGGTTTTCTTCACTGTCTGGTCATTGAAGGGTTGGGTATTTATTGTAGTCTTCACTTTCTGGGCTTATTTGTAGCTGTCCTTCTTGTGAAAGATTCCCAAAGTTTTGAAAGGACTTGGGTGTTGTGATCTGAGCTGTATCTGCTTTAGGGGACACCCCAAGCCCAGAAACACAGTCGTTCTTGCAGACTCATAGAGGTACTGCCTTGATGGTCTTGCACAAGACCTGGGAGAATTTTCTGGATTACCAGGCAGATACCCTTGGTCTCTTTTTTATTTTACTTTCTACCAACCATACAGAACCTCTCTCTGTGTTCTGTGACACTTTAAGCTGAGAGTGGAGTAATACAAGCACCCCTGTGTCCACCACAAGTTGGACTGCACTGAGTCAGACCTGAAGCCAGCACAGTGGTGGGTCTCATTCAAGGCCTGCTATAACCCTATATTTTCTCAAGACCCTGGGGCTCTATAATCAACAAGTGGCAAAACCAGCCAGGCCTGTGTCCTTCCCTTCTTGGCTGCGAGATTCCTAAAGCCCAAAGTGGTCTTAGAAGTGGTGTCCCATCTGGGAGTCAGGGACTAGAGTAAAAAACCTTAGAAATCTACCCAGTGTTCTATCGTATTGTGGTTGAGCTGGCATTCAAACTACATGATGCAGTCCTTTTTACTCTTCCTTCTCCTTTCCAAAGGCAGAGAAACATCACTCCATAGCCACTACCACCCCAGGCCCTGAGGAGTACTGCTAGACTACCATGGATGTTTCCTTAAGGCTCAAATTATTTTATGTCAGGTTGTCATAAATGCTGCCTGGCCTGGGACTCACCTTTCAGGGCAGTGGGCTCCCCTCTGGCTCAGGACAGGTCCAGAAATGCCATCTAAGATCCAAGTCCTGAAATCAGGGACCCCAAAAGCCCACTTGGTGCTCTATCCTCCTATATTCATGCTGGTGCCTAAGGTGCAAGACAAAGTCCTCTTTACATTTCCTTATGCTTTTTTAAAGCAGAAGGAGTTTTGCCCCGTAGCCACCAGAGCTGGTTATGTGCTGAGTCTTACCTGAAGCCAGTAAGTCTCAGAGGCTCATATAAGGCTCTTGATGTAATACCTGGGTATCACTACTGGTTTTTCAGGGAACAAGAGCTCTTCAGTTAGCAGGTAATAAATACTGTCAGGGCTTGGTTCTTTCCTTCAAGGCAATAGGTTCTCTTCTGGCCCAAGGTGTGTCTAGAATTGTCATCTGGGAGCCAGGACCTGAAACAGAGGTCTCCTGACTCTGACTGGTGCCCTATCTTGCTGCGGTTGGGCTGATATCCTAGATGTAAGACACAGTCCTCCCCACTCTTCCCTGTTGTCTCCTCAAGTGGAGGGAAGGGGTCCTAAACCTAAAGGGGGCTATGAGCTGTGCAGCCTGGGGTTAGTGGAGGGATAATGAAATCACTCCCTTGGCTGTTCCAGCTGGTGTCTCTGTATGTCATGTGCCCCCCTACCCCAGACCACTGTCTCTGGGCCTAATTCAGCAATAGGTCTCACCTTAAAGTTGCAGTCCTTATGGCCTAGACTGCCTTTCAAGTTTACTTGGAGACCCAGAATGCTGTAATTCTTGTTGCAGAGGTTTGTGGCTACTCAAGTTTAGTCCCTGTGGTTGGTGATTCCCCTCTGGCTAGGGCTGGTTTAAATGCTCCCTCTGAGGATGGGCATTAGTTGAGTTTGGTCTAGTTTTCCTTTCTGCTCTAACAAGGCAGCACTGAATTCATTGCCTCACAACTGCTATGTTCTCCTTCCCCCAGTGCTGAGAGATGCTGTCCACCCTACACTGCCTCTGTGGTGGTGGGGGGTGGGGTGGGGAGGAAGGGGAGGGGTTGATTCAGGACTGTTTTTTGTATCTCTTCAGTGCATTTTTCAGTGATTTGAAGTTAAAACCAGATATGTTATGGTTTGGATTTGTGTCCCTGCCAAAATCTCATGTCTAGTTGTAATCCCCAATGTTGGATGTGGGGCCTGGTGTGAGGTTATTGACTCATGGGGGTGGTTTCTCATAGTTTAACACCATCCCCCTTAGGATTGTTCTCCTGATACAGAGTGAGTTCTCAGGAGATCTGGTTATGTAAAAATGTGTAGAACTTCCCTCCTCTCTCTCTTCCTCTTGCTCCAGCCATGTGAAGTGCTGGTTCCACCTTTGCCTTCTACCATGATTGTAAGTTTCCTGAGGCTTCCTCAGAAGCTGAGCAGAAGCTGCTATGCTTCCTATACAGCCTGTGGAATATGAGCCACTTAGGCCTCTTTTCTTTATAAATTATCCAGTCTCAGGTATTTCTTTATAGCATCAGGGAACAGACTAATACAAGGTACTATAAGTGCTCATCTGATTTTGGGTTCTTATGAAGGTGTTTTTTTTTTTCTGTGTAGATATTTGTTAACTTGGTGTCCTTGCAGGGGGGATGATCGGTGAAGCTTTCTATTCCACAATCTTGCTCTACTCCTCTTCCACATTTGAGCTTGATTTATATTTGAATTATGCATCAAATACAAACTCTATGTCTCTCTCACACACAAGCACTTAAATGGTAGACAGGCAATTGATTATTACACCACTAAAGCATATAACAACCTCTCAAATAAGTGTTATTATAATGTCCATTTTACAAATAGGAAAACTTTCGGTACTGAGTGTTTAAATAACCTGCCTGAGATCTCACATATAATAAGTGTCAGAGTCTGTAATGTGATTCAAAGCAAGGCAGTCTTGTTCCAGAGTTGATCCTGTGATCACCATGTTATTTTACACTGAGTTGCCCTCTCTTGGTTTATCAGAGTCTATAAATATTACCGAATTAATATTTGGTTGAATGCTATTGAAACAGACAGAACAATGCAGACATGTATTTTTTTAAAGGTTAACAATACCCTTACTATGGCAACCCCATCCAATCTCACACACTTGAGATTACAGAGAACACAATTATCTGTTTTATTTTATGCTTTCCTCAAGTTCATATAAACACAGGCATACTTTATTTCATTGTGCTTTGTTTTACTGTGGTTTGCAGATAATGTATTTTTTTTACAAACTTGAGGTTTGTGGCAACCTAGTGTCCAGTAAGTCTATCAGCTCCATTTTTCTAACATATGTTCACTTTGTGTCTCCTTGTCACACTTTGATAACCCTCCCAATATTTCAAACATTTTCATTGCTGTCATGTCTATTATGGTGATATGTGATCAGACATCTTTGATGTTACTATTATAATTGTTTTGGGGCAACACAAACTGCACCCATGTAAGACAGCAGGCTTAACTGATAAATGTTGTGTGTGTTCTGACTGCTCCACCATCTATCCTCTCTCTTTGGGACTCCTTATTCCCTGAGAGACAATATTATTGAAATTAAGCCTACTAATAACCCTACAATGACCTTTAATTGTTCAAGTGAAAGAAAGATTTCCATTCCTCTAAATGTAAATCAAAAGTTAAAAATGAGCTTAGTGGGGAAGGCATATAAAAATCCAGGAGAAGCCAAAAGCTAGGTCTTTTATGCCAAATGGTTAGCCAAGTTGTGAATGTAAAAGATCAATTCTTAAAAAAAAAATAAAAGTGCTACTCTAGTGAGCACATGAATAAAAAAGCAAAACAGCAGTATTGCTGTTATGAAGAAAGTTTTAGTGGTCTGGATAGAAGATCAAACCAGCCACAACATTCCCTTAAGCCAAAGCCTTATCTAGAGCAAGGTCCTAACTCTTTTCAATTCTATGAAGGTTGAGAGAGATAAGGAGGCTGCCGAAGAAATTTTGGAAGCTAGCAGAGTTTGGTTCATGAGGTTTAAGGAAATAAGCCATCTGCATAACATAAAAGTACGAAATGAAGGAGCAAGTGCTGGTGTAGAAGCTACAGCAAATTATCCAGACAATCTAGCTAAAATTATTGATGAAGGTGGCTACACTAAACAGATTTTCAATTTAGGCAAAAGAGCCTTATATTTGAAGAAGATGGCACCTATTACTTTTATAGCTAGAGAGGCGAGGTTAATGCCTAGTTTCAAAACTTCAGTGAACAGGCTAAGTGTCTTGTTAGAAGCTAATGCAGCTGGTGACTTCATGTTGAAATTAATGCTGAAATTTGGAATTGATCATTATCATTCCAAAAATCCTAAGGCCTTGACTTAGTGTGATTTCTGTTGCTTTTAACAGAACACTGGAAACTGGGTAATTTATAAAGAAAAGGAATTTATTTCTTACAGTTATGGAGTCTGAGAAGTCCAAGGTCAAGGAGCCATATCTGGTGAGGGCCTTCTGGTTGTTGGAGACTCTCTGCAGAGTCCCAAGGCAGCATAGGGCATCACAGGGTGAGGGGACTGAGTGTACTGGCTCAAGTCTATGTTTTCTTATAAAGCCATCATTCCCATGCCTATGATAACCCATTAATCTATTAACATATTAGTTCATCAGGGCTCAACCCTCATGACCCTGTCACCTCTTAAAGGCCCCATCTCTCGATATTCCCACATTGGAGATTAAATTCCATGGGTCATATGTCAAAACTTATTCAGTTGTTTACTTTATATGTATCTATTGTTGTACGTCAGTTATACCTCAATAAAGCTTCAAACATGAAAGAAACAATAATGGAATAAAACTCACTGACCTGTAGGCCAATATTGAGTTACTAAACCTACATGTAATTAGTGTTTCTGAAGAAAAAGGGAGTAGGGCGTGGGGAATGGAAAAATATTTGAAGAAATAATGGTTAAAAAATGTTACAAATATGAAGCAAAATGATGATAAACTCACAGCTGCAAGAAGTTCTATGAACTCCAAACAGGAAGCAAAATGAAGGGCTCACCAAGACCTACAATAAACAAATTGCCTAACATACAGAAGTAAAGAAAAATTCTTCAAAGCAGGCTAATAAAAGAAACACATTACAGACAGGGAAAAATAGTAAGAATGACTGAGGTCTTTTATCTGTAAAAATAAAACATCTGACACAATCAGGGAATTGTTACATGAGGTCCAGTTTATTTTTAATGTGGATGTTTGTGCAAATTTTAATCAAAACAATTTATCTGATCTATGTGTGTTATCCTTTTCTGTGAATGTAGAAGTTCCAGAAAAATGTAAAGTGTTTGATCTCATTTTTGACAAAATGGTAAAAAAAAAAAAACAACCCAAAACTCACACAGGAAAATTTCAATATATACAAGCATACCTTGCAGATATTTCAGGTTTTGTTCCAGACCACCACAGTAAAGCAAATATCACAATGAAGTGAATCACACAATTTTTTTGGTTTCCCAGTCCATATAAAAGTTATTATATCTTTATAGTGTACTGTAGTCTATTAACTGCGCAATATAATTATGGCTAAAAAACAGTGTACAAGGAGGAGGAGCCAAGATGGCCGAATAGGAACAGCTCCAGTCTACAGCTCCCAGCGTGAGCGACGCAGAAGACGGGTGATTTCTGCATTTCCATTTGAGGTACCGGGTTCATCTCACTAGGGAGTGCCAGACAGTGGGCGCAGGCCAGTGTGTGTGCGCACCGTGCGCGAGCCGAAGCAGGGCGAGGCATTGCCTCACCTGGGAAGCGCAAGGGGTCAGGGAGTTCCCTTTCCGAGTCAAAGAAAGGGGTGACGGACGCACCTGGAAAATCGGGTCACTCCCACCCGAATATTGCGCTTTTCAGACTGGCTTAAGAAACGGCGCACCACGAGACTATATCCCACACCTGGCTCAGAGGGTCCTACGCCCACGGAATCTCGCTGATTGCTAGCACAGCAGTCTGAGATCAAACTGCAAGGCGGCAACGAGGCTGGGGGAGGGGCGCCCGCCATTGCCCAGGCTTGCTTAGGTAAACAAAGCAGCCGGGAAGCTCGAACTGGGTGGAGCCCACCACAGCTCAAGGAGGCCTGCCTGCCTCTGTAGGCTCCACCTCTGGGGGCAGGGCACAGACAAACAAAAAGACAGCAGTAACCTCTGCAGACTTAAGTGTCCCTGTCTGACAGCTTTGAAGAGAGCAGTGGTTCTCCCAGCACGCAGCTGGAGATCTGAGAACGGGCAGACTGCCTCCTCAAGTGGGTCCCTGACCCCTGACCCCCGAGCAGCCTAACTGGGAGGCACCCCCCAGCAGGGGCACACTGACACCTCACACGGCAGGGTATTCCAACAGACCTGCAGCTGAGGGTCCTGTCTGTTAGAAGGAAAACTAACAACCAGAAAGGACATCTACACCGAAAACCCATCTGTACATCACCATCATCAAAGACCAAAAGTAGATAAAACCACAAAGATGGGGAAAAAACAGAACAGAAAAACTGGAAACTCTAAAACGAAGAGCGCCTCTCCTCCTCCAAAGGAACGCAGTTCCTCACCAGCAACAGAACAAAGCTGGATGGAGAATGATTTTGACGAGCTGAGAGAAGAAGGCTTCAGACGATCAAATTACTCTGAGCTACGGGAGGACATTCAAACCAAAGGCAAAGAAGTTGAAAACTTTGAAAAAAATTTAGAAGAATGTATAACTAGAATAACCAATACAGAGAAGTGCTTAAAGGAGCTGATGGAGCTGAAAACCAAGGCTCGAGAACTACGTGAAGAATGCAGAAGCCTCAGGAGCCGATGCGATCAACTGGAAGAAAGGGTATCAGCGATGGAAGATGAAATGAATGAAATGAAGCGAGAAGGGAAGTTTAGAGAAAAAAGAATAAAAAGAAATGAGCAAAGCCTCCAAGAAATATGGGACTATGTGAAAAGACCAAATCTACGTCTGATTGGTGTACCTGAAAGTGATGTGGAGAATGGAACCAAGTTGGAAAACACTCTGCAGGATATTATCCAGGAGAACTTCCCCAATCTAGCAAGGCAGGCCAACGTTCAGATTCAGGAAATACAGAGAACGCCACAAAGATACTCCTCGAGAAGAGCAACTCCAAGACACATAATTGTCAGATTCACCAAAGTTGAAATGAAGGAAAAAATGTTAAAGGCAGCCAGAGAGAAAGGTCGGGTTACCCTCAAAGGAAAGCCCATCAGACTAACAGCGGATCTCTCGGCAGAAACCCTACAAGCCAGAAGAGAGTGGGGGCCAATATTCAACATTCTTAAAGAAAAGAATTTTCAACCCTGAATTTCATATCCAGCCAAACTAAGCTTCATAAGTGGAGGAGAAATAAAATACTTTATAGACAAGCAAATGCTGAGAGATTTTGTCACCACCAGGCCTGCCCTAAAAGAGCTCCTGAAGGAAGCGCTAAACATGGAAAGGAACAACCGGTACCAGCCGCTGCAAAATCATGCCAAAATGTAAAGACCATCGAGACTAGGAAGAAACTGTATCAACTAATGAGCAAAATAACCAGCTAACATCATAATGACAGGATCAAATTCACACATAACAATATTAACTTTAAATATAAATGGACTAAATTCTGCAATTAAAAGACACAGACTGGCAAGTTGGATAAAGAGTCAAGACCCATCAGTGTGCTGTATTCAGGAAACCCATCTCACGTGCAGAGACACACAGAGGCTCAAAATAAAAGGATGGAGGAAGATCTACCAAGCAAATGGAAAACAAAAAAAGGCAGGGGTTGCAATCCTAGTCTCTGATAAAACAGACTTTAAACCAACAAAGATCAAAAGAGACAAAGAAGGCCATTACATAATGGTAAAGGGATCAATTCAACAAGAGGAGCTAACTATCCTAAATATTTATGCACCCAATACAGGAGCACCTAGATTCATAAAGCAAGTCCTGAGTGACCTACAAAGAGACTTAGACTCCCACACATTAATAATGGGAGACTTTAACACCCCACTGTTAACATTAGACAGATCAACGAGACAGAAAGTCAACAAGGATACCCAGGAATTGAACTCAGCTCTGCACCAAGCAGACCTAATAGACATCTACAGAACTCTCCACCCCAAATCAACAGAATATACATTTTTTTCAGCACCACACCACACCTATTCCAAAATTGACCACATAGTTGGAAGTAAAGCTCTCCTCAGCAAATGTAAAAGAACAGAAATTATAACAAACTATCTCTCAGACCACAGTGCAATCAAACTAGAACTCAGGATTAAGAAACTCACTCAAAGCCGCTCAACTACATGGAAACTGAACAACCTGCTCCTGAATGACTACTGGGTACATAACGAAATGAAGGCAGAAATAAAGATGTTCTTTGAAACCAACGAGAACAAAGACACCACATACCAGAATCTCTGGGACGCATTCAAAGCAGTGTGTAGAGGGAAATTTATAGCACTAAATGCCTACAAGAGAAAGCAGGAAAGATCCAAAATTGACACCCTAACATCACAATTAAAAGAACTAGAAAAGCAAGAGCAAACACATTCAAAAGCTAGCAGAAGGCAAGAAATAACTAAAATCAGAGCAGAACTGAAGGAAATAGAGACACAAAAAACCCTTCAAAAAATCAGTGAATACAGGAGCTGGTTTTTTGAAAGGATCAACAAAATTGATAGACTGCTAGCAAGACTAATAAAGAAAAAAAGAGAGAAGAATCAAATAGACACAATAAAAAATAATAAAGGGGATATCACCACCGATCCCACAGAAATACAAACTACCATCAGAGAATACTACAAACACCTCTACGCAAATAAACTAGAAAATCTAGAAGAAATGGATACATTCCTCGACACATACACTCTCCCAAGACTAAAGCAGGAAGAAGTTGAATCTCTGAATAGACCAATAACAGGCTCTGAAATTGTGGCAATAATCAATAGTTTACCAACCAAAAAGAGTCCAGGACCAGATGGATTCACAGCCGAATTCTACCAGAGGTACAAGGAGGAACTGGTACCATTCCTTCTGAAACTATTCCAATCAATAGAAAAAGAGGGAATCCTCCCTAACTCATTTTATGAGGCCAGCATCATTCTGATACCAAAGCCGGGCAGAGACACAACCAAAAAAGAGAATTTTAGACCAATATCCTTGATGAACATTGATGCAAAAATCCTCAATAAAATACTGGCAAACTGAATCCAGCAGCACATCAAAAAGCTTATCCACCATGATCAAGTGGGCTTCATCCCTGGGATGCAAGGCTGGTTCAATATACGCAAATCAATAAATGTAATCCAGCATATAAACAGAGCCAAAGACAAAAACCACATGATTATCTCAATAGATGCAGAAAAAGCCTTTGACAAAATTCAACAACGCTTCATGCTAAAAACTCTCAATAAATTAGGTATTGATGGGACGTATTTCAAAATAATAAGAGCTATCTATGAGAAACCCACAGCCAATATCATACTGAATGGGCAAAAACTGGAAGCATTCCCTTTGAAAACTGGCACAAGACAGGGATGCCCTCTCTCACCACTCCTATTCAACATAGTGTTGGAAGTTCTGGCCAGGGCAATCAGGCAGGAGAAGGAAATAAAGGGTATTCAATTAGGAAAAGAGGAAGTCAAATTGTCCCTGTTTGCAGACGACATGATTGTTTATCTAGAAAACCCCATCGTCTCAGCCCAAAATCTCCTTAAGCTGATAAGCAACTTCAGCAAAGTCTCAGGATACAAAATCAATGTACAAAAATCACAAGCATTCTTATACACCAACAACAGACAAACAGAGAGCCAAATCATGAGTGAACTCCCATTCACAATTGCTTCAAAGAGAATAAAATACCTAGGAATCCAACTTACAAGGGATGTGAAGGACCTCTTCAAGGAGAACTACAAACCACTGCTCAATGAAATAAAAGAGGACACAAACAAATGGAAGAACATTCCATGCTCATGGGTAGGAAGAATCAATATCGTGAAAATGGCCATACTGCCCAAGGTAATTTACAGATTCAATGCCATCCCCATCAAGCTACCAATGACTTTCTTCACAGAATTGGAAAAAACTACTTTAAAGTTCATATGGAACCAAAAAAGAGCCCGCATCGCCAAGTCAATCCTAAGCCAAAAGAACAAAGCTGGAGGCATCACACTACCTGACTTCAAACTATACTACAAGGCTACAGTAACCAAAACAGCATGGTACTGGTACCAAAACAGAGATATAGATCAATGGAACAGAACAGAGCCCTCAGAAATAATGCCGCATATCTACAACTATCTGATCTTTGACAAACCTGAGAAAAACAAGCAATGGGGAAAGGATTCCCTATTTAATAAATGGTGCTGGGAAAACTGGATAGCCATATGTAGAAAGCTGAAACTGGATCCCTTCCTTACACCTTATACAAAAATCAATTCAAGATGGATTAAAGATTTAAACGTTAGACCTAAAACCATAAAAACCCTAGAAGAAAACCTAGGCATTACCATTCAGGACATAGGCGTGGGCAAGGACTTCATGTCCAAAACACCAAAAGCAATGGCAACAAAAGCCAAAATTGACAAATGGGATCTAATTAAACTAAAGAGCTTCTGCACAGCAAAAGAAACTACCATCAGAGTGAACAGGCAACCTACAACATGGAAGAAAATTTTCGCAACCTACTCATCTGACAAAGGGCTAATATCCAGAATCTACAATGAACTCAAACAAATTTACAAGAAAAAAACAAACAACCCCATCAAAAAGTGGGCAAAGGACATGAACAGACACTTCTCAAAAGAAGACATTTATGCAGCCAAAAAACACATGAAGAAATGCTCATCATCACTGGCCATCAGAGAAATGCAAATCAAAACCACTATGAGATATCATCTCACACCAGTTAGAATGGCAATCATTAAAAAGTCAGGAAACAACAGGTGCTGGAGAGGATGTGGAGAAATAGGAACACTTTTACACTGTTGGTGGGACTGTAAACTAGTTCAACCATTGTGGAAGTCAGTGTGGCGATTCCTCAGGGATCTAGAACTAGAAATACCATTTGACCCAGCCATCCCATTACTGGGTATATACCCAAAGGACTATAAATCATGCTGCTATAAAGACACATGCACATGTATGTTTATTGCGGCACTATTCACAATAGCAAAGACTTGGAACCAACCCAAATGTCCAACAATGATAGGCTGGATTAAGAAAATGTGGCACATATACGCCATGGAATACTATGCAGCCATAAAAAATGATGAGTTCATGTCCTTTGTAGGGACATGGATGAAATTGGAAACCATCATTCTCAGTAAACTATCGCAAGAACAAAAAACCAAACACCGCATATTCTCACTCATAGGTGGGAATTGAACAATGAGATCACATGGACACAGGAAGGGGAATATCACACTCTGGGGACTGTGGTGGGGTCGGGGAAGGGGGGAGGGATAGCATTGGGAGATATACCTAATGCTAGATGACACGTTAGTGGGTGCAGTGCACCAGCATGGCACATGTATACATATGTAACTAACCTGCACAATGTGCACATGTACCCTAAAACTTAGAGTATAATAAAAAAAAATTATTAAAAAAAAAAAGAAGATAGTGACTATAATCTCTTATATCCATTAAATAAATTGTATCCTCTCACTTCTTTACAAAAAAAAAAAAAAAATTAAAGTTACTGACGTTGCACAGTGATGTCTTCCCTCCTTGACACACCTCCACATTCTCTAAACTTGGATTAAAATTTATTTCCTTCAGATTTGTGTAGGTATTCGTTCATTGTTTATTGTTGTTAACTATTGCAGTTTTGTACACTTATAGTTTATAACACTTTCTAAATAGCTTAATGGTTAGTATTTCTTAATTTTATGCTTTATAAAAAAGGAGCACTATACATAGGTATAAAGATTAATGTATATGTCCACTTGACTGGGCCATGGAGTGCCCTGATATTTGGTCAAAAATTTTTCTGGGAGTTTCTGTGAAGGTATTTTTGGTTGAAATTAACATTTAAATTGTTAGACTGAGTAAGGCAGTTGTCCCCTCTCCCCCTACCCAGTGTGTGGGCCTTATGCATTTAACTGAAGGCCTGACTAGAAAAAGGCCACCCCTCCTCCAAGTAGGCAAGAATTTTCCTGCTTGAGAGCCTTTGGACTGAAACTTTGACACCTCCTGTGTCTACAGTAGCTTATTCCTTTGAACTTGAACTGGAACATCAGCTCTACAGATTTTGGACTTGCCAGCCTCGTAAATACATGCGCTGAATCATTGTTCTCTCTCTCTCTCTCTCTCTTTCTATATATATATATGAAATCTGGTTCTGTTTCTCTGGAGATCCCTCATACAGCAGCCTTCTGCAATTTGTGTTCTCGCTCAATATTTGTATATTATCAATTCATGTTGTTGTGTAGAGCTACAATTCAACAATTACAAATGTAGTCTAGTATTCCATTCTGTAAATATAACAAAACTAATGTGTCTATTCTTTCGTCAATGGACATTTAGACTTTTTTCCTTTAGTGTTTTACTATTTTAAGCAACGTTATGACTATGTGAGTACTTTGGCTTATTGTACTTCTGTAAGAGATTGCCCATGGTATAATACATGCCTTGAAAAAGGAAAAAAAAAAAAAAAAACAGTGTACAAACCTTAGTTAAAAATACTTTATTGTTAAAAATGCTAATGATCATCTGAGTCTTCAGTGAGTTGTAATCCTTTGGCTGATGGAGGCTCTTGCTTCAATGTTGATGGGTACTGACTGATAAGGCTGATTGTTGCTGAAGGTTGGGTTTACTGTGATAATTTCTTAAAATTAAACAGTAACAAAATTTATAGTATCAAATGACTCTTTCTTTCACAAAATATGTCTCTGTAACATGTGATGCCATTTGATAGCATTTTACCCACAGCAGAACTTCTTTCAAAATCAGAATTAATCCTCCCAAACTCTGCTGCTGCTTTATCAATTGAGTTTATATAATATTCTAAATCTTTTGTTGTCATTTCAACAATGTTCATAGCATCTTCACCAGGAGTAGATTCCATCTCAAGAATTCACTTTCTTTACTTAACTGTAAGGAGCAACTCCTCATTCATTCAAGTTTTATCATGAGATGGCAGCAATTCAGCCACATCATCAGGTTCCACTTCTAATTCTAATTCTTTGGCTATTTCCACCACATGTGCAGTTACCTCTTCAGCTGAAGTCTTGAACTCCTTAAAGTCATTTATTAGGGTTGTAATCAACTTCTTCAAAATTCCCATTAATGTTAATGTTAATATTTGATCACAAATATTCTTAGTGGCAACTAGACTGGTGAATCCTTTCCAGAAGATTTTCAATGTACTTTGCCCAGATCCATCTGAGGAATCACCATCTATGGCAGTTTTGCCCTATGAAATTCATTTCTTAAATAATAAAACTTACTTCTTCATCCATAGGCTACAGAATGGTGTTGTGTTTAGCTAGCCTGAAAACAACATTACTCTCCTTGTATATCTCCATCAGAGTTCTAGGTGCATTGTCAATGGGTAGTAATATTTTGAAAGGAGTCTTTTTTTCTGAGCAGTAGGTCTCAACAGTGAATTTAAGATAAAAAATATTTACTCATGCCCCTTCCATTCCCTCCCTGTAATTCTTCCTCACACTGTCCTCCCCATCACCAGGCAACCACTGATCTGTTTTCTGTGGCTATAGATTACTTTTCATTTTCTAGAATTATGCACAACTGGTGATTGTCTCACACACACACACACACACACACATACACACATCACAATATGAACTTCTTTTGGCCTGGCTTCTTTCAATCAGAATAATTATTTTGAAATTCTTTGTGTTGTAAGGAATGTGTTGTGTTGTTTGTGTTATAATATATTAATAAATAGTGATGACTTATTGATTGCTGATAAGTACTCTGTTGTATAGATATGCAATGGTTTATTCATTCACCTGTTGATGGACATTTAAGATGTTTCTAATTTTTGGCTATTACAAATAAAGCTGTTATGAACATCCATGAACAAGTTTTGTGTAGATATATGCTTTCATTTGGCTTGGGTAAATTCCTTAGAATGAAATACCCGAGGCATATAAGTGTATATTTAACTCTTTAACATGTTGCAAAAACTGTTTTCCAAAGTGATTGTACCGTTTTTACATGCTTATCGGTGGTATATGACTGTTCCAGTCCCTTCACATCCTATCCCACACTTGATATGGAGAGTCATTTTAATTTTAGCCATTCTAACACATGTATAGTGGTATGAAATTGTGGTGTTTAGTTGTAGTTTCATCATGATCAGAAATATTAAACATATTTTCATGTGCTTATTTCTCATCCATGTCTCTTCTTTGGTAAAGTAATTTGCTCTAATATTTGGTCTTCTTCCATTTGGTTGGTTGTATTTTTATTACTGAGAATATACACATAGTTCTATGTGTATGTTCTGGATAACAGCCCTTTATCATTTACATGTTGCATTAAAGAAAAGTTTGCCTAACACAAGGTCATAACAGATTTTCATATGTTTTTGACTAGAATTTAAGCTTACATTTAGGTCTGTGGTCTACATTGAGTCAATTTTGGCTTATGTATGAGGTATGGAACAATGTTTTTTTTTTTGAGGGGTTATAAATACCCAATTGTTTCAACACCATTTGTTAAAAAGTCTATCCTTTCTACCCCGAATTGTCTTCATATCTGTGTTGAAAAATTGGTTGTCCTTATATGGGTATTTTATTTCTGCATTATCTATTTTGTTCCATCATCCATTTTTTTCCTATTTTTATGCAGTATCACACTGTCTTGGTGACTGTTGCTTTATAGTAAGTCTTAATTCTCCAACTCTGTCCTTTTTCAAGATTATATTGGCTATTCCAGGCCCTTTGTAATTCCACACAAATGTTAGAATATTCTTGTCTATTCTGCAAAAATCCCATCTGGAATATTGAATGAGATTGCATCAATTCTATAGTTCAATTTGGGAGAATTGACATGTTAACTATACTGAGTCTTCTGACCAGTGAACATGAAATGTCTCTCAATTTGCTTAGGTCTTCTTTACTTTCTCTCAGCAGCAGTTTTCAATATATATATATATCTTGAAAATATTATCCCTAAGAATTTCATATTTTTGCTTGCTGTTATAAATTTATTTCAATTTCTTACCACTTTTACTACTATATATAAATAAAATTGAGTTTTTATATTGATTTTGTATCCTGAAACCTTACTAAACTGACTTCTTAGTTCTAGTTTCTCTTTTATGGATTCCTTAAGATTTTCTACATACAAAATTCCCGTCTGCAGCAAGATAGTTTTACTTCTTCCTTTCCTATCTGGATGCCTTTTATTTCTTTTACTGGCATAATTGTCCTGGCTAGAAGGCCCATAGAAGTGGTAGAGTGAACAGCCATGTCTTATTCCTGATCTCAAGGGGAAATGACTTGCTCTTTCAGCAATAAGTATAAGGTTAGCTGTCAGTTATTCATAGATGTCCATTATCTGGTTAAGTTTCCTTCTGTTCCTAGTTTGATGAGGCCTTTTATCATGAAATGGTGTTAAATTTTATGAATGCTTTATTGAGATGATCATATGATTTTTCTGTTTTTAGTTCACATGATGAATTATATTGTCTGTTTTTTAAAAGTTAAGTGAATCTTGTATTTCTGGGTAAACCCCATTTAGACACAATGTAGCAATTGTGAATGGGAGTTTACTCATGATTTGGTTCTCTGCTAGTCTATTATAGGTGTATAAGAATGCTTGTGATTTTTGCATATTGATTTTGTATCCTGAGACTTTGCTGAAGATGTTTATCAGCTTAAGGAGTTTTTGGGCTGCGACAATGGGGTTTTCTTTTTTTTTTTCAAAAGCCTTAAAGATCATTTATGCAGCCAAAAAACACATGAAAAAATGCTCGCCATCACTGGCCATCAGAGAAATGCAAATCAAAACCACAATGAGATACCATCTCACACCAGTTAGAATGGTGATCATTGAAAAGTCAGGAAACAACAGGTGCTGGAGAGGATGTGGAGAAATAGGAACACTTTTACACTGTTGGTGGGACTGTAAACTAGTTCAACCCTTGTGGAAGACAGTCTGGCAATTTCTCAGGGATTTAGAACTAGAAATACCATTTGACCCAGCAATCCCATTACTGGGTATATACCCAAAGGACTATAAATTATGCTGCTATAAAGACACATGTACACGTATGTTTACTGCAGCACTATTCACAGTAGCAAAGACTTGGAACCAAGCCAAATGTCCAACAATGATAGACTGGATTAAGAAAATGTGGCACAGGGAGGAGGAGCCAAGATGGCCAAATAGGAACAGCTCCAGTCTACAGCTCCCAGCGTGAGCGACGCAGAAGACAGGTGATTTCTGCATTTCCATCTGAGGTACCGGGTTCATCTAACTAGGGAGTGCCAGACAGTGGGCACAGGTCAGTGGGTGCGTGCACCGTGCATGAGCCGAAGCAGGGCGAGGCATTGCCTCACTCGGGAAGCACAAGGGGTCAGGGAGTTCCCTTTCCTAGGCAAAGAAAGGGGTGACAGACGGCACCTGGAAAATCCGGTCACTCCCACCCGAATACTGTGCTTTCCGACGCGCTTAAAAAACGGCGCACCAGGAGATTATATCCGGCACCTGGCTTGGAGGGTCCTACGCCCACGGAGTCTCGCTGATTGCTAGCACAGCAGTCTGAGATCAAACTGCAAGGCAGCAGCGAGGCTGGGAGAGGGGCGCCCGCCATTGCCCAGGCTTGCTTAGGTTAACAAAGCATCTGGGAAGCTCGAACTGGGTGGAGCCCACCACAGCTCAAGGAGGCCTGCCTGCCTCTGTAGGCTCCACTTCTGGGGGCAGGGCACAGACAAACAAAAAGACAGCAGTAACCTCTGCAGACTTAAATGTCCCTGTCTGACAGCTTTGAAGAGAGCAGTGGTTCTCCCAGCACGCAGCTGGAGATCTGAGAACGGGCAGACTACCTCCTGAAGTGGGTCCCTGACCCCTGATCCCCAAGCAGCCTAACTGGGAGGCACCCCCCAGCAGGGGCAGACTGACACCTCACACGGCCAGGTACTCCAACAGACCTGCAGCTGAGGGTCTTGTCTGTTAAAAGGAAAACTAACAAACAGAAAGGACATCCACACCAAAAACCCATCTGTACATCACCATCATCAAAGACCAAAAGTAGATAAAACCACAAAGATGGGGAAAAAACAGAGCAGAAAAACTGGAAACTCTAAAAAGCAGAGCACCTCTCCTCCTCCAAAGGAACGCAGTTCCTCACAAGCAACAGAACGAAGCTGGACGGAGAATGACTGACGAGCTGAGAGAAGAAGGCTTCAGATGATCAAATTACTCCGAGCTACGGGAGGACATTCAAACCAAAGGCAAAGACATTGAAAATTTTGAAAAAAAATTTAGAAGAATGTATAACTAGAATAACCAATACAGAGAAGTGCTTAAAGGAGCTGATGGAGCTGTAAACCAAGGCTCGAGAACTACGTGAAGAATGCAGAAGCTTCAGGAGCCAATGCAATCAACTGGAAGAAAGGGTATCAGTGATGGAAGATCAAATGAATGAAATGAAGTGAGAAGGGAAGTTTAGAGAAAAAAGAATAAAAAGAAACGAGCAAAGCCTCCAAGAAACATGGGACTATGTGAAAAGACCAAATTTACATCTGATTGGTGTACCTGAAAGTGACGGGGAGAATGGAACCAACTTGGAAAACACTCTGCAGGATATTATCCAGGAGAACTTCCCCAATCTAGCAAGGCAGGCCAACATTCAGATTCAGGAAATACAGAGATAGCCACAAAGATACTCCTCGAGAAGAGCAACTCCAAGACACATAATTGTCAGATTCACCAAAGTTGAAATGAAGGAAAAAATGTTAAGAGCAGCCAGAGAGAAAGGTCGGGTTACCCTCAAAGGGAAGCCCATCAGACTAACAGCAGATCTCTCAGCAGAAACTCTACAAGCCAGAAGAGAGTGGGGGCCAATATTCAACATTCTTAAAGAAAAGAATTTTCAACCCAAAATTTCATATCCAGCCAAACTAAGCTTCATAAGTGAAGGAGAAATAAAATCCTTTACAGACAAGTAAATTCTGAGAGATTTTGTCACCACCAGGCCTGCCCTAAAAGAGCTCCTGAAGGAAGCGCTATACATGGAAAGGAACAACCAGTAGCAGCCGCTGCAAAATCATGCCAAAATGTAAAGACCATCGAGACTAGGAAGAAACTGCATCAACAAACGAGCAAAATAAGCAGCTAACATCATAATGACAGGATCAAATTCACACATAACAATATTAACTTTAAATGTAAACGGACTCAATGCTCCAATTAAAAGACACAGACTGGCAAATTGGATAAAGAGTCAAGACCCGTCAGTGTGCTGTATTCAGGAAACCCATCTCACGTGCAGAGACACACATAGGCTCAAAATAAAAGGATGGAGGAAGATTTACCAAGCAAATGGAAAACAAAAAAAAGCAGGGGTTGCAATCCTAGTCTCTGATAAGACAGATTTTAAACCAACAAAGATCAAAAGAGACAAAGAAGGCCATTACATAATGGTAAAGGGATCAATTCAACAAGAAGAGCTAACTATCCTAAACATATATGCACCCAATACAGGAGCACCCAGACTCATAAAGCAAGTCCTGAGTGACCTACAAAGAGACTTAGATTCCCACACATTAATAATGGGAGACTTTAACATGCCACTGTCAACATTAGACAGATCAACGAGACAGAAAGTTAACAAGGATATCCAGGAATTGAACTCAGCTCTGCACCAAGCAGACCTAATAGACATCTACGGAACTCTCCACCCCAAATCAACAGAATATACATTTTTTTTCAGCACCACACCACACCTACTCCAAAATTGACCACATAGTTGGAAGTAAAGCACTCCTCAGCAAATGTAAAAGAACAGAAATTATAGCAAACTATCTCTCAGACTACAGGGCAATCAAACTAGAACTCAGGATTAAGAAACTCACTCAAAACCACTCAACTACATGGAAACTGAACAACCTGCTCCTGAATGACTACTGGGTAAATAATGAAATGAAGGCAGAAATAAAGATGTTCTTTGAAACCAACGAGAACAAAGACACAACATACCAGAATCTCTGGGACACATTCAAAGCAGCGTGTAGAGGGAAATTTATAGCACTAAATGCCCACAAGAGGAAGCAGGAAAGATCTAAAATTGACACCCTAACATCACAATTAAAAGAACTACAGAAGCAAGAGCAAACACTTTCAAAAGCTAACAGAAGGCAAGAAATAACTAAGATCAGAGCAGAACTGAAGGAAATAGAGACACAAAAAAACCCTTCAAAAAATCAATGAATCCAGGAGCTGGTATTTTGAAAAGATCAACAAAATTGATAGACTGCTAGCAAGACTAATAAAGAAAAAAAGAGAGAAGAATCAAATAGACGCAATAAAAAATGATAAAGGGGATATCACCACTGATCCCACAGAAATACAAACTACCACCAGAGAATACTATAAACACCTCTATGCAAATAAACTAGAAAATCTAGAAGAAATGGATAAATTCCTCGACACATACAACCTCCCAAGACTAAAGCAGGAAGAAGTTGAATCTCTGAATAGACCAATAAGAGGCTCTGAAATTGTGGCAATAATCAATAGCTTACCAACCAAAAAAAGTCCAGGACCAGATGGATTCACAGCCGAATTCTACCACAGGTACAAAGAGGAGCTGGTACCATTGCTTCTGAAACTATTCCAATCAATAGAAAAAGAGGTAATCCTCCCTAACTCATTTTATGAGGCCAGCATCATCCTGATACCAAAGCCTGACAGAGACACAGCAAAAAAAGAGAATTTTAGACCAATATCCTTGATGAACATCGATGCAAAAATCCTCAATAAAATACTGGCAAACCGAATCCAGCAGCACATCAAAAAGCTTATCCACCATGATCAAGTGGGCTTCATCCCTGGGATGCAAGGCTGGTTCAACATACGCAAATCAGTAAATGTAATCCAGCATATAAACAGAACCAAAGACAAAAACCACATGATCATCTCAATAGATGCAGAAAAGTCCTTTGATAAAATTCAACAACACTTCATGCTAAAAACTCTCAATAAATTAGGTATTGATGGGTCATATCTCAAAATAATAAGAGCTACCTATGACAAACCCACAGCCAATATCATACTGAATGGGCAAAAACTGGAAGCATTCCCTTTGAAAACTGGCACAAGACACGGATGCCCCCTCTCACCACTCCTATTCAACATAGTGTTGGAAGTTCTGGCCAGAGCAATCAGGCAGGAGAAGGAAATAAAGGGTATTCAATTAGGAAAAGAGGAAGTCAAATTGTCCCTGTTCATAGATGACATGATTGTATATCTAGAAAACCCCATCATCTCAGCCCAAAATCTCCTTAAGCTGATAAGCAACTTCAGCAGTCTCAGGATACAAAATCAATGTACAAAAATCACAAGCATTCTTGTACACCAATAACAGACAAACAGAGAGCCAAATCATGAGTGAACTCCCATTCACAATTGCTTCAAAGAGAATAAAATACCTAGGAATCCAAGTTACAAGGGATATGAAGGACCTCTTCAAGGAGAACTACAAACCACTGCTCAATGAAATAAAAGAGGATACAAACAAATGGAAGAACATTCCATGCTCATGGGTAGGAAGAATCAATATCGTGAAAATGGCCATACTGCCCAAGTTAATTTATAGATTCAATGCCATCCCCAACAAGCTACCAATGACTTTCTTCAGAGAGTTGGAAAAAAGTACTTTAAAGTTCATATGGAACCAAAAAAGAGCCCGCATTGCCAAGTCAATCCTAAGCCAAAAGAACGAAGCTGGAGGCATCATGCTACCTGACTTCAAACTATACTACAAGGCTACAGTAACCAAAACAACATGGCACTGGTTCCAAAACAGAGATATAGACCAATGGAACAGAACAGAGCCCTCAGAAATAATGCCGCATATCTAGGACTATCTGATCTTTGACAAACCTGAGAAAAGCAAGCAATGGGGAAAGGATTCCCTATTTAATAAATGGTGCTGGGAAAACTGGCTAGCCATATGTAGAAAGCTGAAACTGGATCCCTTTCTTACATCTTATACAAAAATTAATTCAAGGTGGATTAAAGACTTAAATGTTAGATGTAAAACCATAAAAACCCTAGAAGAAAACCTAGGCAATGCCATTCAGGACATAGGCATGGGCAAGGACTTCATGTCTAAAACACCAAAAGCAATGGCAACAAAAGCCAAAATTGACAAATGGGATCTAATTAAACTAAAGAGCTTCTGCACTGCAAAAGAAACTACCATCAGAGTGAACAGGCAGCCTACAGAATGGGAGAAAATTTTTGCAATGTACTCATCTGACAAAGGGCTAATATCCAGAATCTACAATGAACTCAAACAAACTTACAAGAAAAAAACAAACAACCCCAACAAAATGTGGGCAAAGGATATGAACAGACACTTCTCAAAAGAAGACATTTATGCAGCCAAAAAACACATGAAAAAATGCTCATCATTACTGGTCATCAGAGAAATGCAAATCAAAACCCACATTGAGATACCATCTCACACCAGTTAGAACGGTGATCATTAAAAAGTCAGGAAACAACAGGTGCTGGAGAGGATGTGGAGAAATAGGAACACTTTTACACAGTTGGTGGGACTGTAAACTAGTTCAACCATTGTGGAAGTCAGTGTGGCGATTCCTCAGGGATCTAGAACTAGAAATGCCATTTGACCCAGCCATCCCATTACTGGGTATATACCCAAAGGATTATAAATCATGCTGCTATAAAGACACATGCACACGTATGTTTATTGTGGCACTATTCACAATAGCAAAGACTTGGAACCAACCTAAATGTCCAACAACGATAGACTGGATTAAGAAAATGTGGCACATATACACCATGGAATACTATGCAGCCAGAAAAAATGATGAGTTCATGTGCTTTGTAGGGACATGGATGAAGCTGGAAACCATCATTCTCAGTAAACTATCACAAGGACAAAAAACCAAACACCACATATTCTCACTCATAGGTAGGAATTGAACAATGAGAACACATGGACACAGGAGGTGGAACATCACACATTGGGGACTGTTGTGGGGTGGGGGGTGGGGGGAGGGATAGCATTAGGAGATATACCTAATGCTAAATGATGAGTTAATGGGTGCAGCACACCAACATGGCACATGTATACATATGTAACAAACCTGCACATTGTGCACATGTACCCTAAAACTTAAAGTATAATAATAATAAAATTAAAAAATAATAATAATACAGAAGGATAAAAAAAGAAAAATTAAAAAAAAAAGAAAAAAACCCAAATATTTATTGAGCAGTACCTGTATGAAGCACTGTTATAAGTGCTTGGATACATCAATGAACAATGATCAAAGATCAATGAACATCAATAAACAAAGATCCCTGTACTCACAGAGCTTACATTCTAATGTGGAAGGAGAGACAATCAACACCATGAACAACAAGTAAATCATACAGTGGCTTTCTATAGGGAAAGTCAAAGCTGAGTAAGGGGAAAGGGTGAGTATGTGTTTGAGGCAAATGCAACTTAAAATGGGGTGGTCAGAGTTGGCCTTTTTGAGACAGTGACATTTGAGCAAAGGCTTGAAAGAGGTAAGAGATAGCCATGAGGATATCTAAGGAAGTGCTTCCCAGCCACATGGAAGAGTCAAATATCACATCTTATTTCACTTAACCATATCTATGTTAGACTTTCAGTTTTTGTATTTTCTCCTTATTTACTATACGGCCTGTTTTCTTAGTTTAGTTTTGAATCTTCTGATAATCTGGAAGGTTTATCTTTTTTTCTACTTGTTACATTTATTACCACAATTTTATTGGATGCCTAATTACGGATTTCTTTATAAAGTAGCCACTGACTGGCAACGATGAGTAATGATAGGAAAAATCACTATCCAATTTTGTTGACTATCTTGTTTTTCTGACGATGTTATTATATACTTATGTATCTACTAGTTAACTTGGCAGATTTTTTCATCCCCAGCCATAAAAGAAGAAATCCCCTTTCTAGTCCCAATTTTTGATAGTTATATTATGCCTATGTTAAGTGTCAGCATAATACTTATATTTGTTTTCTGTTTAACCATAGTATATATGTTTGTTTTAGTCTTAGTCCTATAGTTAAGTTGATTTAATACTTACCATTGGCACTTTTGCACTACAGACTCCATTCATTTCTTGGTGGCCTAAAATTTATGCTTTTCCTAGAAAGGCTCAGGAGGACTCTATTTCTCAAGTTCCTGCCTGGCAAAAATGTGTGAAAAATATGATACATTTTCAGTGCTGGAAGAAGGGAAAGGATTAGTTATACATATTGAGTAGGCAAATACCATCTTCAAGGTTTGTGACTATCTTTGAGAATGATCAAGTTACATTTTAATAACTATATTTCTCAATGAACCCCTGGCTAATCAATGATATGAATCCTGCTTTTGGCTTGCCATTTAGCCCTTTACAGAGCTTGCAAATGCTTTGGAGGCTAAAGTGAAAAAAGGAACTCAAATGAAAAGTCTTAATATTAAAAGGCAGAACATTTACTAACTTCATTATGTAAATTAGTATCAAATAACCAACATTAAAATAATAGTTAAATTGTGTTCCCATCCCTTAGAATACTAAATGATTATTAATGATTATGCTTTTAGAATGTATTAATACAGGAAAACACTAATGCTATGATGATAATTTTTTAAGCGGGATTCAAAATTATATAATTGTTAGCAGTTAAATAAGGTCTGGGATGGGATTATTTGTTGGTATTATAATTAATTCTGTCCTGCTATAGCCTTCCCTCCTGCATTTATTACTTTTATAAACAAGAGAAAACTACCTCTTCTTCAATTATAAAACAAGTATCACAGACATTAATATTTGTAAAGTGCTCTGAACAGTGTCTGGCACATAGAAATAGTACAATAGAAAGTTGTTTGTTGAACAAAAAATAATGAATTAATTCATCTATATATGTATCTTGGCGATTACAGAACATAATTAAAGGTAACTTAAAATAAGTCAATGCTCCTCTAGACTCCTTTGGGTCTACATTTTATACATTTTGCAAAATGTATAAAACCATAAAACCAGAACTTCTACAGCCTCTAATCAAGGAATGCTCTTCCATCTCTAATGAGGTTTATCCTTTCATCTCCTGCTTCTCTGCTTTGTACACTTCTCACATATACTCCTCTATACTCTCTATACTCTCCTCTATACTCTATACTGTCCTCTGTACTCCTCTATACTCTCCCCTTCTTTTCTTTCTCTCCTGCAGAACCTACTCCAGCTTCTCCCAGGCCAGGTCCCAAGTGGGATCTGGCCCCAACCCTCCCAGTGCAGCCCATTCTATTAACCCCCTCCTTTCTGGCCACTCAGGCCTTTCACTATCCCCTAGAGGACCCACATTCATCACTCCCTTAACAACCCCACCTCTGCTGGTCCCCTCATTTCCTCCCTCCTCTTTTTCTTCTCTTCTTTGTCACATCACTACCCCTCTCAACCATTCCATACTCCTCCTCTTTCACCTCTTTCTAAAGGTGGGACCCAGGGCCTCATTATGATTTTCATAAAATCTATGCAGCTTTACATTCCTAGGCTCTTTCCACTATGACATCCATATATACATATATAAATAATATTTACATCTGCATTGGTATAAGACATATACAATCCAGGCTGGCTTTACTATTACACATACATTATTATATTCATTTTTCTTCTGATTTTAAAATACATTTTAAAAATTGGAGTGCTCTAAAATGTAAATTAGGCTTTAGGCATGGTGCATACTATGCTCAGTGGATAAGTCTGGCTTGCTGAGACCTCCCAGCGAAATCCTCCACCTGGCACTTGAATACCTTCAGAAGGAACACAATATTTAAAATCTGTAGTAATTTTATCTTGGAATGAACAAACATGGGGAAATAAAGCTTAAAAATAATGTAAGGAAATCCATTTCCATTAAAGATGAGAACATTCCAGAAACAAAAATGCATACGTTAACCTCACTTTACAGCAGTACATGGTGCAGTCTGTGGCAGGCCTTAGGAAAAATGGTTTTAACCCATGACTCACTGAACAGCAATAAAGAAACTATGTTTTGAGTAGATCACTATATAACATAAAATATAAAAGCCTACAAACAAGGTAACTAACATTAAATGTGAATTTGCTATAAATGTTTATTTTTATACTAGCGGCTTCACTAATCAAGTGTATTTTAGATAATATAACCTGTTGCATTTCTATAACGAAGAGATGAAGGCACTGCTAGTGCAAGCATAATGAAACCCATTTATCTCAATGAGAAGGCTAGGAAAAGGATGCTATCTCACTTTATTTTACAAACCCAAACATAGATCTTAGTTACAAGTTCTGGTAATTTTCCATAGATGCAGACTAGTAGCAACCTGACAAAAGCCATGGATTCACAATAGTAAGGTCTTCACATACGTTGAGAATTCACTGCCTAATAAAATTGTTGACAAAGTTTACACCACTGGAGTGCTAGATGAAATGCATTGTTAAATATATTTGGACATAATTTTAAACTGAGACTACCAAGAAGAGACACGTTAAGACTGTAAGTAACGAATGATTAAGTTTTGGTTATTGTAAAAGCCAGTTGTTAACCTGGAGGCCCACATACTCCAACCATTCTGCTTCAACAATCATTGACTTCTGCCTGGGAGTTTCGGTTTTGGCCTTTAGCACCATAAACTGCAGTCACCCAATTCTCCTGAGTCATTCTGTCATAAACCGGATTATTACATTCCCTGATCATCGTATCTTGCTCTGCCTCAAGGGCTTCTCCTGTAAAGTGTAACACAGCTCTTGGGATGACAAAAGTGTGCAAGGTGTGAGCGATGAAGAAGTCTTCCTCATCCTCATTAGCATCTAGGCCCCACTGGAGAGCATTGAAGAAGGGACTCTTGGGGAAATTCCTGAGTGGCGGTACACATCAGCCCCCAAAAACTGTGTCTCTCTTCAGGACCGTTTGCACAGTGACGTTCTTTCCCTTCTTCCATTCTATCATGCTGCCAAAGCAACGCTCTACCGCAGATCCCCTGAAGGGGTGGGGGTCAGACTAATCGAGCTTAGACTTGAGGATGTATGTTTCTTTCGGTCAGCACCTCATTTGTGAAGTAGTCGTTGGGTTCAGAGTGAAATTCCAGCGTAAAAGTGAGTGGCTAGTTTGATTTTGAAAACTTGACTTTCACGTCTTGCAAGAGCTTCAGAATGGGCTCGTCATATTTTTGTTGTTGTTGTTTCGTTTTTTCGGAATATCGCTCTGTCGCCCAGGCTGGAGTGCAGTGGTGCGATCTCAGTTCACTGCAACCTCTGCCTCTTGGGTTCAAGCGATTCTCCTGCCTCAGCCTCCTGGGCAGCTGGGACTATAGGTGTGTGCCACCACCCCCGGCTAATTTTTTTTTTTTTTTTTTTTGTATTTTTAGTAGAGACGGGGTTTCACTGTGTTAGCCAGGATGGTCTCGATTTCCTGAACTTGTGATCCACCTGCCTCGGCCTCCCAAAGTGCTGGGATTACAGGCGTGAGCCACTGCGCCTGGCCTCGTCATATTTCTTAATCAGCGGGGCAACCTCCTGGGCATTCTATAAAGCCGTGAGCCAGAAATCGGGGATCCCTGTAGGATTATCTTTTTCTCCGTCCACATTATGTCCCTCGATTCCTTCATACTCCCCAAACACCTCCCCGACATCCTCGAAATCCTCCTCACGATCCTCCACCAAGTCCTCATACTCCGGATTCTCCTCTGCACCATACATCTGAGCATTAGAATCACCGGCCACCTCATTATACTCATAGTCCTCAACCTTGGACTTCACCTCTCACACTCCTCTTTCGTGGGCTCATACAGTGCATTGGTGATCTGCCGTCTCTTTTCCAATAAGGGTCCATAGATGGTGGCAAACTTCCTCTCGACAGAATGAAATTCCCTCAGGTACTTGGCCTCTAGCACGGCACATTTGGCCTGAAGCTTTTTGAGAGTGTACACTCGGTACTTAACCACCAGAGGCAGGCTCTCAATAAAATCTGCGTCTGAGGAGTACTCCATCAAAGACTGCGGAGAGGCTGTGGCTGCCACAGCGCCGAGTAATGGGCCCATTTCACCGGCTGTGCTGTGTTCTCCGAGCCCTTCCATCATTAGCTTTTTGGCAGGGAAACACTCACCGAACTGTAGGCGATGGCTTGGCCCGGGCCGCCGGCACCTGGGGGTGCTAAGACGGAGGCGGAACGAAGCAGCTACAGCTGCTGTGGAAGCTGGCCTGGGGTGGCGGAAGCCGTGGAAGGCAAGAGTAGCGGGCTAAAGGGCTTTCCCCACTAGCTGCCATGGCAAAAGGAGGAGGTTCCACAATCCGATTGCGCAGAAGATGACTCTCTAAACTCTTTTTTGCTTAAGAGCTCACCCTATTTGCTGAGTAGCTGTGATTGACAAACCGTCGTCCAATAAATGATTAGATCCATCACATTACTAGTGCCACTCACCTTCCTGGCGGTAGCAGCTCCCAAAGTTTCTAGACGGGAGGGGCTTACTGCAAATCATCTGGTCGGGGAGAAGCGGTCGGAAACTGTTTTAAGCCTGAGAAAACTTTAATGTAGAAGAGCAAAGAAATGAGGCGAGAGGTGTTTTTATAGGCCAGAAACGTGACTCAAAGCCTTATATTTAAATACGCGAACAAAAAAGAAAAGGGGGAAAAACATCAAAATATTAGCCGTGAAGAGCTTTAGATGATGTGACTCCCCATTAACCTTTTATTTTCTAATTTTGGCTTTTCAAAATCTCTATGAAGGGCGTGCATTCACTTTAGATTGGTTCAACCCTGTTAGTATTTACTGGGGTGCAGGGGGATGAGATGGCATGGCAATGGAGGGAAAGGAAGGCTTATGGTGACCAGTGCCCACAGTCATATGTATGACAAGTTCACACTTGACATCTGGGTTATCAATAACCCAGAGCACTGCTGCTGAATTGCCAATTACCCTTTCTCAATGCTGGCTCTTTTGGAGGCAAAATGGAAAGGATGCTCATATGTCAAGTGATGTTACTGAAAAGCAAACCATTTGTCTTGAAATTCTGAATAAATTGGAAATACTTGATGACCCAGCACTAGAGAATAGATGAAAGACATAATATGATTTATTCAGAACAGGGAATACCATGTGACATTAAAATTACCTATACTAGGGAAAACAGGTTTTTATTTTTTGGTGATATTTCAATATAGATCACCTATAATTTAAAGATTTCAATTTTTAAAAAGGGTTTGTTATTATATTACAGATATAAAGCGTTTTTTAAAATAACAGTTTAGTGTAACAATCACATAAATACAGTTAGGGTTTTAGTGTATTTGTTTCCAGGTTTTTAGATGTGTGTGTGTGTGTGTTAGTTTTAGAAAATTATAAATGTATTATTGGTTCAGTGTTTCTCACTCTACCTCAGGGCCACCCTATTAGATGACGGGTTTCTAGGGACTGGTGATTGGTTGTTTTCTTATGTTAGATGTGGTGCCTTTGCCACTTTCAGCAGATCCAGATTTCCACTTAATAAAACCCCTAGATGATAATGACAAAGAAGAGGGGAAGAGAAGAAATGGGAGTAGAAAGAGGACAGGGGTGAAATTCTTCCCACTAGGCTGAAAGGCTCGTGTTAGGGAGTCGCAACTGATAGGTCCTGAAGGCTGTCTTGTGTGGAGAATGGACAGAAGAGCTTAAATAGAATATAAAGAAAAGATGTTGTTTTCCTCAGTAAATATCCTATCAATGTTTAACCACTCCTATTGTGTGTGTGTGTGTGTGTGTGTGTACTGTGTGTGCTTTATTAAAACACATCTCATTTAAAATACACTGAAAGCAGAAAACTCAAATAATACGTGAAGTTTCAGTAAAGGTTCAGGTACATGCCTCAGTCCCATAGTTCCATAGTCATAGGTCCTAAATTGCTTTGTTTTCTTTTTTTAAATTCTATAATTACAAAACCTTTTTTCTTTTTCTAATAATAAATATAATACAAGCTTACTTTCAAAAATTTGGAAAATGAAGGATTTATAGTGAATAACAGAAACCACTAGCAGTCTCACCATCCTGAGAGAATTAGTGTGATCGTATCAGTACATTTTCTTCTTCTTTATGTGTGTACAACAAATGCACAACTTAAAAAATTAAGATCATTGTATTGACTTTTCCATACCTGCCCTCTTAGGTTCCTATCATGAGCATCTTCCTATGTCAATAAATGGTCTTCAAAATTATTATGTAAAATATTATTTATTGATAGTTAAGTGACTTAGTTTAATAAATAATAAATGAATAAAAAATAAAGGATAGGTTCATTTAGATGAATTCGAATTTGTAAATTTCTTTTTATAGTCATACAAGCAGTCTTCAAACCAAAAGTGATTACGTTAAATGAAATGTTGCCAAGGAGAACTAAGCAATATACACTAGGATCCCAATTCTGTTTTTTTTTTAAATCTCTCTTTTGATCTAGTTGTACACCTGTCAACCTACCATCCTACACGCACACACACACAAGCACACACACACCCTAATTTGCATAGACAAAGTTTAAAAGGTGACAAAGACACTCTCCTTGACTGAACTTTAGACAGGCTCTTCTAAGCCCTCTTTTCAACTAAGCCTCCTCCATGGGCCTTGTCCTCCAGCTTGCCTAGTCCAGTTTTACCAAGAATCCTGCTAAGCTAGTTTAGACAGGATCTTCCCAATCTTGATATATGATCACCCTCCAAATCTGATCAAATTCCTCATCCCTCACCATCCCCTGAGTGATACAGGATCATCTTGGCCTGCCTTCTGCAAGAATCATATTAGGTCAGTTCAGCAAGAATCCTCCCTACCCTTTATGTCTCTTCTTAGTAATTTTCCACCCACCAAGCAATGCACACCATCCCACCTTCCTACCCCTCTAACTCTTCACCTCCCAACCCCACCCTCACCTGCTGCTTTGCTACAAATCCCCACTTGTTCTTACTGTTCGTGGAGTTGAAGCCCATCTCTCTCCCCATTGTGATAGTCTAGATACCATCTATCACAATAGTCCTTAATAAAGTATTCCTGACTGTTTCATTGGTATCAGAACATTTTTTTCTTTAACAATGTTTAAATACCATAAAGCCATATAGCCAGTTGTTATATCTGGAGTTGTGGAATTTGGGATAATTTCAATGCTTTTTTCTTATGTACATTTGCCAGTATTTCCTATCTATTTTTATAAGTCTATTCATGAGCTGTATAATTAGAAACCATAAATGAATAAATGAATGAGAATGAGAGGAGAAGAGAGAAGCCCCAGCCTTTCCAATAGTAAATAACTCACCTCCCTTCAGAAGGAGCCCAATTGACAAGAGAGATACAGAAAGGAGTCGGGTCACAGGAAAAAAGATTCAATACTTTCAGTGTCCTCTGTCCACCAGCAGGTCCCACTTAGCTTACATTTTTTTCTTTGAGTACATGGTTTGCACACCCCAGGCGTTTCAAAACACTCAGCTGCTGTCATCCAATTTCTAGGTTCTCTAGAGAAACAGAACCAATAGGATATACAGTCATATACCACATAATGACGTTTTGGTCAACGACAGTGGTCCCATAAGATTATAATACCATATTTTACTGTACTTTTTCTATTTTTAGGCATGTTTAGAGACATAAATACTTACCCTAGTGTTACAATTGCCTACAGTATTCAGTACAGTCATAC
Source organism: Homo sapiens (assembly GCF_000001405.40). Taxonomy (NCBI): domain Eukaryota; kingdom Metazoa; phylum Chordata; class Mammalia; order Primates; family Hominidae; genus Homo; species Homo sapiens. Next base: position 73,131,456 of record NC_000023.11, read on the forward strand.
GCTGTACAGGTTTATAGCCTAAGAGCAATAGGCTATACCTTATAACCTACCTGTGTAGTGGGCTATACCATCTAGCTTTGTGTAAAGCATGCTCTATGAGAGTGAAAGGAGAAAAATATACATTTGTTTTGTTTTTTATGATTGTATAATTTTCTTTACTGTTGCTCTTTTTTTTTTTAAATGTGCTTTGAGATAGATACAAAACCAGGGTCGGGTGCGGTGGCTCATGCCTGTAATCCCAGCACTTTGGGAGGCCGAGACAGGTGGATCACCTGAAGTCAGGAATTTGTGATCAGCCTGGCCAATATGGTGAAACCCCATCTCTACTAAAAATACAAAAATTAGCCGGGCATGGTGGTGTGTGCCTATAATCCTAGCTGCTTGGGAGGCTGAGGCAGGAGAATTGCTTGAACTGGGAGGTGGAGGTTGCAGTTAACCGAGATCGTGCCACTGCACTCCAGCCTGGGCAGCAAAGTGAGACTCTGTCTCAAAAAAAAAAAAAAAGACAGGGAGATACAAAACTGGTTTTCAGAGAATTACAAAGGCTAAGACTGATACAAATCCATATGAGATCCAAATATAATAACAAACACAACAGTATTGAACTACTTCTGTTTAAACTTACAATTACTATATTGCCCTTAAGCAAATGTAATTTATGTACATTACAGTTATATAAAATGAGTAGAGAAGTTTTTACTTGACATGCAATAACAATTCAGTAACTACTGCTAGCTCCTTCCTTGCAAAAGTTTTACTTTTGGAAATTTTAATAAGCACAAATATAAAGAACCCAAATTACTAATTTCCAAAGAGTGCAGGTTTGTTTGGCTTGTCTTTCATTAAACTATGGAAATCCCTTGCCTCTATTATAAATATCACAGAACTTTGGCCGGGCGTGGTGGCTCACGCCTGTAATCCCAGCACTTTGGGAGGCCAGCATGGGCAGATCACTTGAGGTCAGGTATTCGAGACCAGCCTGACCAACATGGTGAAACCCCGTCTCTACTAAAAGTACAAAAATTAGCCGAGCATGATGGCAGGTGCCTGTCATCCCAGCTACTCAGGAGGCTGAGGCAGGAGAATCACTTGAACCCAAGCAGAGATTGCAGTGAGCCGAGATCTCGCCACTGCACTCCAGCCTGGGTGACAGAGAGAGACTCTGTCTCAGAAAAAAAAAAAAAAGAATTAAAAACAAATAAGTAAATACTATGCAGCCATAAAAAATGATGAGTTCATGTCCTTTGTAGGGACATGGATGAAGCTGGAAACCATCATTCTCAGCAAACTGTCGCAAGGACAAAAAACCAAACACCGCATGTTCTCACTCATAGGTGGGAATTGAACAATGAGAACACATGGACACAGGAAGGGGAACATCACACACCGGGGACTGTTGTGGGGTGGGGGGAGGGGGGAGGGATAGCATTAGGAGACATACCTAATGTTAAATGACGACTTAATGGGTGCAGCACACCAACATGGCACATGTATACATATGTAACTAACCTGCATGTTGTGCACATGTATCCTAAAACTTAAAGTATAATAAAAAAATAAATATGGCAGAACTTTAAATAACTGACAATAATACAGCCTCATAATAATTCTAATTCTAAAATGATGGAATCAAATCAGAAAACCAGTTTGACCCTCTAACTTATGTTAAATTAGAGCAATGACAAAAGTATTGTATGTATACTTTCTGGCAGATTTTATGTATTTATTTATTTAGACACACAGTTCAGATCTACACGGAAGTAGATCTTCCAAACACAGAGCAACTTAAATCCCATAGGTCTATTTCAACATATTAAATTTAGAGAATAATCCATGGGCTTTCCGAAAAACAAAATCTCTAATGAATTGACTAGATTGTCTTCTGATGACAGCATAGCTGATACATAAATAGTACCCTTGGAATCTGTATAAGAGAATGAAAGAAGTAGCAAATAAATGAGGCGGTGGGTTTCACTTCTTTATGCATAGAGGTCAAGAGGTTTCACTGGGCTTTTAAATCCCCAGTATACTTATACCACTTCACCACCCAAAACAACTATCTCACCATCCTCCCTATAACATCCTCTAAAAGTAAACCAGCAGACATTTGTTTCCATAGACAAAGTCACAACATTCCTACATCTTACATAGATTACATTTAATAGTTGTTCCTATTGTTAACCATATAGGACTAAATAATGAAAATAAAATCCTACCTACAATTTTAGCTATATTTTTATGTTATAACGTCCCTGTCCTGTATGGCTTTACTATCATTTAAACTCAAAATGAACTTTTGGAGAATAAAAGAGTATATTTGTGCTTACAGATAGAAATTACTTATTTCCAGATTGTAAGTGTCATCACCACAAAGTAATGATATGTGGCAATTCACGTTAATTAACTTGATTTAGCCATCCCACAATGTATATACATTTCAAAACATGCTGTACATGACAAATATATATAATTTTAAATTGTCAATTAAAATTAAATAAAATTTAAAATTACTTGTAAATAAAACCTTATATTCCTGATTCAAAAAAAAGAAATTACTTATTTCTAAACTCATATCTAATCTTTTTCAAAACATGTTTTATCAATGTCTTTTTGTTTGGGGCTTGACACTTTTATTATGAGTCCACAATTTATTATAAAATCCTTATAACATATTCTCCTCTCCAGCTTCTTCATCTGGAAAATGATGTCTTCAGTCACATGATGAATCAGTAGCAATGTTGGAAATAACATTGAATCTCTTGAATTTCTCCTCATGCTTTATCTAGACAGTGAAATTTATAAAAGCCATCTAGGAAAATTTCTCAAAATTCAGCCAACAACAGGAAAAATTGCCACAGATCATAGTCTTGAGTAAGAGAAAAGCAGCCACTGATATGGAGAGCTAGCCTAGCACTCAACAGTTGCTCTCCTGTTTAACATAAACCATCTCACAACACCAACCTAAGAGAAGGCCACTCTGTTACAGTGATGGATCAAAAAGGGCTACTCTGCAATTGTGTTTGAATATAGAAAAACACATGAACATTGTCCAGAGCACAAAAATGACCAAATACTCCCTTATTCTGGCCAGTATGAGTAATTACTGTTACTTTACCAACTACAGTGTTAGCCTCACTCTGATCTTCCTTATTTCTAGATAATACATTTAAAAAGACAATCATAGAATTATACCCACCTCCTAACAAGCTAGGCTTGCTTAAATCCTCACCCCATTTGCCTAATACAAACACAAATTTCATAATAAATCCTTTTCAATACCCACTGTATGGAGTTGTCTAAGACAACCCCTAAATTCAGAGATTCACTACTGATCACAGGACTCAGCATACAGTCATACTGACAGCTAAGATTTATTTTAGTGAAAGGACACAAAGCAAAATCAGCAAAGGGAGAAGGCCCATGGGGCAAAGGACAAAGGACACCAGGTACAAGCTTCCAAGAGTCCTAAGAGGTGTCACCACTATACACACTTAGCTTCTCCAGCAATGAGCTGCGCCAACACCTATTGGGTGTTGCCTACAAGGAAGCTCATCTGAGACTGAGTGACCAAGGTTTTTACTAGGGGCTAGCCATGTAGGTACCCTCTGCCTAGCCCATAAAAAGTTTTATACTCTCAAAAGGAAAATTGGTGTTCAGAGTAAAACACAATGCTTTTACTAACAATTGAGGCACAGTGAGCCATGTGTATCAATTAGGAATCCTATTAATGTAGGAAACTGGTTACCAGACAAATTTCCAGATTCTAACCAGTGATCCAACTTGCAAGCAAACTTTTCAACATACATCAATCTCAGACCTGCTATGTTAAAGCTCTTCAGCACAGTCTATACCCTTGGCTGTTGGACAAGGCATTTTTATCAGTAAGACCCCATTTAGCAGGAGATACCAGCCTGCAGTATTGATTTCAGTTTATGCCCTTTAGAAATCTTGGATTTCACCAGTTTAAGACAAATCCCATTAACCATAGAGGTCTATATTAGAAAGCCAGGTGGTTTCCTACTTTGGTTTCTGTATTATACTTTTTTTTTTTAACAGATTGGGGCATCAATTTAAGCAAAGCACAACCCTGATCAGGAAGTTGAAGCTGACTTGAATGCTCTCCAGGGCTGAGGCAGCATGATGATAAAGCACACACACAGGAAGTACAATACCAGAGGGTACAAGTGGTATCTATGGAAAAAGAGTGCACAGTTGTTAGGATATCCCAAGAAAGACATAGTTAGTCAGATGTACAGGTTAACAGGGCCTCTAAAGTGGCCTTCCACTGATTCCCAGTCTTGTCCAATTAATTCAGTTTAGTCCTTGGTTTTGGACAGACTGCCTCAAGGCAGTCAGTTCCAAACAATTTTGCTCATCTGTGACACCAGTTCATCTGTTTTGTGTGTGTACATCATCTGGAGGTGGTCTTCACAGAAAAAGCAGGACTTGGGGCCACTCCCTTTTGTCTCATAGTCAGCACTGTCAGGTGAGATCTTAGGCTCAGCAGTCAGTTTGGATTCAAAGCATTCTCAGCAGCTTGGGAGATAACACTGATGCTTTTACTGGGGAGGAGGGGAAGCTTCCAGAAGCAGTTCTGACAAAGCTCTCTAATTCCCTTCTCCTGTGCCTCCATGGGTGCCTGGTTTGTTTTTCTTTGTTTTTCTCAGTTTTTACAAAGTCAGTGTGCTTCATTCAGCAATCATAATTTACATCTTTCCTAATTGTTTTTTGTCTCATCCAGACCATTTATCTGGATGGGTTTTATACAAGAGGGACCAAAACATTTGTACAGAAAAACAATTTTACATGACTTAACTGGACCATGTTCTGATAAAAAAATTTTCAAAACATGTTTATATAACCTGCACCCCTTTTGTCCTGATCATTTGTCCAATGAACAGTCACTGAAAAAACAATGCCTTTCTAGGGACTTCTGTACAAACTACCAGGAGAAAGGCAAAGGAAGTAGACTTAGGCTTAGTCCGCTGTTGCAAAGTGCAACTAATCCAGAGAGGCAAACACAGCAAGTCAATAGCATCCAGCAATTTCCAAGAGGGAGTCAAGTGCCTAATCTGTCATGAGTAGGTACAGGAGTCACAGTGTTGTGCTGTGCCCTCCTCTAAACTTGCGGCTTTCATTAGAAATTACAATTTAAGGATGCAATTAGTCTCCGTGTTAGAAATAAAGAGCCATTCAACAGTTCAATTTTAAAAGGTCCCATTAGAGAATAAGCCTTTTTTTGCAGGCAGCTGTATGTAATCCCAATGGTCCAACAAAGATACAGGATGTTTTCATAGCCTATGATCTCATAGAGGAGCATACTAAATCTGCAACAATCTCTGTGACTGAGTTCTGTTTATTAAATGAAGCGATTTCATTCAATTTCAGTTCAGTATAGTTACTCCCGAGGCTGAAACAGCTCACAGCAAACAGTATCAGGATTCACATTACAGTCAGGTACAGGCAATCAGCATTTGCAATTTCAGGATTCCAACCAAGCAATAGGCTTTTTCCTAGGCATCAGCAAAGATGATATGTTGCAAGATCACACAGCTGTATTCCAAGTTCAAGTGACAAGCAAGGCTTTCCTAAGTACTTTTTTATATTGTCAGTGTTGGAGTCCAAATTGGCCTCCTCAAAAATTATGCACATTGGGACAAAAAAATGAACAGCCTCTAAAGGTCAGACATTTCATTTCAACAAGGGTCAATTAGCATACTAAAAACCATTATTAATACTCCAGAAGTGTATTTCCATCTGGGATGGCCTATCTTCTAACGCTGTCTCTCTTTTTAGAGGTTCTAATAGACAATAATCATACCAAAAATCATCAGTTACGTAGACTTGGTTCCTTCCTAATACTAAAAAGTTTAAATTCCAGTTTGCCCACTGGCTGGCAAAAACAAGGGAGTTGTGTCTCACTAATGTTTGCTCTTTGTATATTTCCCTGATCATGATGATTCCTTCAGCATTTATGAAATTACAAGCATATACATTTTACGTTAATTTTTATTTATATATCCACACACAGTAGCCACAAAACAAAAGTTGATTTTTAATTCTTTTTCTTTTTTCACTCATTTTAAATTTACTCAACCCCCTGTCAATCAATCAGCACTTACAGGGTAAACAACACAGTTTCTGAGAGGTTCTAAGTTGAATTCCAGGTGGAGCAGGGAGTGTGGCTGGAGGATGCTGCAGTTGTGGCTGGCTTTTAAAAAACTTTTTCTTATGCATCTGGTTTATCTAAAGTGTTACTCCAGTCCTGAGCACTGATTTAACTTTCTTCCTTCCCACTTAGAGGAGATAGGAACACACACTAAAACACTTATGGCCCATTCAAAGCTCCCCATTGGGAATGTGTGTGCTGCCCTTTCTTTTACCTCATAGAGGAGAAAACAAAAAACAAAGATGACATATGGGGTTTGCTTTTTATGTTCTCACTTTAGCCTGAAAAGCCAAAACATCCAATGATCCAGGGAACCAACTCTGCTGTGCTTGGCTATGCCATCTTAAAATTCCACAGGTAACTTTTAACTCTCACAACAGACAGCAGCTCTGCTGATATTTTATACCATGAATTACTCTGTGGCATCCAGGCATCAAAGGTTGTTGTGTTAGTCTGTTCTTGCATCGCTGTAAAAAAATACCTGAGACTGGGTAATTTATAAAGAAAAGTTTAATTGGCTCACAGCTCTGTAAGCTGTACAGGAAGCATGCTGCTGGCATCAGCTCAGCTTCTGGTAAGGCCTCAGGAAGCTTACAATTATGGCAGAAGGTGAAAGGGGAGCTGGTATCTAACATAATGATAGCAGGAGCAAGAGAGAGAGCAGGTATCACATGCTTTTTAAACAACCGGATCCTGTAAGAACTCACTCGCTAGCTAAATGACAGCACCAAGTCATAAGGGATCTGCCCCCATGACCCAGGCACCTCTCACCAGGTCACACCTCCAACACTGGGAACCACATTTCAACATGAGATTTGAGTGGTACACATATGCAAACCATATCAGTTGTCATCCACTGCTCCTTCATCTTTCCTTTCACAAACAATGCTTCTGCCATATTACAATGAATCAGAGTCATTCTACTGAATCTTACTTTTAAATCCAATTGTGTCAGGAATCCCCAAGACCACTACCAGGATTAGTGATTCACCAGAGTGAGTCATAGGACTAAGCGTGTAGTCATGGCAAAAATTTATTACAGCGAACAGATACAAAGCAAATCAGCAAAGGTAGTAGGCACATAGGAGAAGTCTGGAAGAAACAAGGGATTGACTTTTAATAGTCTTCTCCCAGTGGAGTAGCATAGGATGTACTTACTTACATGGATTAACTTACTAGGAAAGAGTTGTGACATAGTAAGTTCATAGAATGAACTTGCAAATCCAGTTTATAGGCATATGAACAAGTAAATAGAATGAACATAATAAGTTCATAGGATGGACTTACATAGAATGAACTTATTAGGAAAGAGTTGTGACAAGACCTGCAAAATGTTGTCCACCAGGAAAACTCATTAGAGACTAATGTCCAAAGTTTATGGTTTTTTATCAGGGGACGTTAGTCCAATAGGCACCATCTGCCTAGTATGTAGCAAGTTCCACATGCCTAGAAGGAAAGTAGATGTTTAGCATATACCACACTGTTTATACAAACAGCCTACACAGAGTGAGCCACACTTATCATGTAAATTCTATCAGTATAGAAAACTGAATACCAACCAAGTTCCCAGAATGCAACCACAGTCCAACTTTGCAAGCGAACTTTTGTAAGGCTAGGTAGTCTTAACCTTACTGTGTTACCCACTTACTGAAATGCTTCATGATACCTCTTGTTGTGCATTCTTCCTTGCTGCAACAAGTAGGAAACCCAACTTGTTCAACTGCAGGTGTGTTCCTGGTGGCCTTGGGCTGGGAGGCATTGACATCTTTAAAGAACTATATTTTTCTTTCTCTAGTAAATAAAGAAGTTCTCTGAATATCCTGGTCTAGGAGCAAATCCAGTTAATAGGCATATGAACAATAAATTAGAATGAATACTAATGATATCTTTTAATGCAATGTGAAAATTAAAACTTTTTCATTACTTTCTAGTTTTATTAGATTTTACTTTCTATTGGTATATAAATTCAAAACTTTAAAAGACAGAAAGTCATCTTTGTGCAATAGATGTTACTGACTTGAATACACACCAATATAGAAAACCACTTACCGGTCAGTTAGAACACATAGGGCAAAGTTTAAACATTCAGATAATTTCTATCATGGATGACATTATAATGTGTAGGTGAAGGAGACTGTTTTACATCCTGGATCATGATTAAGAAGAACTCATTGGAAAACACAGAGATACTTTATCTCACATAAAACCAAAAATAAGATCCACCAACTATTAAAGTGAAACCACTGAGTACCCTAGTGCAAAGGAATCCTCCCTTTTCTAGGAATAAAGTCCTTTTTAAATTTCCATATTTTAGAGGCATATATAATGAATGGAGAGCAATTTGATAAAAGAAATACCAAAAAGACACTCCAGTTACCAACACAGGAAGAGCTCTTGCAGGCATTCATGTTAAATTTTAATTCACTGAATCCTTGGGCAGAAGGATAACATATTTTAAACACTTGACATGGCCAGAAGTGATTACATAGATTATATGCCAAGTGATCTGAAATCCTACTGCCAGCACATTCCTGGAAGATATAGCACTCCCATCAATAACCATGTCTCACTAAGACACTGAATCACAGGAGTAGAAACAGGAAGACAGCTGTTCCTGTGATCCCCTTAACCCATCCCTTTTAACAAACACTAACACACATTCTGCCTACTAGGTAAGACTAAGACTGCTTATTCTTGTAAAGGTTGAATGAGTTTTTTTCTTACAGTCAGATTTTCTAAAGCTGTGTTGTTACCAGAGAAACTTGTATCCTATCACATTTATATCAATGATATGAATTTAACGAAGATCCCCAAGGGAAGAGGGGCTTAACACTCAAATATAATAACTTCAAGGTCTGTGTGTAAGGTAAACCAAGGTAAACTGAATCTATAAAATTAGTTATTGGCCTTTTGTAGATCATGGACTTCAAGAAAATTCTGTTTAAAATGTGGACCACCACCTGGTCATCACTTAAAAAGCTACTCACATACAGTTTTATGTATAATTTTATGGAGTTCCTAGACTCCCCAAAGGCCACTTGTGGATCCCAGGTTGAGGTTAAGGACCCCGTAGACAGAATAACAGTGTTAAACCTGTTCAGGTGAAACTGTGGGGATCCAAAAGTGAATCGATCAATATTAAAAGACTTTAGTAAAGTTGGTAAGCCTTTATAAAGAATAATTAGATTGTCTACTTTATAGATTTGCCCAGTTTATCCTCTCATCCCCTCGATGAGGACTAGAACTTGCCATTTTAGACTGTAACATCCGCTTCAATAACTGTTCCATTAAGTAGATTTTGAAGTCTTTCTCCAGTGAGCAAAAAGACTGGCATTTGCTTGTTTCTTCACAATTGTGGTTTATGATAAGCTTAAAGCTGATGATGAATATGAATGACATCACATGCTCTCAGTCATATCTCAAAATATCCATAGCATTGAATCTGTCTAACACAGACTTCTTTAACAAAGATCGTTACTTGGATCATACCTCCATGGTAGGCACTATCTGCACAAAGTTTGGAGGAACAATATGAATCTCTTCTTCCCAAAAGAGTCAACCTCAAGAATCAGGAATTGATAGTGGGTAAAATAAGCAAGTAAGTGAGTTATAATGTGCTGTCACTATCAAGACTCAGTTACATTGTTTCATTCAGTCATGTGCTCTTTCTCCCCTTTACCTCTCCACTCATCTCTCCATTGTCATCCATCATGAAAAAATACCTCCAGACCAAAATATTTTGTAGATACATTCACATTACAGAAAGCTTTCTTCTTTGGCCACTTCCTATCAGATAGCAGGTATTTTGATACAAATGTCCTTGGTAAGCAAGGTGATTTGGGTAGGCTCCAGTTGCAATATATTGCTTTCTTAGATCTTTGGTTCAAAATGCAGAGAGAGAATCAGTGAGCTTCTACTGTAGCATTATGTCTTATGTATATAGGATAGCCAGCAGAAATCATTAGCTGGATTTCCAGACCACTTTGAAGGCTTAGTTCCTCTGGTACTTTTTTCCTGCAATCCTATGGTAGCTTTCAAATGTTTTTCTGATTCCAGTCCCCTCTACCTCTTATGCTCCATGCACTGACACAAGCCAGATCCTTTGAGTAAAATGCATTTTGTTATATCACTCTCATCTCAAAAAATCTCTGGGGCTTCATCTGCCCTTCAGGATGACTAAAAAACTCTTTTATTTGGTCCTTCAATTCCCTTATATGAACTTCTGCTCTAGAACCCAATTAGTTCAGCCATTGTGCCTAGAATATGCCCTCCGCTTTCCTGTATGGTCTTGTGTTTATGGGCAACTTCAAAAATAAAATAAAATAAAATCCATCAGGGTTCTGAATCCACTTTGGCTGTCTGATCATGTCTGTGATTTCTTGGTAATATTGCTGTTCCACACATATCTATACTTAAATAATGGCTATATGAAGTTGTCTAAACAGAAAAAAAAGTAACTGAAGGGATACATATGCTAATTCAGGAAGGAAAATAACAATGGATTGGGTAAATATAGAGATAAATATAATACAATATCCTTTACCTCATGAGTTTTAAAAATTATGTTTGATGGTTGAAGCAAAAACATGACATCATATTTTGCTAATATAAGGCTGAGTGACTGTACAGAAAATACTCAAGATATTTAAAATATGAGGGACAGGATAAAAGGACCTAACAGAAGTAAGGTTTCTATATATCTAAGTGGAAACATGATAATACTAGTAGACTATGATATATTATGTATGCATATTATAATATCTAGATAAACCACTAAATAACATATGTAAAGAGATATGTTTAAAACCTAAAGATAAATCAAAATGGAATTCTAAAATTGTTAAATGTCATCAACAAGGCAGGAAAAGGAAAAGAGAGAAATAAGAAACAATGAAAAGACAGAAAATAACTAATAAATTGGCAGACTAAAGCCTGTTAAGGGATTCCTCAAGACTACCTACACATTCAGAAACTTGATAAAAGTATTCATGAGACTCAGCATACAGTCATACTCATGGCTAACAGTTATACTCATGGCTAACATTCATTACAGTGACACGAGAAGGCTATGCAACTGGATTGGCATGGAAAAAGACACAGGTGGTGTCTAAAGGAATCTATGTACAGGCTTCCTATGCTCTTTACCTCTCTTGAGAGGTAACAGAGTATACACTATCCCTCCATGATAAAAACAATTGCAGCAACATATATGTAACATTTTTGTCCAGGGCAGTCAGTTTGAGACTTCGAGACTACAGCTTTTATTGGTGGCAGTCACTTAGGCATTCTCTGCCTAGCAACTACCCAAATTACAGATTACCAGAGAAGAGCATGAGGCACAGCAAAACACCTTTATCTGTTACAAAATGTTTTAGAAGGTTGCAGAGGCTAGCCAGTGGCCAACTTTGCAAACAGGCCCTTCTAAATATAGCAGCCCTAGGCCTATTTTGTTAACTAGAATCTCTACTGTCCAGCCCATCAGCCCTTTGCCCAGGTGGCTTTACAACAAAATTATTATCAGTAGCAACCTAAGTAGCATAGTGTGACCAATCTGCAGTATTGGTTTTATGCATGCCATTTAGAGGTACTGAACATAGCCAGTTAGAACAAATTTCATTAACCTTAAAGGTCTAGCTTCGAAACTCAGTGGTTTCCTCAAGTTTTTGTTTTAATTAATCTTTTGTTTCTTGACTAGTGGTGTCAGTCAAAGCACAAAAAAAGCTCTGTCCAGTAAGTTGAAACTGAGCTGAAAGTCTTACAGTGCTAATGTTAAGGGGTATGGATGGAGTGGGGAGAAGCTCAACAGTCAGTTTCAATTTAAAGTACTTCCAGCAAGGTGTTAAAACAATAAGTAACATTTTTATCTGAAATAAGGAGAAAGCTCCTAGTAGTAGTTTTGCAAAACAAAGGTCATAAATGTTTCTCCCTCCTGGAGCCTCAAGAGTTTTTCTTTTTTTCTTTTTTCTTTTGTGTGTGTGTGTGTGCCTGGTATATTAACCATTTCCCTAGTTTCCGTAAACTTGATGCTTTAACATCTATCCTACATTCATATTCTGGACAACCCATTAATATGCCCAAGTCGCTTTCTTTGGCCTCCCGCCTTCCTCATCACCATCCCCGTCACTCCTGTCTTGGGAGGATACCTTCTCCCAGATGTGTGCTTTTCAGATACAAACCAACCAATCCAGAGTTCACATCAACAACTATCTCCTTTATCAGGCTCTCATACTATGGGATGCTATATATCTGCCCTAATCACCTCAGAGCCAGTTACCAAATAACTGGGGGCAGACTCTATGCCTCAGTCTGCTGAAATTATTCAAATCCTAAGCCTAAATACCCTGCCATGTGTTCCTGTTCTTCTTGAGGAGATGACAATAAAGGCTATTGCCCACATGTATTTCTTCTCCCCCTGCCCTGGGACCGACCTCAGTGCTTCCCAAATGTGGCTCACTATGGTATAGCACACCCTCTCCTCTGGGGAACTCTGAGTAATAAACTATATTTACAATTTTTAAATTTTTATTTATTTGACTTTTTAATTTTAGATGTATATATTTATGGGGTAAATGAGATGTTTGATACAGGCATGCAATGTGAAATAATCACATCATGGAGAATGGAGTATCTATCCCCTCAAGCATTTATTCTTTGTGTTATTACAAACAATCCAATTACACTATTTTAGTTATTTTGAAATGTACAATTAAGTTAGTATTGACTATAGGCACCCTGTTGTGCTATCAAATACTAGGTCTTATTCATTCTTTCTGACTATTTTTGTACCCATTTACCACCTTCACTTCCCCTGCACCCCCACACCACCTTTTCCAGCCTCTAGTAACAAACCATCTACTCGGTATCTCCATGGGTTCAATGGTTTTAATTTTTAGTTCCCACAAATAAAAGAGAACGTGCAATGCTTGTCTTTCTGTGCCTGGCTTATTTCGCTTAACATAATGATCTCCAGTTCCACCCATGTTGTTGCAAATGACTGGATCTCATTTTTTATGCCTGAATAGTACTCCATTGTGTATATGCACCACATTTTTTGTATCTATTCATCTGTTGATGGACACTTAGGTGGCTTCGAAATCTTGGCAATCTTGGCAATTGTGAACAGTGCTGCAACAAACATGGGAATGCAGATATTTATTTGATATACTTATTCCCTTCTTTTGGGTATATATCCAGCAGTGGGATTGCTGGATCATATGGTAGCTCTATTTTTAGCTTTTTGAGGAACCTTCAAACTTTTCTCCAGAGTGATTGTACTAATTTACATTCCTGCCAACTTTGTATGAGGGTTCACTTTTCACCACATTCTTACCAGCATTTGTTATTGCCTGTCTTTTGCATATAAGCCATTTTAACTGGAGTGAGATGGTATCACATTGAAGTTTTCATTTGCATTTCTCTGATGACCAGTGACGTTGGCCACCTTTTCATGTGCCTGTTTGCCATTTGTATGCCTTCTTTTGATAAATGTTTTCAAATTTTTTGCACATTTTTTCAATTGGATTATTCAATTTTTTGTATAGAGTTCTTTGAACTTCGCTTATATTTTGCTTATTAATCCCTTGTCAGATGGGTGGTTTGCAAATATTTTCTCCCATTCTGTGGGTTTTCCCTTCATATTGTTAATTGTTTCTTTTGCTGTGCAAAAGCTTTCTAACTTGATGTGATCCAATTTGTCCATTTTTGCTTTGGTTGCCTGTGCTTCTGGTGTATTACACAAGAATTTTTGCCCAGACCAATGTCCTGAAGATTTTCCCCATTGTTTTCTTGTAGTAGTTTTATAGTTTGAAGTATTAGATTTAAGTCTTTAATCCATTTTTATTTGATTTTTGTATATGGCAAGAGGGTCTAGTTTCATTCTTCTGCATATGGATATCCAGTTTTCCCAGCACCATTTATTGAAATGATTGTCTTCTCCCCAGTGTATGCTCTTGGCACCTCTATCAAAAATGAGTTCACTGTAAGTGTGTGAATTTTTTTCTGGGTTTTCTATTCTTTTCCTTTGGTCTATGCATCTGTTTATATGCCAGTACCATGCTGTTTTGGTTACGATAGCTCTGTAGTATAATTTGAAGTCAGGTAATGTGATTTCTTCAGTTTTGTTCTTTTTGCTTAAGACAGAGTCATGGTTATTGTGGGTCTTTTCTTGTTTCATATGAATTTTATAATTTTTTCTATTTCTGTGAAGAGTATCATTGACATTTTGATAGGGATTGCATTGAATGTGCAGATTTCCTTGGGTAGTATGGACATTTTACCAATATTTATTCTTCCAATTTATGCACATGGAATACTTTTCCATTTTTTGGTGTCCTCTTTAATTCTTTCATCAGTATTTTATAGTTTTCATTATAGAGATCTTTCTCTTCTTTGGTTAATACCTAGATATTTAATTTTATTTGTGGCTATTGTAAATGGAATTACTTTTTAAATTTCTTTTTCAGATTGTTCACTGTTGGCATATAGAAATGCTACTGATTTTTGTATGTTTATTTTGTATATGCAATTTTACTGAATTTGTTTATCAGTTCTAGTAGTTTTTTGGTAGAGTATTTAGTATTTTCCAAACAAAAGATAATATCATCTGCAAACAAGGATAATTTGACTTCTTCCATTCTATTTGGATGCCCTTCAATTTTTTCTTTTGTCTGATTGCTCTAGCTAGGACATCCAGTACTATGTTGAATAACAGTGGTAAAAGTGGGCATCCTTGTTGTGCTCCAGATGTTAGAGAAAATGCTTTTGGTTTTTCCCCATTTAGTATGATACTAGCTATGGATCTGTTGTATATGGTTTTTATTATGTTGAGGTATGTTTCTTCTTTCCCCAAGTTTTTGAGGGTTTTTATCATCAAATGATGCTAAATTTCATCAAATGGTTTTTCAGTATCAATTGAAATGATCATATGGTTTTTATCCTTCATTTTGTTGATATGATGTATTGGATTGGTTGATTTGCATGTGGTAAACCATCCTTGCATCCCAGGGATTAATCTCACTTGGACATGAAGAATGATCTTTCTAATGTCTTGTTCAATTTGATTTGCTAGTATTTTGTTAAGAATTTTCATGTCAGTATTCATCAGAGATATTGTCCTGTAGTTTTGTGTTTTTGATGTGTTTTTGTCTGGAATTGGTAGCAAGGTAATATGGCCTTATTGAATGAGTTTGAGAGTATTCTTTCCTCCTCTATTTCTTGGAATCATTTAAGTAGGATTGGCATTAGTTCTTCTTTAAATATTTGGTAGAATTCAGTGAATACACTAGGTCTTGGGCTTTTCTTTGCTGGGAGAGTTTTTATTTATGGCTTCAATCTTGTTATTTGTTATTTGTCTATTCAGGTTTTGGATTTCTTCCTATTTCAATCTTGGTAGGTTGTACGTGTCTAGGAATTTGTCCATTTCTTCTAGTTTTTCCAACTTATTGGCATATAGTTGCTCATAGTAGCCTCTAGTGATCCTTTGAATGTCTGCAGTATCAGGTGTAGTTTCCCCTTTTTCATTTCTGATTTTATTTATTTGTATTTATTTGTATATTCTCTCTTTTTCTCTTTATCTGGCTAGAGGTTTGTCAATTTTGTTTAACTTTTCAAAAAATTAATTTTTGTTAGTTTGATCTTTTGTATTGTTTTCTTTGATTCTATTTATTTCTGCTCTGGTCTTTATTATTTCTTTTCTTCCACTAATTTTGGGTTTGATTTCCTCTTGTTTTTCTGGTTCTTTAAGATGCATTGTTAGATTGTTTATTTGAAGTTTTTCTCTTTTTTTATGTAGGCACTTACAGCTATCAACTTTTTTCTTAGTACTGCTTTTGCTGTATCCCAAAGGTTTTGGTATGTTGTGTTTTCATTATCATTTGTTTCAATAAATTTTTAGATTTTTGTATTAATTTCTTCACCTACTGGTTATTAAGCAGCATATTGTTTAATTTACACATATTTTAATAATTTCCAAAACTCCTCTTGTTATTAATTTCCAGTTTTATTTCATTGTGGTTAGAGAAGATGCTTGAAATTATTTCAATGTTTAAAATTTTTAAGTCTCATTTTGTTACCTACCATATGGTCTATCTTTTAGAATTATCCATGTGCTGAGAAAAAAATTTGTATTCTGCAGCCATTAAATTAAAAGTCCTGTAAAAATATCTATTAGACCTATTTGGTCCATAGTGCAGATTAAGCCTAATGTTTCTTTGTTGATTTTCTGTCTGGAAGATCGATCCAATGCTGAAAGTGAGGTGTTGATGTCCCCAGCTATTATTGTATTAGACCTATGTCTGTCTGTAGTTCTAATAATGTTTGTATTATATATCTGGGCCATCCAGTGTTGGGTGCATGTATATTTAAAATTATTATATCCTCTTGCTGAATTTACACATTCATCAGTATATAGTGACGTTCTTTGGCTCTTCTTATAGTTTTTGTCTTGAAATCTATTTTGTCTGAAATAAGTATAGCAAATTCTGCTCTTTTCTGGTTTCCATTGGCATGAAATATCATTTCCATTTTTAAATTTTCAGCCCATGAGTTTCTTTATAGATAAAGTGTGTTTCTTGTGGGCAACAAATCAATGGGTCTTGTGTTTTCTCTACTCAGTCAGTTTATGTTATCTGATTGGAGAGTTTAGTCCATTTACATTTGATGTTATCATTGATAAGCAATGTCTTACTCCTGCCATTTTGTTATTTGTTTTCTGGTTGTTTTGTGGTCTTCTTTTCCTTCTTTCTTTTCTTCCTATCTTCCTTTTTGTGAAGGTGATTTTCTCTGGTGATATAATTTAGTTTTTTGCTTTTCATTTTTTGCGCGTGTATCTATTGTACGTTTTTTGACTTGAAGTTACCATGAAGTTTGCAAATACTATATTCCATTATATTAACCTGATAACTACTTAATATTGTTTGCATAAACAAATAAGCAAAAAGTTAACCAATAAAGGCTCTATGCCTTAACTTTGTACCCCACTTTTTAACTTTTAGTTAAATAACTTTCTTATTATTCTGTGTATGCCTTTAATGGTTGCTGCTGTTATTATTTTTTATTGGTTTATCATTTAGTCTTTCTATTTATGATAGGAGTAGTTTACACATCAATTACGTGTTCTAATATTCTGTTTTTCTGTGTACTTACTACTACAAGTGAGCTTTGTATCTTCAGATGATTTCTTATTGCTCATTAATGTTCTTTTCTTTCTGACTGAAGTAGTTTGTTTAACATTTATTATAGGACAGGACTGGTGTTGCTAAAATCTCTCAGCTTTTCTTTGGGAAAATCTTTATATCTCCTTCATGTTTGAGGAATATTTTTACCAAAAATACTCTTCTAGGGTAAAAGTTTTTTTCCTTTGATGCATTAAACATGTCATGCCACTCTCTCCTGGCCTGTAAGTTTTCCACTGAAAAGTCTGCTTCCAGACTTATTGGAGTGTCATTGTATGTGATTTGTTTCTTTTCTCTTGCTTATTTTAGGATCCCTTTTTTACTGTTGATGTTTGAGAGTTTAATTATTAAATATGCTTGGGTTAAATCTGCTTGGTGTTCTATAATCTTCTTGTAATTGGATATATATATCTTTCTCTAGGTTTGGAAATTTCTCTGTAATTATCCTTTTGAGTAAGCTTTCAATCTTTATCTCTTTCCGTACCTGCTTTTTAAGGACAATAACTCTCAGATTTGCCCTTTAGAACCTATTTTCTAGATTCTGTAGATTTGTTTCACTGTTTTTTATTCTTTTCTCTTTTATCTCTGACTGTGCATTTTCAAATAGTCTGTCTTCAAGCTCACTAATACTTCCATCCAATTCATTCTGCTGTTAAATGGCTCACGCATTATTCAGTATGCCAATTGCATTTTTATTTTATTTTTTATTTCCATAGGTTTTGAGGAACATGTGGTTTCTGGTTACATGAGTAATCAAAATTCTTTAGTGGTGATTTCCAAGATTTTGGTGCACCCATCACCTGAGAAGTTTACACTGTACCAAATTTGTAGTCTTTTATCCCTCACCCCCTCCCACCATTTCCCCCATCCCCAAAGTCCACTGTATCATTCTTATGCCTTTGCATACTCATAGCTTAGCACCTAATTATGAGTGAAAACATACAATGTTTGGTTTTCCATTCCTGAGTTACTTCACGTAGAATAATTGTCTCCAATCAATTCCGTTCAGATTGCTGGAAATGCCACTATTTTATGGCTAAACAGTAGTCCATGGTGTGTGTGTGTGTGTGTGTGTGTATGTGTGTATATATATATATATATATATATATATATATATATATATATATATTTAACAATTTCTTTATCCACTCATTTGGGCTAGTTCAGTATTTTTGCAATTGCGAATTGTGCAGCTATAAACATGCATGTGCAAGTAGCTTTTTCATATAATGACTTATTTTCTTTTGGGTAGATACCCAGCAGTGGGATTGCTGGATCAGATGGTAGTTCTACTTTTAGTACTTTAAGGAATCTCCACACCGTTTTTCATAGTGGTTTGTGCTAGTTTACTTTCCGATCAACAGTGTAAAAGTGTTCCCTTTTCACCACATCCCCACCAACAGCTATTTTTTTTTAATTTTTTGATTATGGTCATTCATGCAGGAGAAAGGTAATATCACATTGTGGTTTTGATTTGCATTTCCCTGATAATTAGTGATATTGAGCATTCTTTCATATGTTTGTTGGCCATTTGTATATCTTCTTTTGAGAATAGTCTATTCATGTCCTTAGCCCATTTTTTGATGGGATTGTTTGTTTTTTTCTTGCTAATTTGTTTGAATTCCTTGTAGATTTTATATATTAGTTATTTGCTGGATGTATAGATTGCAAAGATTTGCTATCACTCTGTGAGTTGTCTGTTTACTCTGCTGACTGTTTCTTTTGCTGTGCAAAAAACTTTTTAGTTTCATTTAATCCCGTCTATGTATCATTGTTTTTGTTGCACTTGCTTTTGGGCTCTTGGTCATGAAGTCTTTGCCTAAGCCAATGTCTAGAAGGGTTTTTCTGATGTTATCTTCTAGAATCTTTAAGGTTGTAGGTCTTAGATTTAAGTATTTGATCAATCTTGAGTTGATTTTTGTATATGGTGAGAGATGAGGATACAGTTTCATTCTTCTACATGAGGCTTGCCAATTATCCCAGCACTATTTGTTGAATAGGGTGTCCTTTCCCCAATTTATATTTTTATTTTCTTTGTCGAAGATCAGTTCACTGTATTTGGCTTTATTTCTGAGTTCTGTATTCTGTTCCATTGGTCTATGTGCCTATTTTTATACCAGTACCATACTGTTTTGGTAACTATGGCCTTATAGTATAGTTTGAAGTCAGGAAGTGTGATGTCTTCATATTTGTTCATTTTGCTTAGTCTTGCTTTAGCTATGTGGGGTCTTTTGTGGTTCCATATGAATTTTAGGATTTCTCTTCTGGTTCTGTGAAGAATGATGGTGGTATTTTGATGGGAATTGCATTGAATTTGTAGATTGCCTTTGTCAGTATGGTCATTTTCACAATATTGATTCTACCCATCCAGGAGCATGGGATGTTTTTCCATTTGTTTGTGTCTTCTATGATTTCTTCTGGCAGTGTTTTGTGGTTTTCCTTGTAGAGTTCTTTCACGTCCTGGGTTAGGTATATTTCTAAGTATTTTACTTCATTGCTGCTATTGTGAAAGGGGTTGAGTTCTTGATTTAATTCTCAGCTTGGTCACTGTTGGTATATAGCAGAGCTACTGATTTGTGTACCTTAATTTTGTATCCTGAAGCTTTGCTGAATGCTTTCATCAGTTCTAGGAGGAGCTTTTTGGAGGAGTCTTTTGGGTTTCCTAGGAATATAATCATAATAATCAGAAAACAGCAACCATTTGACTTCCTTTTTACCAATTTGGATGCCCTTTATTTCTTTCTCTTGTCTGATTTTTCTAGCTAGAATTTCCAGTAGTATGTTGAATAAAAGTGGTGAGAGTGGGCATCCTTGCCTTCTTTCACTTCTCAGAGGGAATGCTTTCAACTTTTTCCCATTCAGTATTTTGTAGGCTGTGAGTTTGTCATAGATGGCTCTTGTTACATTAAGATATGTCCCTTCTATGCTGATTTTACTGAGGGTTTTAATCATAGAGGGATTCTGGATTTTTGTCAAATGCTTTTTCTGCATCTTTTGAAATGATCATGTCATTTTTGTTTTTAATTCTGTTTATGTGGTGCATCACATTTATTGACTTGCATATGTTAAACCAACCCTGCCTCCCTGGTATAAAACTCCCTTGATCATGATGGATTATCTTGTTGATATGCTGTTGGATTCTGTTAGCTATTACCTTGTTAAGAATTTTTCAATCTATGTTCATCAGGGATATTGGTCTGTAGTTTTTTTTTTTGTTGTTGTTATTGTTGTTATGTTCTTTTCTGGTTTTGGTACTAGGGTAATGCTGGCTTCATAGAATGATTTAGGGAGGATTCCCTCTTTCTCTTGTGGAATAGTGTCAATAACATTGGTACTAATTTTTCTTTGAATGTCTGATAGAATTCAACTGTGAATTTATCTTTTCCTGGACTTTTTCATTGGCAATTTTTTTCATTATCATTTCAATCTCACTGCTTGTTATTGACCTCTTCATGGTTTCTCACTCTTCCTGGTTTAAGCTAGGTGGGTTGTAAGTTTCTAGGAATTTATCCATCTCCCCTAGGTTTTCTAGTTTATGCACATAATGTTGTTCACAGTAGCCTTGAATGAAATTTTGTATTTCTGTCTTGTTGGTTGTAATATCCCTCATTTTATTTCTAATTGAGCTTATTTGGATCTTCTTCTTTTCTTGGTTAATCTCAGTAATGGTCTATCAATTTTATTTATCTTTTCAAAGAACCAGCTTTTGTTTCATTTGTCCTCTGTGTTTTTTCATTTCAATTTTATTTATTTATGCTCTAATGTTGGTTATTTCTTTTCTTCTGCTGGGTTTGGGCTTGGTTAATTCTTATTTCTCTTGTTCTTTAAGGTGTGACCTTAGATTGTCTATTTGTGCTCTTTCAGACCTTTTGATATAGGCATTTAAGGCTTTGAACTTTCCTCTTAGCATTACCTTTGCTGTATCCCAGAGGTTTTGATAGGTTGTGTCACTATTGTTGTTCAGTTCAAATAATTTTTTAATTCCCATCTTGATTTCGTTGTTGACCCAATGATCATTCAGGGGCAGGCTATTTAATTTCCATGTATTTGGATGGTTTTGAAGGTTCCTTTTGGAGTTGATTTCCAATTTTATTTCACTGTGGTCTAAAAGAGTAGTTGATATAATTTCAGTTTTCTTAAATTTATTGAGACTTTTTGTGGCCTATAATATGGTCTACTTTGGAGAATGTTTTATGCAGTAATGAATAGAATATATATTCTGAGGTTGTTGGGTAGAATGTTCTGTAAATATCTGTCAAGTCCATTTGTTCTAGGGTATAGTTTAAGTCCATTGTTTCTTTGTCGACTTTCTGTCTTGATGATCTGTCTAGTGCTGTCAGTGGAGTACTAAAGTACCCGTCTATTATTGTGTTGTTATGTCATCTCTTAGGTCTAGTAATTATTGTTTTATAAATTTGGGATCTCCAGTGTTAGATGCATGCATATTTGGGAGTGTGATACTTTCCTGTTGGACGAGGCCTTTTATCATTATGTAATGTTCCTCTCTGGCATTTTTAACTGCCGTGGCTTTAAAGTTTGTTTTGTCTGATATAAGAATAGCTACTTCTGCTCACTTTAGATGTCCATTTGGTTACTTCAGGTACACCCTATGTAAATGGAGAGGATGAAGTAAAGTTATGAAGTCATCTATGGTGTACAGACTATGGAGTGTATATGTCCTGTTATAGCTGAAGTGTGAATTGGCCTTATGTTTCCTGCCTCCAGACTCTATTTTCCTCCCTCATCTCCCCGCTGAAAGATGTGATCCCCATAAATATTTATGAGAGGCAGAGGGATCGATGGTATTTTTTCTGTAGCTGTCTCATGCTGGCCTGGGGTGTAGTCCTTACCTATTGGGGATCACAGAACTCACCCTGCTTTATCTAGTGGAAGCAGGGTAACTTCTTGGTGGCCAGAGGTGGTGTCTTCACTTGGAACTGGATGGAACCTTTGTTGCATAAATATCTGAAGCTTGATGGTCTCTAGGTGAGAAAAAATAAATTTGGTTAAAATATTTAATGAGGACTTCAGGGTTGTACACCTATGCTGTCAGAAATGTTTGTTACAGAGATTTGCAGGAGAGAAAACAAAGCTTGGTTTGTTCTAGAATCTATGTGTTTTCTTAAAGTCTTAGCACAAGTGACTCCATTTTTGTTTGGTTTGGTTTGTTGGGACCTATTGCATTGGCTTAGTCCAAAACAATGGCCTCCCATAATTTTGTTTAAAAAAATCCCCTTTTTGGTCAGGTTCTCACTTAGATGAGAGATAATCAAAACTTAGGGCCTTAGCACAACTCTGTTACCATCATTTTGGGTTTCCAGTTTCAGCACATCGTTTATGGATTATGGTGTCTTCGTGGTTGCACATTTCTTTCAACTCCTGTTATTCCAGTTGAAGAGAGATGACATGACTTTCTAGAGATGGCTGCATGCAAGCATTTAAAACCTTTGAGAAAACACAGTGTACCAGGGAGACTATAAATATGACTATTGGGAGGATAATATCAAGAGTTTGGAGTGTGCTTCTTATCCAACATCCCCATAAACCAAACATCCTAAAATCAAATAAATCAAAGAATGAGCCAAATAAAGAGTTTACTCACTTGACTAGGCAATTTCTTCATCAATCCCCTACCACTGAATATCTATAATTTTCATTTGATGTATTTCTCCATAGGCCACAAGTGCCAGCAGCTGCACAGACACTTCTCTGTTTAGCCAATTCTATCATAACTTTCACAAGAGAACTTAGGGTCTATTGTGTAATTGTAGCCTTTACAGTAGAATTTGCTATAGAACCTATCATAAGGGATACATTTCTAATCATTGCATCTTTTAATTTAAATCATAAAAAAGGACCTAACAAATGATGCCCTTTTAGAAGAGTAAGGCCTTCTGGCAATGTTCTCTTTAATCTATGATGTGGATTAGAAGGCGTGAACCAATCTTTTGTTTTTGACTGATTATGAGGCAATTCATGTACCATTAAATCTTCTTACCTACATTGGGCCTTCATATTTTATCTATCAAAGTGTAAGTTTATCCATGTATAAGGCTGGCTGTGAACTCCTTCACAAATAAAAGTATACCCCATAAGTGCACATAACGGACCCCTTTTCCACTTCTATTGTTCATAGAGGCATAAGTAAGACAAAATATTGAAGAATAAGAGTTTAATGATAGTAGAAGTCTTAATCTGTGAACTTGGGAAAAGTTGTTCATATCAATGATGCCATCCTCTTCTTGGGAGAAATTTCCCTGGTTAGTTTTACCTTAAGGGTTCCAATGGGTCCACAGCTTCAAGAGCATGGAGGGACCCTTCTCAATTGTGAGATTATGAACCCAAAGTTCAAGGTCCTGAAGTTTTGTAGTAGCGTGGATGGCAAGGATAGTATTTCTCTGGTGTTTCCAGAAGATTCAGGACATAAAAAGCTTTCTTTCTTTACTTGGTGAAAATACACTGTAGCATAATAATCTACTGTTATAACACCAGCCCTCTTGCATAGGAAAACTTTCACATAACCAGAAAACATGCATTGAAAATAACAATGAAATGAAATCCCGTTATAAAATGTTTAAATAGGTGACGAGGTGACCCAATGTACCTGAGCTTAAATTGTTTACCCAGGAATATGGGATCAAACATTGATTATAAACTATTTTAAACAATTTCAGTTTTAGCTGGTTTAATATAAAAGTATTTTCTTGATATTTAATTATTTTTCTGTTTTACTTGGGTTAGTAACTTTATACAAGAAAACTTGGTTATTTCTGTGGTTTACAATAACTTAACATAGTAGTTATAATTGTGATTGGCAGCATTTACTTAGATATTCAAATTCTATAAATCCCATACAATTTTGAAATATATATTAGTATTATTCACAAAAATATAACCTAAAGAAGATTGAACATCATTTTGGCAATCCCACATACCTACGCATGTCAAATAATTCATTTAACTTTTTTCTGGAAGTTTTTAGGGGCCCTGTGATCCACTCAGAAAGCCAGGCATTAGACAAGACAATTTTGAAACTGAAGTTTGATTTTGGAATTCCAGGTTACCATAAATTATTTATATTGCCAAAATGATGATGAAGAAATTTTAAAGAAGTAAAAACCTTTTACCAAAAAAACCCCACATTCTACTGTTTATACACACCTTGCATGCAAAACTGTTTCTAGTAGTCTTAATTGCATGTTACAATTGAGACTCTTAGCAATTTTAACTTTAAGGTAAAACCTGGTAGGTTATGTTCTGATAAGGTTTGACTATTTCCAACATAGGTAGAGCATGGCCAATTCCAGATGTCCCCAGGCCTTACCTAGCTGGAAAGCAGGCAAGTTAAATACTTTTCAAAAGCCAAATAAGCAGTTTATGACCTTAAAGTATTTAGGAAACTTAATATTTAAACATAATTTAGAACACATGCTTACATAATGAAGACGATTGTATTTTACCAATAATCTTTAAAATTATTTTTATTTCCAAAAGATTGCTAAAGTCACGTGAATTAAAAAGCATTACACTTTCTAGTTTTCTGACAAAATATTTGATTTAAGCTCTTATTATTATTGAACCAATTAATTAAAACTTTACAGAGTAGATAAACATTGACTTTTATTTTATATTTAACCAGTTTGCAAAGAGAAAGAGGCCAGAGACTGACTGGTAAGAAATTCTTACCCTTTTGATGGCATGCCAGGTTTCTGGGTTCTCTCTCCCTGAGCAGCCCTAGTGACCCTGCTTGACTGTATGCAAACAAACACATTGCTGTGAATTAAGAATAGTCACAAATACTTTATAAATTTTGGAGAAATTAGAGAGGGAAATACGACTCAAATTCTATCTATGAAAGTATACTTAACACACTTAAATTATCAGGAAAACTAAAATCTAAAAAGTTAATTTATAAGGATAAAAAGCTGGTATGCTCCATTAATTCCTGCAGCCCAACAAAGGTAGCTTAGGAATTCCAGATAAATGAAATGAATGATGACTTGGTAGAAATATATAGGAATAGGAAACAAAATAACTATTTACAGAACCAAATAAAAGCCTTCCACTAGAAACTAAAAAAGTATCATGGTTTTATATATATGGATACCCAAGAAAAGCCAGAGGAGAATAAACATCAAATGAATAAAAACTATAAGCAAAAACAAATAAATAGGAAACCAACCTAAATTTTCCACTCAATTTAACCTGGAGGCTACGGTATTTGATAGGGACCCAGAAAACCTACATAATGAATATTTTATTCCTGATACACAATTCAGTATCCTTAAGCTCACTGATATTATCATACATCCTATGCAATTAAGAAATTCACTTTAGGCACATGACCAATAAGCACTCCAGCAAAACGGTAAATGCAAAATGGTAAATATAGTGTGAAGCAATGCAAGCATGTATGTGAAATTTGGCTTCACATGAAATCCAGGTTCATGCTTAACTATGTTAAAAAGAGACTTGCCAAACTGCTGATGCATTTTTACAATACTTCTTACTTTGATCAAGACTATGAGCTTTAACTATGAAAATGTTAATTAGCCATACATTTCCAATTTTTTATCAGGTTTTAAAGAATATTTTATAATTTAAACTTTTCCCACATTTTTCTCCCCTACTTAATGATACCTTACTACATTGTTTTATAAATAACTTTTTCAAATCTATAATTTGAACTTTTAGATAACTTCTGAATTAAACAAAATTATTCTTTTTTCCATGAATAACATAACACTTTCTGGAACATTTTGTTTACAGAATGACATGTTAACTAGAATTTTATCATTAGTAACCTAAAACTTTAGTGAAACCCCAAAAAGCAAGAAATGTTGAACTATTTGATATGGGCGTTTATAGACAAGAACAATTCCACAATTTTAGAGACATATTTCTCCATATTATAACTCTTTCTTAATTGGAAATGACCCAGATATCAAATGAGCATTAAAAATAACTCAAAGATTTTAATTTACACAAACAGTTTACCTAAGACACTCATCCTATTCACTGTACTTAACTTTTTACTTTTAACAAAGGAGACATGAGACATCAATCAACTTATGTAAAACAAACATTGATTTGGTCTGGAAAGGTGGGACAACTCAAGGTGAGGAGGCTTGGGAACTTTCAGATCACAGGTGAGAGACAAATGGTTGCATTCTTTTGTTTCCAATTAGCTTCTGAAGGCATTTCTATTTTTATTCCACCGATAATTTTAAAGCTAGCTTGTTTAGTAAAGTGATACCTTAAGTCACATGAACTTGAAAATTGCTTAGACTTATTTACTTAATTTATGAGAGCTCTTTTACTTATAAGCCAATTTGGTAGACACAACATATAACAATAAGTGTGCATGCAAATAAACACATCTAGACCTGTATACACACACATAAATGAAGATCCAATAGCTTGGAACCTTAGCCATGAGATAGCAATATAAGCTTTCTGGTTTTATTTTGCCCCAATAAATAATCCAGTGGAGGCTGAGAACCAAAATTTTGTGTAAAGCAGTCTTCATGGCAGTTTGATTTTTAAAGGCCAAACCTCCCCAGACTCCAAAGAGCCCTGGGGCCAAACAGTACCAAAGGAGGTCATCACACGTTAACCAGGCTCCCTGCTTAGAACCACAGCACAAAAGCCAGGATACATGCAAAGCCATTCCACTTTCTCATTCAACATTAAACTCCAGATTTCAAACAATGTTGGGTCTAAGAAGCATTGCAACCGTGAAAGAAAATTCTAAGGAGTGCTTAATACTAGACCTCAGAACCTCTGCCAAGAATGTTCTCTTTGGAGTGGTTGGGGTCCACAGAACCCACGGAGCGAGTTCCAAATGTCTCTGGCCTTAGGTGGGCACCACATGCAGGTCTTCCCCTCCAGAGCATACTATGGGCTTTATAAGAATAGCCATGAACTGTAATGTGAACTGGATGCTGGGTGGGCCTTTTTGTTCCTTAGCCAGTTGAGTACAATAAGGGAAGAATTCAGCACATGAAAAGGTTTAAGTTGCCTGAAACATGTGCGAGTTTGCTCTGAGCTGCGCTGCATGTAGGAATCAGGGACAGTGCTCGGAAAAGATATAAATTGCCTTTGGGACAGGGCAATTATTACCATTCATTCCTAGGTCTTCAGGCAGTACTGGGAAGTGACCCCAGCCAATTGCCCTCAATTTCCAAGGAGCTACTAGGAAACAGCCACTGAAAGACTGAAAATAAAGAGAGGAAAAAAACCATGAAAAAGACTCAGGTTCCTTAAGCTAACCGAGCAGTGGTGGTCAAGCTTCTCCACATGGAAACTCCTTAGTTTCAGTGGCCATGGCCAGAAACCTGCAGTTGCTTCTATGTTTAGGCGCTGCTCACCAAGGGTCCCAGGTTGGAAAGGAACAGAGAGGGAAAGAGATTCCCTTGTATTGGAGCAGAAAGGGAAAGAAGAAAGGAGAAGAATAAATCCCAAATTTTGGGCTTACCTCTTCCTCCAGGCTGGCTTGCCAAAATATGTTAAAGGTGGAGGGTGTCCAGGTTCTTGGCATCTTGAACAAAGAATTGGAGAAAACACACAAACAAAGCAAGGAAGGGATGAAGGGATTTATTCAAAATGAAAGTACACTCCACAGTTTGGGAGCAGGTCTGAGCCTAGGGGCTCAAAGGCCCCATTACAGAATTTTTGGGAGTTTAAATACCCCCTAGAGGATTCCATTGTTTACTTTGGGTATGCCCTGTGTAAATGAAGAGGATGAAGCAAAGTTACAAAGTCATTTATGGCATATGCCCTATGGAGAGGATATTTCCTCTTATAGCTGAAGTGTGAATTGGCCTTATGTTCCCTGCCTCTAGACCACATTTTCCTGCCTCAATGTAAAAATGGCTTAAAACACATTGTATGTTTTTCAATTTGTGGTTACTATGAGGCTTGCAAATACTACTTTATAACCCATTATTTTAAGCTGATGACAACTTAACACTGATTGTATAAACAAACAAACATGCAAAAAGAAAACTAATAAACACTATACATTATACCCTCACTTTTTAATGTTTTCTTGTTTCTCTTTATGTTTTATTGTATTATGTTGTAAAAAGTTGTGATTATTATTAGTTGGTTCATTATTTAGTCTTTCTACTTAAGATAAGAGTAGTTTATACACCCCCATTATATTGTCATGCTATTCTGTTTTTTTTTTTCTGTGAGCTTATTCTTACCTGTACATTTTGTACTTTCAGATGATTTCTTATTGCTCATTAACATCCTTTTCTTTCTGTTTGAGGTACTCTCTTTAGTATTTCTGGTAGGACAGGTCTGACGTTGAAATACCTCAGCTTTTATTTACATGGGAAAGTCTTTATTTCTCCTTTATGTTTGAAGGATATTTTTACTGGATATACTCTTTTAGGATAAAAGTATTTTTGTTTAAGCACTTTAAATATATCATGCCACTTTCTCCTGGCCTGTAAGGTTTCCAATGAAAGGTCTCCTACCAGATATATTGGAGATCCATTGTATGCTAGCTGTTTCTTTTCTTTTGCTACTTTTATAATCCTTTCTTTAACCTTGACCTTTGGAAGTTTGATTATTAAATGTCTTGAAGCAGTCTTTCTTGATATAAATCTCCTTGGTGTTCTGTAACCTTCTTTTAGTTGAATGTTAATATCTTTCTGTAGGTTTGGGAAGTCATGTGGTTTTATCCCTTTGAATAAACTTTCTACCTCTATCTCTTTCTCTTCCTCCTCTTTAAAGCGAATAACTCTTATATTTGCCATTCTGAGGCTATTTTCTAGTTCTTGGAGTCATGTTTTATTATTGTTGTTTTTTTTTTAATTTGTCTCCTCTGACTGATTTCATTTACCCTGTTTTTAGGCTTACTAATTCTTCCTCCTGCTTATTTAATTCTGCCATTAAGAGACTCTGATACATTCTTCAGCATATTAGTTGCATGTTTCACCTCTATAATTTCTACTTGATTCTCTTAATTATTTCAATCTTCGTTATATTTTTCTGATGGCATTCTGAATACCTTCTCTGTGTTTTCTTGAATTTCTTGGGTTTCCTCAAAACAACTATTTTGAATTCTTTGTCTGAAAGGTTATATATCTTTGTTTCTCCAGGATTGGTCTCTGGTAACTTGTTTAGTTTTATTGGTAAGGTCATGTTTTACTGGAAGGGGATGATGCTTGCAGATATTTGTCAGTGTCTGGGCATTGAAGAGTTAGGTATTCATTGTAGTCTTTACAGTCTGGGCTTGTTTGTGCCTGTCCTTCTTGGGAAGGCTTTTTAGGTATTCAAAGGGACTTGAGCCCCAAGTATAATAATGCTGTCTTTTTTGCAGGCTTGTAGAGGTACTGTCTTGGTTGTCTTGGATAAAATCTGGAAGAATTCTGTGGATTACCAGGTAGAGACTCTTGTTCTTTTCTTTTACTTTCTCCTAAATGAATGGGTGTCTCTGTCTTTGCTGAGCCACCTGGGAATAGAGGTGTGGTTATGCAAGCACCCCTGTGGCCACCACCACTGGTACTGCACTGGGTCAGACCTGAAGCCAGAATAGCACTGGGTCTTGCTGAAGGCCCTTCCCTTCAGGGCAGCAATTTCCCCCATGCCATGGATGGGCATAGAGATGCTGTTGGAAGCCAGAAATTGAAGCAAAAAACCTTAGCAGTTTACCTAATATTATAGTCCATTGCAGCTAAGCTCTCAAACGATACAAAGTTCTTCCCATTCTTCTTTTTCCTTTCCATAGGCAGAGGAGCCTCTCCATGTTGCCACCATAAGCACTCAAACAATACAAAGTTCTTCCCACTCTTCTTTTTCCTTTCCATAGGCAGAGGAGCCTCTCCATGTTGCCACTACAACCACTGGTCCACAAGGGGTTCTGCTCATCTACTTCCAATATTGACTTAAAGCCCAAGGTCTGGTCAGTCAGCTCATGGTGAATGTTGCCAGGTCTTGGACTCACTCTTCAGCATAGTGGGCTCCCCTCTTGCCCAGGGCGGGTCTAGAAATGCTGTCCAAAAGCCTAGGCCTGGACTCAGGGTCCCCAAGAACCTGTTTATTGCTCTGCCCCACTGTGGCTGAGCTACTAGCTAATTTTTTGTTCTTGTAATGGTGCATTGGTGTGCAGATAGTTGTCAAAATTTGCTGTTCCAGCAGGAGGACAAATAGTATAGGCTTCTATTTTTCTAACTTACTCCACCTTCCCAGAAAACTGCTTTAACTCAACTGTGCTACATATGCTCAAAGATCTAAAGGCATTCATGAACAAAGAAATAAAGGAAATAAGAATAATGTATCAACAAACAGAAAATATCAATTAAAATACATAAATTATTAATAGGAACCAAACATAAATTCTAGACCTGAAAGTACAATGGCTTAAATGAAAATTATACTAGAGGAGATAAACAGAGGATTTAAGAAGAGAGAAGAAATAATCAGCAAAATCGAAGCTAGATGAATTGAAATTATCTAGTCTGAGGAGAGGTAAAGAGGAAAATGAACAGTGCCTAAAGACCTGTGGAACATCATTGTTCCTGGTTAAATAGTGCCTACCCCCCAAAAAAACTTTGTGTTAACCTAGAATCTTAGAATTTGACCTTTTTTGGAAATAGAGCCTATGTAGATATAATTAGTTAAGATAACATCAACATGAAATTAGGAAGGGCCCCAATCCAATTACTGGTGTTGTTATAGGAAGATAAAGCAGAAAAGATAGACATGAGGAAGAATGCCATGGAAAGATAGACGTGGTGGTTGGGGTGATATGTCTATAAGTCAAGAGACATAAAGGGTTGCTGACAACCACCAGAGGCTAGGAGAGAATCATAAAAACAGATTCTCCCCCAGAGCCTCTAGTAAAAATCAATTCTGTTGATACCTTGATTTCTGATTCCAGCCTCTATAACTGTGAGAGAATAAATTTCTGTTGTTTTAAGCCACCCTGTTTCTGCTACCTAATTATGGCAGCTTTAGGAAACTAATACAACCATCAAACATAAGAGCACATGCATTATGGGAGTTGCAGAAGGAGAATAAATAAATGAAGAGAAAGAATTTTGAAGAAATTATAGCTCCAAATGTTCTGAATTCTTTAATATTTCCTCATTCTATAAAATACATTAATTTACACATGCAAGAAGCTCTACAAATTTAAGAAATAAGAGATCAGCATTACTGATTCTAAGGGCATAAAAAGAGTAATAAAGGACAACTGAAAAACTAAATACCCATAAATATAAAAACGTGAATAAAATGAAAAAATAAGAAAGGCACAAAAAACAAAGCTTATGCAAAAAATTGATTTTCTAAACTTGTCAATGACTACTAAAAATATTGATTTAATAATCCAAAAAAGAAAGCAACTCTTCCAAGATGGGTTCACTAGAAAATTCTGCAAAGCATTTAGGTAAGAAATTATACCAATTCTCTACAATCAAGTCCAGAAATCAGGATAAACCACTTTCTACCTCATTCTATGAGATCAGCATTACTCTAATACCTAATACCAAAACCAAAAACATTACAAGAAAAACAATACTGCAGATCAAGATTTCTCATGAGCATAGATGCAATAATGCTCAAAAGAGTATTAGTAAATAAGTCCAACAATGTATAAAAGACGTTCACACTGACTAATGGGGTTTCAAGTATGTATGTATGTATGTATGTATGTATGTATGTATGTATGTATGTATTTATTTATTTATTTATTTATTTTCCTGCTTCTTTTTAAAAAATTTCAATAGGTTTTTGGGGAACAGGTGGTGTTTGCTTACATGAATAAGTTATTTAGTGTTAATTTCTAAGAGTTTGGTGCACTCCTCTCCTGAGCACTGCACAATGTACTCAATGTGTAGTTTTTATTCCTTACCCCCCTCACTCTTTCCCCTGAGTCCCCAAAGTCCATTGCATTATTCTTATGCTTTTGAATCCTCATGGCTTAGCTCCCACTTATGAGTGAGAACAACAATGTTTGCTTTTACAGCCCTGAGTTACTTCAATAAGAACAATGATCTCCAATTCCATCCAGGTTGCCATTATTTTATTCTTTTTCATGGCTGAGTAGTATTCCAAGGCATGCATATATATATATATATATATATATATATATATACATATATATATCACATCATTTTCTTTATCCACTCATTGATTGATGGGCATTTTGGGTTAGTTCTAAGTTTTTTAAATTTTGAATTCTCCTGTTATAAAAATGTGTGTGCAGATATCTTTTTGTTATAATGACTTATTTTCCTCTGGATAGATACCCAGGAGTGGGATTGCTGGATCAAATGATACATCTACTTTTAGTTCTTTAAAGAATCTCCACACTGTTTTTCATAGTGGTTGTACTAGTTTACATTCCCACCAACAGTGTAAAAGTGTTTTCTTTTCACTGCATCTACACCAACATCTATTATTTTTTTATTATGGTCATTCTTGCAGGAGTGTGGTTGTATTGCATTGTGGTTTTTTTGCCATTTGTGTATCTTCTTTGAGAATTGTATATTCATGTCCTTAGCCCACTTTTTGATGGGATTTTTTTCTTTCTTGCTTGCTGATTTGTTTGAGTTCCTTGTAGATGCTGGGTATTAGTCCTTTGTTTGACATATAGACTGCAAAGATTGTCTTCCACTCTGTGGGTTGTCTGTTTAATCTGCTGATTATTTCTTTCACTGGACAGAAGGCTTTTAGTTTAATTAAGGGCTTACCTATTTATCTTTGTTTTTGTTGCATTTGCTTTTGTGTTCCAGGTCATAAAGCCTTTGCATAAGCCAATGTCTAGAAGTATTTTTCCAATGTTATATTCTAGATTTTTTATGGTTTTGTGTCTTAGACTTAAGTTTGTGACCCATCTTGAGTTGATTTTTGTATAAGATGAGAGACAAGGTTCCAGTTTTATTCATCTGTATGTAGCTTGCGAATTACCCCAGCACCATTTGATGAATAGGGTGTCCTTTCCTCACTTTATGTTTTTGTTTGCTTTGTTGAAGATCAGTTGACTGTAAGTATATGGCTTTATTTCTGCATTCTCTATTCTGTTCCATTGGTCTATATGCCTATTTTTATACCAGTACCATGCTGTTCTGGTGACTATGGCTTTATAGTATAGCTTGAAGTTGGGTAATGTAATGCCACCAGATTTGTTCTTTTTGCTTAATCTTGCTTTGGCTACGTGAGCTCTTTTTTAGTTTCATGTAAACCTTAGCATTGTTTTTTCTAGTTCTGTGACAAATTATGGTGGTATTTTGATGGAAATTGCATTGAATTTGTAGATTGCTTTTGTCAGTGTGGTCATTTTTACAATATTGTTTCAACCAATCCATGAGCATGGAATGTGTTTCTAGTCATTTATGTCATCTATGATTTCTTTCAGCAGTGTTTTGTAGTTTTTCTTGTAGAGATTTCTCACTTTTTTGGTTGTCTTCCTAAGTATTTTAGGTTTTTGGCACTGATTTGTTTACATTAATTTTGTATCCAATATTTTGCTGAATCCATTTACCAGTTCTAGGAGCTTTTTGAAGGAGTCTAT
This sequence comes from Homo sapiens, assembly GCF_000001405.40. Classification (NCBI taxonomy): domain Eukaryota; kingdom Metazoa; phylum Chordata; class Mammalia; order Primates; family Hominidae; genus Homo; species Homo sapiens. Next base: position 73,165,327 of record NC_000023.11, read on the forward strand.
AGGGTTTTCTAGGTATATGATCATGCCATCAGAAAAGAGCAACAGCTTGAATTCCTCATTACCTGTTTGGATGCCCCTTATTTCTTCCTCTTATCTGATTGCTTTGGCTAGGATTTCCAGTTCTATTATATATATATGGGTTTATTAAGTGTTACCTTACACTATCACAAGGTCTCACAATAGGCCATCTGTAGGCTGAGGAGCAAGGAGAGCCAGTCTGAGTTCCAAAACTGAAGAACTTGGAGTTTGATGTTCGAGGGCAGGAAGAATCCAGCATGGAAGAAAGATATAGGCTTGGAGGTAGGTCTGTCTCCTTTTTTCCCATTTTTCTGCCTGCTTATATTCTAGCCACACTGGCAGCTGATTAGATTGTGCCCACCCAGGTTAAGGGTGGGTTTGCCTTTCACAGCCCACTGACACAGATGTTAATCTCCTTTAGCAACACCCTCACAGACACATTCAAGATCAATACTTTGTATCCTTCAATCCTATCAAGTTGACACTCAGTATTAACCATTGCAAGTTCCCCCCTTGTCAATGTGAACACATAAGTACCTCCTGAGATCATACATAATCTTCTTCTTCTTCTTTTTTTTTTTTTTTTTGAGATGGAGTCTCACTCTGTTACCCAGGCTGGAGTGCAGTGGTGCAATCCCAGCTCACTGCAAGCTCCGCCTCCTGGGTTCACACCATTCTCCTGTCTCAGCCTCCTGAGTAGCTGGGACTACAGGTGCCCATCACTACACCCGGCTAATTTTTTGTATTATGTATTTTGTATTTTTTTAGTAGAGACATAATATTCAAATAAAGACAATAATGAGATAATAATTACACCTAACATAATACAACTATCCTTTGCACAACCAGAAAGGCACCAACCCCCAACCCAAATACTATTACATAAAGTTAACTATGCTTAAATGCTGACGTGAGATCAATAAATCTTACGTCACATGATAAAAGAGAAAGGAAATGAAATGAAGATATTTTCTCAGTACAAGTGTGTACATGCACAAACATGTTTTTTACAAAAGAAGGAGGAAATACTCATGAAAATTTCTGTCCTTATTTCTGCAGGTGGTCACATGATCATAGCTGGTATTGATGACTACTATCTTCTACTACTCATTCTGTATTCCCTTCACCTTCAGCAAGCATCTCGGCAGGTTGTGCTTTTTTTCCTGGTGGAGTGACCCAAACCTTCATTCCTGAAGGGTCTGGGTCATTTGTAGTCCTGCCTGGATTGGGCTCTTGTAGCTTCCCATTGAACTTAACCACAGGGCATGGTAATGCTAAGAGATGCCCTAATGGATCTCCTGTATTCCATGCATACTCTTCCTTACCTCCATTGTGGAGTAGTAGACTGTTTTCATTTTGGTAGTCCTGGTCAATCACCCTAGCCAACACTGTAACTCCTTTCTTAGCCTGTTGACTCAAAGGCAGGAGGAGCCCAAAGTGTCCAGGTGGCAATCTTCACTTCCAGCTCAATGGAATCATTGTTGTGTCTCTTGGTGGCATCATTCTTCCCTCTGGAACTAAGACCTCTAGGCCAGCACAGTGAAATGTAGCAGGAACAGGAAACAAAAATTTTGCTAATGGATCACTAGGGGGCTGGCAAGCGGTGTCACTTCCACTTCCACCTTTTGATTCCTGGACCCGTGAATCCTGGGTATAGGAGAAACAGTATTACATATTGGATGCTGATTTAGAACATACATGACATTCTGGAGAACTTTGCCCCAGGCCTGCAAAGTATTGTCACCTGGTTGATGTTGCAATTGTGACTTCAAAAGGCCATTCCACCGTTCTATCAATTCAGCTGCTTCAGGATGATAGGAAACATGGTAAGACCAGTGAATTCCATGAGCATGAGCCCACTGTCACACTTATTTAGCCATAAAGTGAGTGCCTTGGTCAGAGGCAATGCTGTGTTGTTTACCATGACAGTGGATAAGGCATTCTGTGAGTCCATGGATGGTAGTATTGGCAGAAGCATTGCGGGTAGGATAGGCAAGTCCATATCCAAAGTAAGTTTCTAATCCAGTGAGAACAAGCCTCTGCCCTTTCCATGATGGAAGAGGTTCAATATAATCAACCTGCCACCAGGCAGCTGGCAGATCACCCCAAAGAATGGTGCCATATTGAAGGCTCAGTGTTGTTCTCTGCTGCTGGCAAAATGGACACTCAGCGGTGGCAGTAGCCAGGTCAGCCTTGGTGAGTGGAATTCATGTTGCTGAGCCTATGTGTAACCTCCATCCCTGCCACCTTGTCCACTTTGTTCATTGGACCATTGGGTGATGGCAGGGGTGTCTGGGAAAGGAGGCTGAGTGGGGTCCACAGAATGGGTCATCCTACCCACTTGATTATTAAAATCCTTAAAATCCTCCTCCGTTGAGGTCACCCATTGGTGAGCACTCACATGAGATATTAATATCTTTACAGTTTTTGACAAAGAGAAGGTCCATCCATATTCCTCTTTCCCTAATTTCTTTGTCTCCAATTTTCCAATCATGCTTCTTTGAAGTCCCTAAACATCCAGTGCAACCATTGGCTACAGTCCATGAATCAGTATATAATAACACATCTGGAAATTTCTCCTTCCATGCAAAGTGCACGACCAGGTGCACTGTTCAAAGTTCTGCCCACTGGGAAGATTTCTCTTCACCACTGTCCCTCAGGAATATCCTAGAAAGGGGCTGTAGTGCTGCAGCTGTCAACTTTTGGACAGTGTCTGCATATGGTGCAGAACCCTCTATGAACTAGGCCCTAGTCTTCCCTTCCTCTGCCAACTGATCATAGGGAACTCCACATTAGGCCATCAGTGCAGGTTGGGGGAGAGAAGGCAGGATGGCAGGAGTGGAGACGATGGGCATTTGAGCCACTTCCTCATGTAACTTACTTGTGACTTCAGGACCTGCTGAAGCCTGATCATGTATATGCCACTTCCATTTGATGATGGAATGCTGCTGTGCACTACCCACTTTATGGTTAGATTGGTCAGAAAGTGCCCAGTTCATGATAGGAAGCTCAGGTCACATGGTGACTTCATGGCTTATAGTCAAACATTCAGTTTCTACCAATGCTTAGTAACAGGCCAAGAGCTGTCTCTCAAAAGAAGAATGGTTACCTGCAGAAGATGGCAGGGCCTTGGTCTGAAATCCTAGATGCCTCCACTGTGATTCACCTATGGGGGCCTTCCAAAGACTCCAAACAGCATCCTTATCTACCAATGACAACTCAAGCACCATTGGATCTGCTGTTCATATGGCCCAAGTGGCAGAGCAGCTTGCACAGCAGCCTGGACCTATTGCAGAGCCTTCTCCTGTTCTGGACCCCATTCAAAACTTGCAACCTTTCAGGTCACTCAATAAATGGGCTGGAGTAACACACCCAAATGAGGAGTGTATTGCCTCCAATATCGAAATAGGCCCACTAGGCATTGTGCCTCTTTCCTGGTTGTAGGAAGGGCCAAATGCAGCAACTTATCCTTCACCTTAGAAGGCATATCTTGACAGACCCCAGACCACTGGACCCCTGGGAATTTTACTGAGGTAGAAGGTCCCTGAATTTTAGTTGGATTTATTTCTCATCTTCTGGCATGCAATTGTCTCACCAATAAGTCTTGTGTGTTTGCTAATTCTTGCTCACTGGATCCAATCAGCATAATGTCATCAATGTAATGGACCAGTGTGGTATCTTGCAGAAGCAAAAAGCGATCAAGGTCTCTTTGAATAAGATTATAACATAAGGCTGGCAGTTGATATACCCCTGAGGTAGGACTGTAAAGGTATATTGCTAACCTTGCCAACTACAGGCAAATTGCTTCTGGTGGGCCTTATGGACAGGAATGGAGAAAAAGGCATTTGCCAAGTCAATGGCTGCATAGCAGGCACCAGGAGGTGTGTTAATTTGCACAAGCAATGAAACCATATCTGGTACAGCAGCTGCAATTGGTGTCACTACTAGGCTAAGCTTAGAATAATCCACTGTCATTTTCCAAGATTCATCTGTCTTCTGCACAGGCCAAATGGGAGAGTTGAGTGGGGACGTGGTGAGAATCACCATCCCTGTATCTTTCAAGTCCTCGATGGTGGCACTAATCACCACAATCTCTCCAGGGATGCAATATTGTTTTTGACTTACTATTTTTCTAGGTAAAGGCAGCTCTAATGGATTACATTTGGCTTTTTCCACAATAATAACCCTCACCTTGCCAATCCAGAAGCCAATGTGGGGTTTCTGCCAGCTACTAAGTATGTCTATGCCAATTGTGTATTCTGGCACTGGGGAAATGACCACAGGATGAGTCCGGGGACTCAGCCTCCTCTTCGTTCAAGGGGTTCTGGGTCTGTAAACTGGCTCAAGTCTGGAAATTGATTGAGGGGCCATGATTCTCTGTTTTTGTAATTCAAATTAGTCTTTTGTCCATTTGACCTGGAAGTTCTCTGCTTGTATAAATTAAGTAGGAATGCAGTAGGCTTCCTATCAATTTTACTTCCAGGAACACTGTGATTATTTAACCAATGCCAGAGGTCTACAAGAGTCAGATGTTCTGATTACTGCTTTGTGTCTTCTGTCCATTACAGTAGCTATGCACATCTTGCCTTTGAAGGTTGGGGGCCACCCCTTGGCCCCTGCCGCCTCAGAATCTAATTATTTTTATTGTATTTAAATTTTGTAGTTGAGTGACTCCGGTTCCTACTGTTAGATCTGACATACAGAGAAGAGCAATTACAGGGCTCTTCAAAGATGCAGATGCTGCCCTCATAAATCTGTTTTGCAAGACATTAGTCAAGGGTATATCTTCTGGACCCTCCCAGCTGGGAAGAGTAGGTCTAAAATGACTAATCCATTCCACCATCCCAATCTCCCTAAATCTTTGGATCTCTTCCTCTACATTAAAACAAGGAAGATCATCTCACTTACAGTGGGCCATCTTTTAATCCATATTTCAGTTAACCAAGCAAATAAACTATTAGAACCCTTTTTAACTCCCTGAGCTGCAACATTAAATGCAGATTCCCTACTTAGTGGGCCCAAATCAATACATTCAGCCTGATTCAACTCTGTTTCTTCCACCATTATCCCACACCCTTAATATCTATTTCCATGCCTGTTCTCCAGATTTCTGTTTATATAAATTAGAAAATTCAAGCTTTTTTTTTTTTTTTTTTTTGACAGAGTCTCACTCTGTCACCAGGCTGGAGTGCAGTGGCATGATCTTGGCTCAGTGCAACACCCAATCCTGGGTTCAAGCCATTCCCCTGCCTCATCCTCCCGAGTAGCTGGGGCTACAGGCGTGTGTCACCACACCCAGCAAATTTTTGAATTTTTAGTAAGGATGGGGTTTCACCATGTTGACCAGGATGGTCTCGATCTCTTGACCTCATGATCCGCCTGCTGTGGCCTCCCTTTTCGAGTGTAGTGCACCTCCTCTTGAGTCACACTTTCAACCTCACCTCAAGGGGCCTGCCAGGACTTCAGTCTATTGATAGGTCTAGAAGCAAACAGGGGAGTTGAGGGTAACACCTGAGGAGAATCAACATTATTTTGCCTGGCAACTGCCTCATGGGAGGTCATTACTACTGCTTCAGGGAGCACAGGGTTTATCTCTTCAGGTAAAGGTGGAAAAGCTGATGGCAGCATGGGTCAGAGAGGGAGTATAGCCACTACTGGAGATGGGGAAGCTGTTTCCTCTGGGCAAAAAAAGGTTCATTAGCATTTACAAATTCAGTGTCCCTAGCTTCATCAGGGTCCTTTCACATGTCCCCATTCCAAGTTGCAAGGTCCCATTCTTTTCCAATCAATGCCCTCAGTTTAGCAATAGACACCTGGCATGCACCTTTCATTGCAGGTCTGCCACTTACATGAGAAGAGCTTGTGTCTGCTTTTCCACAATTTCAGCTCTTTCTCTACAGGAGATAAGACTCTCACTCAGGGCAGTCTTAGCAGATTTGTGGCTCAGTATCTGCTTCTGAAACCAGGAGATAGAAACCCTGAGTTCACCATTTTCTTTCACCACTTTGTCCACTGAATTTAGGACCAACCAACCAGCTTCATTATATTCCTTGGTTCTCCACATATTGTCAAAGGTATTATTTATAGAGTCACTAAACTCCTTGCCTCTCATGAGCGGTAAATCAGGAGTGTCAAATGCATTTCTTTTTCATAAATCTCTAAACAGTTCAATCCAAGGACTATCGGTGTTCTCCATACTATTAGAAGTAGAGTCCTTAGCATTTTTAGGTGTAATCATATTAAGCAGCCAACTCCAGAAACCCCAAAACCAATGAAAGAACTCCATCCTTAATATTCTGTTCCTCTAGAACCACTCCTGGTACCAAAATCTATATTAGTCGGGGTTCTCCAGACAGACAGAACTAATGGAATAGATATACATACATAAAGGGGAGTTTATTAAGTATTAACTCACGTAAGCACAAGGTCCCACAATAGGCTATCTGCAGGCTGAGAAGCAAGGAGAGCCAGTCCAAGTTCCAAAACTGAAGAACTTGGAGTTCGATGTTCGAGGGCAGGAAGCATTCAGAATGGGAGAAAGATGTAGGGTGGAAGGTTAGGCCAGTCTCTCTTTTTCACATTTTTCTGCCTGCTTATATTCTAGCCATGCTGGCAGCTGATTAGATTGTGCCCACTCAGATTAAAGGTGGGTCTGCCTTTCCCAACCCACTTACTCAAATGTTAATCTCCTTTAGCAACACTCTCACAGATACACCCAGGATCAATACTTTGTATGATTCAATCCAATCAAGTTGACACTCAGTATTAACCATAGCAGCACCCTTGTCTCTTTCCAGTTCGCAGGAGGAATGCTTTCAACTTTCCCCGGTTCATTACAATGTTGGCTGTCGGTTTGTAATAGATGGCTTTTATTACATTAAGGTGTGTCCCTTCTATGTCAATTTTGCTGAGGGTTTTAATCATAATAGAATGCTGGATTTTTGTCAAGTGCTTTTTCTGCATCTATTGAGTTGATCATGTAATTTTTGTGTTTAATTCTGTTTATGTGGTGTATCACAATTTTGACTTGCATTTGTTAAACCATTTCTGCATCCCTGGTATGAAACCCACTTGATCATGGAGGATTATCTTTTCGATGTGCTGTTGGCTTCTGTTAGGCATTGTTTTGTTGAGGTTTTTTGCATCTATATTCATCAAGGATATTGATATGTAGTTCTCCTTTTTTTGCTGTGTCCTTTCCTGGTTTTGGTAGTAGGATGATACTGGCTACATAGAATGATTTATGGAGGATTCCCTCTTTATCTTTTGGAATAGTGTCAATAGGATTGGTACCAATTCTTCTTTGAATTCTGGTAGAATTCAGCTGTGAAACCATCTGCTCCTGGGCTTTTTTGTATTGGTAACTTTTTAATTACCATTTCAATCTCACTGCTTCTTATTGGTCTGTTCAGAGTTTCTATTTCTTTCTGATTTAAACTAGGAGGGTTGTGTATTTCCAGAACCTATTCATCTCCTCTAGATTTTCTAGTTTATGCACATAAAAGTGTTCATAGTAGCCTTGAATGATCTTTTCTATTTCTGTGGTATCAGTTTTAATATCACCCATTTTGTTTCTAATGAAACTTATTTGGATTCTCTCTTCTTTTCTTGGTTAATATAGCTAATGGTCTATCAATTTTATCTTTTCAAAGAACCAGCTTCTGTTTCATTTGTCTTTTGTATTTTCTGTTCGTTTGTTTAAATTTTATTTAGTTCTGCTCTGATTTTGGTTACCTCTTTTTTTCTGCTGGGTTTGGGTTTGGGTTTGGTTTGTTCTTGTTTCTCTAGCTCCTTGAGGTGTGACCTTAGATTGTCTATTTGTGATTTTTCAGACTTTTTGTTGTAGGCATTTAAAGTTATAAACTTTCCTTTTAGCACTGCATTTGCTGTGTTCCAGAGGTTTTGATAGGCTGTGCCACTATTATTGTTCAGTTCAAAGAATTTTTAATTTCTGTCTTGATTTTATTGTTGACCCAATGATCATTCAGGAGTGTGTTATTTAATTTCCATGTATTTGCATGGTTTTGAGGGTTCCTTTTGGAGTTGATTTCCTGTTTTATACTAAGGTGGTCTGAGAGAATACTTGCTATAATTTCAATTTTCCTAAGTTTGTTGAGACTTGTTTCATGGTCTAACATATGGTCTGTCTTGGAGAATGTTCCATGTGCTAATGAATAGAATGCATATTCTGCAGTTGTTGGATATAATGTTCTGTAAATATCTGTTAAGTTCATTTATTCCAGGGTACAGTTTAAGTGTATTGTTTCTTTATTTACTTCCTGTCTTGATGACCTGTCTAGTGCTGTCAGTGGAGTATTAAAGTCCCCCACTATTACTGTGTTGCTGTCTATCACATTTCTTAGGTCTAGTAGTAATTGTTTTATTAATTTGAGTTCTCCAGTGTTAGGTGGATATATATTTAGAATTGCAATATTTCCTGTTGGACTACTCCTTTTATCATTATATTATGTCTCTCTTTGTCTGATGTAAGAATAACCACTCCTGCCCTTTTTTAGTGTCTATTTGCATGGAATATATTTTTCCACCCCTTTACCTTAAGTGTATATAAGTTCTTGTGTGTCTGATGAGTCTCTGGAAGACAGCAGATCCTTGGTTGGTGACTGCTTATTCATTCTGCCATTTTGTAGCTTTTAAGTGGAGAATTTAGGCCATTTACATTCAATGTCAGTATTGAGATGTTAGCTATGATTCCGTTAATTGTGCTATTTATTGCCTGAATATCTTGGCTTTTTTCATTGAGTTGTTGTTTTATAGGCCCTGTGAGATTTATGCTTTAAAGAGCTTATATTTTAATGTATTTCACAAATTTGTTTCAAAATTTAGAGCTGCTTCTAACAGTTCTTGTAGTGCTGGCTTGGTAGTGGCAAATTCTCTCAGCATTTGACTGAAAATGGCTAACTTTCCTTCATTTATGGAGCTTAGTTTTGCTGCATACAAAATTATTTGCTAATAATTGTTTTCTTTAAGGAGGCTAAAAATAGGATCCCAATCCCTTCTAGCCTGTAGAGTTTCTGCTGAGGAATCTGCTGTTTAATCTGATAGGTTTTCCTTTATAGGTTACCTGATGATTTTGCCTTACAACCCTTAAGATTATTTCCTTCATCTTGACTTTAGATAACCTGATGACTATGCACCTAGGTGATGATATTTTGCAATGAATTTCCCAGGTGTTCTTTGAGCTTCTTGTATTTGGATGTCTAGATCTCTAGCAAGGCCATGGATGTTTTTCTTGATTATTCCCTCAAATATAATTTCCAAACTTTTAGATTACTCTTCTTCCTCAGCAATGCCAATTATTTTTAGGTTTTGTTGTTTAACATAATCCCAAACATCTTGGAGGCTTTGCTCATTTTTTTTAATCTTTTTTTTCTCTTTGTTGGATTGGGTTAACTCAAAAGCCTTGTCTGCAAGCTCTGTCATTCTTTCTTCTACTTGTTTGATTCTGTTGCTGAGATTTTCCAGTGCATTTGCAATTCTCTAAGTGTGTCCTTCATTTCCAGAAGTTGTGATTGTTTTTTATTTATGCTATTTCACTAGACTTTTTTCCATTTATATCTTGATTTTTAAAAATTTATTTAGGTTGGGACTTCACCTTTCTGTAGTGCATCCTTGATCAGTGAGTCCTGTTTCTGGCAATTCAGATATTTGTTTTTGGTTTGGTTCTATTCCTGATGAGCTAGTGTGATATTTTTGGAGTGTTAAAGAATGTTGTTTTGTCTTATTACCAGAACTGTTTATCTGATTCCTTGCCATTTGGGTAAATTATGTCAGAGGGAAGATCAGGGACTCAAGAGCTTCTGTTCTGGTTCTTTTGCCCCATGAGGCAATCCCTTGATGTGGTGCTTTCCCCTTCCCCTAGGGTTAGGGCTTCCTGAGAGCTGAACTGCAGTGATTTTCTTCTCTTCTGGATTTAGCCAGAACTACCAGGTTCTGGGCTGGTACTGGGGAGTGTCTTCAGAGTCCTGTGATGTGATTCATCTTCAGGTCTCGGTCATGCATACCAGCACCTGCTCTGGTGGAGGTAGTAGGGGAGCAAAGTGGACTCTGTGATGGTCCTTGGTTGTGTTTATGTTAGGTGTTATGGTTTTGTGACGGTTGGCCTCCAGCCAGGAGGTGGCGTTTTCAAGAGTACATCATCTGTGGTAGCATAGGAAGGATCAGGCAGTGGGCAGGGCCATAGATCTCCCAAGAGATTATGTCCTTTGTCTTTAGCTACCAGGGCAGGTAGAGAAAGACCATCAAGTGGGGGTGGGGTTAGACCTGTCTGAGCTCAGACTCTCCTTGGGCAGGGCTTGCTGTAGCTGCTGTGGGGGATGGGGTTGTGGTTCCCAGCCAAATGGAGTTATGTTCCCAGGGGGATTGTGGCTGCTTCTGCTGTGTCACACAGGTTGCCAGGGAAATTGGGGAATCCAGCAGCCACCTGCCTCACCCAGCTCCCATGCAGCCCACAGCCTGAAGGCCCAGTCTCACTCTCACCATGCCCTTCACAACAGCACTCTTTATTTTCATGCAGCCAGTCAGCAGGGCTGAGAACTTGCCCCAGGTTACAGGCTGCCCAGCTAAGAAAACAATTTGTAGATTTAATGCCATCCCCATCAAGCTACCAATTACTTTCTTCACAGAATTGGAAAAAACTACTTTAAAGTTCATATGGAAACAAAGAAGAGCCCACACTGCCAAGACAATCCTAAGCCAAATGAGGAAAGATGGAGGCATCACGCTACCTGACTTCAAACTATACTACAAGGCTACAATGACCAGAACAGCATGGTACTGGTACCAAAACAGAGATATAGATCAATTGAACAGAACAGAGCCCTCAGAAATAATACCACACATCTACAACCATCTGATCTTTTACAAACCTGACAAAAACAAGAAATGGGGAAAGGATTCCCTTTTTAATAAAGGTGCTGGGAAAACTGGCTAGCCATATGTAGAAAGCTGAAACTGGATCCCTTCCTTATACCTTATACAAAAATTAATTCAAGATGGATTAAAGGCTTAAATGTTAGACCTAAAACCATAAAAACCCTAGAAAAAAACTTAGGCAATACCATTCAGGACATAGGCATGGGCAAGGACTTCATGTCTAAAACACCAAAAGCAATGGCAACAAAAGCCAAAATTGAGAAATGGGATCTAATTAAACTAAAGAGCTTCTGCACAGCAAAAGAAACTACCATCAGAGTGAACAGGCAACCTACAGAATGGGAGAAAATTTTTGCAATTTTCTTCTCTGACAAAGGGCTAATATCAAGAATCTACAAAGTACTCAAACAAATTTACAAGAAAAAATCAAACAACCCCATCAAAAAGTGGGCGAAGGATATGAACAGACACTTCTCAAAAGAAGACATTTATGCAGCCAAAAAACACATGAAAAAATGCTCATCATCACTGACAGTCAGAGAAATGTAAATCAAAACCACAACGAGATACCATCTCACACCAGTTAGAATGACAATCATTAAAAAGTCAGGAAATAATAGGTACTGTAGAGGATGTGGAGAAATAGGAACACTTTTACACTGTTGGTGGGAGTGTAAACTAGTTCAACCATTGTGGAAGACAGTGTGGCAATTCCTCAAGGATCTAGAACTAGAAATACCATTTGACCCAGCCATCCCATTACTGGGTATATACCCAAAAGATTATAAATCATGCTGCTATAAAGACACATGCACACATGTGTTTATTGTGGCACTATTCACAATAGCAAAGACTTGGAACCCAGCCAAATGTCCAACAATGATAGATTGGATTAAGAAAATGTGGCACATATACACCATGGAATACTATGCAGCCATAAAAAATGATGAGTTCATATCCTTTGTACGGACATGGATGAAGCTGGAAACCATCATTCTCAGCAAACTATCTCAGGGACAAAAAACCAAACACCATATGTTCTCACTCATAGATGGGAATAGAACAATAAGAACACTTGGACACAGGAAGGGGAACATCACACACTGGGGCCTGTCGTGCGGTGGGGGGAGGGGAGAGGGAATAGCATTAGGAGATATACCTAAGGTTAAATGAGGAGTTAATGGGTGCAGCACACCAACATGGCACATGTATACATATGTAACAAACCTGCACGTTGTGCACATGTACCCTAGAACTTAAAGTACAATAAAAATAAAAAAGAAGAAAGAAAACAAGCAAACTCACAGTTCCTTGGCTGTTCCATGAAGACTGCAGTGGCAATCCACCTCCTTCAAAGGGTCTGCGGATTCTCTTGGTTTTCCTGGTATGTTCCTGTGGTAGTTTTTGGAGCAAAAGTTCATGATGTGGGTCTCTATACACTGCTCTGTCTGACTTACCGGGAGTTGCAAGTTAGTCCTGCCTCCTATCCACCATTTCCCCCTCTTCTGCAATACTACTAATTGGGGTTTATTCCACATATGTTGGTTCAATTTTTGAAATTCAAATAATTTAATCCACCACATCATCATGTGAAAGAAAAAAAATCACATGCTTATAATCATTAGTGCAGAAAAAGTGTTTGACCAAATCTAATACCTATTAATGATAAAAACTCTCAGTGAACTAGAAATAGAGAGCAAATACCTCAAGTCAACAAAAAATTTCTAAAAAAACCCTATAGCTAATATCACTTAATGATGAGATACTGTATGTTTTCTCCCCTAAGATGACAGCAAGGTAAGGATGTTCCCTCTCACCATTTCTGTTCAATAGCATACTGGAAGTTCTAGCTAATGCAGTAAGACAAGAAAGGGAAATACAGTATATGCAGATTGGAAAGAAAAAAATAAAACTATCATGGTGCACAGATAACATAAGTATCTATGTAGAAAATGACAAAGAATCAACAACAACAAAAACTCCTGGATGTAATGTGCTACTATTGTAAGGTCACGAGATACAAGATTAAAGTACAAAATCCATTTTTTCCTTTATAACAGTGAGTAAAAATGAAAATTTGAAATTAATTTCAAATTCATAACACCATTTTACATCAAGAAAATAAAATAATTAGGTATAAGTGTAACAAAACATGTACAGAATCTATATATGCTAAATTATAAAATTATAGTAAAATTATTAATGATCTAAATGAACAGTGAAATAATATAGTTCATGAATTAGAACACTCAATATTTTTAAGATGCCAATTCTTTCTATGTTGATCTATATGGTAAATGTAATCTCAATCAGAATCCCAGCAAACTATTTGTAGATATTGACAAAATTATTCTAATGTTGATATGGAATGGAAAAATAGCCACCAAAATATTAAAGAAAGACAAAGTTGAAGAATCATTACTGTTGTAATAAATGGTGCTAGTACAATTGGATGTTCACGTGTGAAAGCAATATAGACACAGACCTTACATCTTCCACAAAAATTAACTCCAAATGAATTGTAGACCTAAGTGTAAGACAGAAAACTGTGAAACCTCTAGAAGAAAATTAGATAGAATCTAGATTACATTGAATTTGATCATGAGAATTCAGATATAACATTTTACATGCTCTAAGCACAATCCATGAAAAACATGTTAGATTTTATTATCACATAAAACTCCGCTCTGCAAGACACATTAAGAGAAAAAAAGACAAGCCACAAACTTGGAGAAAATATTTATAAAACACATATTTGATAAATTGTATCCTAAACATAAAAAGGACACTTAAAACTTAACCACAAGAAAATAAACAACTCAATAAAAAAGTGGACCAAAAAATCTCAACATAGAATTTACCAAAAAGACATATATATTGCAAGTGAGCATGTGAAAAAATGCTTATCATTATATATTCTGATAGAATTGCAAATTAAAGTAGAAATGAGATACCACTATGTACCTATTAAAATGGCTAAAATAAGAAAAAATCTTGACAATATCAAACATAGGCAAGGATTAACAGGAACTCTCATTTTTTGCTGATGAGACTGCAAAATGTTACAGCCACTTTGGAAGAAAGTTTGGCAGATTCTTTGCAAACTAAACATAGTCTTACTATACAATCCAACAGTCATGCGCTCAAGTATTTATCAGATAGAGTTGAAAATTTATATTGACACAAAAATTGTGCATGAATGTTTATAGCCACTTTATTCATTATGTCCCCAAACTGGAAGAAATCAAGAGTTTTCATAAATGGACACACAAATGGTAGCACATCAATATGATGACATTTTATTCACCAAAATAAATGAATGAGAAAATAAATAAATGAATAATTAGCCATGAAGTCATGAAAAGATATACAGGGGCCTTAAGTGTATATGGTGCAGTAAAGGAGTCAGTCTGATAAGGCTAAACATTTTGTGATTCATGTTATATACATTTGGGAAAAGACCAAACTGTAGCAACTGTAAAAATTTCAGTGGGTGCCAGAGGGTAGGTGTGTATAGAAGGAGTGGGGAAAGGATTAGGATGAATGGCGAAGTGCAGGAAATTTTCAGACTGGCAAGACTATTTTGTGTCATACTGCATGGGTGGATATATGAAATTATGCATATATCAAGGCATCCAGAACTTTATGATACAATGTGAAACTTAATATATGCAGATTTTAATAAATCATATAGTTGATTGCATTATATTAGGAATAAATTTATGCTGCAACAAAAGAATCAAACTGTATTACAAATGTATGAAATAACTCACTAAATGGAGTGGGGAAAAATTTCTCACCTAAGTAACTACGAATGTATAAAATATGCCAGTTTAAAGACAGAATAAACTGTACACAAGTAATATACTCTACTAAATAAAATTTTTCCCATGGGGGTATGGTGAACAATTCTGATACTGCTATGCAAGTATACTGAAATTAATAATTAAGTAAATGGACAGCAAATTGAGGGAGCCAGTTTTTTTCTTTAACAATTGGAATGGACATTCACAACTTAGCAAAGGAGAAGGCTGGAATAATCCATATAGCAATGGGTTAGAGTTGAAGACTTCAGTAAGATCTCATGTTAAATCAATAAAAAAGCAGATGTATATATATATATGCATATATATGTATACATATATATATGCATATATATGTATACATATATATATGCATACCTATATGCATATATATATGCATATAGGTATGCATATATATATGCATATAGGTATGCATATATATATGCATACCTATATGCATATACACAGGCTAGTGTGCATACAAGTATTGCTTTGCTCCACCAACTAAGAGTGCCTAAAAGAAATTATATTCCAGTAGCAACAAGCACACCTAACCCTCAGATCTTAATCTCCAATATTATTCTCCAATAAGGAACTAGAGCTCCGTGGAGAAACAGCTTCCTCTAGGACTGAGGCAGGAAACATAGAAAATGATCCAAGAGGTTATATTGTCAAAAGTAAGGAAATACTTAAACAAAACGTCACATTGAGTGGGTATGTCAAAAGGATGGAAGCTATCTGAAAGATCGAGCCATAGCATAAGCTGAAAAAGTTTGAGCAACAAGATAAATAAATAAAATAGTATTCAATTATAACCCCAAAAGTAAAATAGATATTCATGAATCCATAGTGATATAAATGATTGAATAAATTAAAAACAGAGGAGAAAAATCTCTTGTGCAGAAGAATTCCAAATAAATTATGTAGATACTATACCCTAAAGGAGGGGGAGCAGAAATACCCACTCCTTAAATGCATACTGCACATACTAACTTGCTTTGAAAGGATACAGGATGAACTTAGGGAAGAAACATAAAATTTTACAATGAAGAAGCCTGACAAACTACTTCTACTAGCTGATCAAGATTGACATCAATAGATATAAATCATGTGGACACAGTGTGTCCTTGATGTAATGTGATACATTTTACCTCTGTATGACATTATGTCAATGTGATTTTACCTCTGTGATCTTGCTTCCAAAAACCCAAAGTCCCAGTATAATTAGAAAAAAAAAGCATTAAAAAATTCTAGTGGCGGGGCATAATTAATGAGTACTCCTCAGAACTTTCAAGGACATCAAAATCAAGAAAAACGGTCATAGCCAAAACGTCCTAAGTAGACATAACAACTAAATGTAATATAGTACATTGGATGAGATTCTGGAATAAGAAAAGGACATTAGGTAAAAATGAAGGAACTCTGAGTAAACTATAGACTTTAGTTGATCATAATATATTAATATTGTTCATAAATTGTAACAGATGCACCATGCCAATGTAAGATGTTAATAATAGAGGACAGAAAAATATCTAATAAACTCCAAAACCTTTCCCCAGGTGACACACAGACACATACACACGTGCACGCACACACACACACACACACACACACACACACACCAATAACCACCAAAAATGACTAAATTAAGCTTTGGAAAACATTCAAAAGTCTACGGCAACCAAGCAAATAACCCATCAACATAAAGCTATATTCAAACTGACAGGAAATTTTATTGCATTTTTACAAGCTCTGACCCAGCTCTTTCCCTGGCACAGTATTTAGTTTGAGCCTGGAAGACGTGGCAACCCAGTTCCAAATTCACTCCCTCAAATTCAAGGGAGCAAAACAGATTATACTTGTAATGTTCTAATCCATATAATCCAACATAAAGGACTAGTTTCTGTTCTGCTTAACTCTGATGTCAGTCAAGGAAAAGCATCATAACTCAGAATAAGTTCAGCAGAAAGCAGTGGCACTGCTTTTAAAAGCTGCTGGGTGTCTATTGAGCTGCACACACCTGGTGCAAAGATTATAGGTGAGAATGGCTGGCAAGATGGATGAATAGGAACAGCTCCGGTCTGCAGCTCCCAGCGAGATCTATGCAGAAGGCAGGTGATTTCTGCATTTTCGACTGAAGCACCCAGCTCATCTCATTGACACTGGTTAGACAGTGGGTGCAGCCCATGGAGGGTGAGCCAAAGCAGGGTGGGGTGTTGCCTCACCCAGGAAGCACAAGGGGTTGGGGAACTTCCTCCTCTAACCAAGGGAAACCGTGAGGGACTGTGCCATGAGGAATGGTGCATTCTGGCCCACATACTACACTTTTCCCATGGTCTTCACAATCCACAATCCAGGAGATTCCCTCAGGTGCCAACACCACCAGGGCCCTGGGTTTCAAGCACAAAACTGGGTGGCCATTTGGGCAGACACTGAGCTAGCTGCAGGGGTTTCTTTTCATACCACAGTGGTGCCTGGAATGCCAGTGAGACAGAACCATTCACTTCCCTGGAAAGGGGGCTGAAGCCAGAGAGCCAAGTAGTCTAGCTCAGCGGATCCCACCCCCATGGAGCCCAGCTAGCTATGATTCACTGGCTTGAAATGCTCACTGACAGCACAGCACTCTGAAGTCTACCAGGGATGTCTGAGCTTGGTGGGGGAAGGGGAGTCCTCCATTACTGAAGCTTGAGTAGGCAGTTTTCCACTCACAGTGTAAACAAAGCTGATGGGAAGTTCAAACTGGGCAAAGCCCTCTGCAGCTTGGCAAACCCGCTGTAGCCAGACTGCCTTTCTAGATTCCTCCTCTCTTGGCAGGGCATCTCTGAAAGAAAAGCAGCAACTCCACTCAGGGGCTTATAGATAAAACTCCCATCGCCCTGGGACAGAGCACGTGGGAAAAGTGGCAGCTGTGGGCACAGCTTTGACAGACTTAAACGTTCCTACCTGCCAGCTCTGAAGAGAGCAGTGGATTTCCCAGCACAGTGCTTGAGCTCTGCTAAGGGACAGACTGCCTCCTCAAGTGGGTCCCTGACCTCCATGTCACCTGACTGGGAGACACTTCCCAGCAGGGGACGATGGACACCACATACAGGAGAGCTCTGGCTGGCATCTGACAGGTGCCCCTCTCGGATGAAGCTTCCAGAGGAAGCAATCATTTGCTGTTCTGCTGTCTCCACTGGTGATATCCAGGCAAACAGGGTCAGGAATGGACCTCCAGCAAACTCCAGCAGACCTGCAGCTGAGGGGCCTGACTGTTAGAAAGAAAACTAACAAACAGAAAGGAATAGCATCAACATCAATAAAAAGCATGTTCACACAAAAAACCCATCTGAAAGTAACCAACATCAAAGACCCAAAGGTAGATAAATTCACAAACATGAGGAAAAACCAGTGCAAAAAGTGGAAAATTTTTAAAACCAGAATGCCTGTCCTCATCCAAAGAATCACGACTCCTCTCCAGCAATGGAACAAAACTGGATGGAGAATGAGTTTGACAAATTGACAGAAGTAGGCTTCAGAAGGTGGCTAACAACAAACTCCTCCAAGCTAAAGGAGCATGTTCTAACACAGTGCAGGAAGCTAAGAACCTTGAAAAAAGGTTAGACGAATTGCTAACTAGAATAACCAGTATAGAGAAGAACATAAATGATCTAATGGAGCTGAAAAACACAACACGAGAACTTCATGATGCATACACAAGTTTCAATAGCCTAATCAATCAAGTGGAAGAAAAGATATCATACAGTGAAGATCAATTTAATGAAATAAAGCATGAAGACAAGATTAGAGAAAGAAGAATGAAAAGGAATGAACAAAGTCTCCAAGAAATATGAGACTATATGAAAAGACCAAACCTACATTTGATTGGTGTACCTGAAAGTGACAGGGAGAATGGAACCAAGTTGGAAAACACTCTTCAAGATATCATCCAGGATCATCCAGGAGAACTTCCCCAACCTAGCAAGACAGACCAACATACAAATTCAGGAAATACAGAGAACACCACAAAGATACTCCTAAAGAAGAGCAACCACAAGACACATAATTGTCAGATTCACCAAGATTGAAATGAAGGAAAAAATGTTAAGGCAAGCCAGAGAGAAAGGTCAGGTTCCTCACAAAGGGAAACCCATCAGACTAAAAGCAGGTCTCTTTGCAGAAACGCTACAAGCCAGAAGAGAGTAGGGGCCAATATTCAACATTCTCTTTTCTTAGATGGAATTTCACTCTTGTTGCCCAGGCTGGAGTGCAATTGCACGATCTCAACTCACTGCAAACTATGCCTCCCGGGTTCAAGTGATTCTTCTGCTTCAGCCTCCATAGTAGCTGGGATTATAGGCATGTGCCACCACAACTGGCTAATTTTTTGTATTTAGTAGAGACAGAATTTCACCATGTTGGTCAGGCTGGTGTGGAACTCCTGACCTCAGGTGATCCACCCTCCTCAGCCTTTGAAAGTGCTGGGATTACAGGCATGTGCCACTGCACCCAGCCCATATTTAACATTCTTAAAGAAAATAATTTTCAACCCAGAATTTCATATCCAGCCAAACTAAGCTTCATAAGCAAAGGAGAAATAAAATCCTTTACAGACAGGCAAATGTTGAGAGATTTTGTCACCACCAGGTATGCCTTACAAGAGTTCCTGAAAAAAATCACTAAATATTAAAAATAAAAACTGGTGCAAGCCACTGCAAAAACATACCAAATTGTGAAGACCACCGATAGTATGAAGAAACTACATCCACTAATGGGCAAAATAACCAGCTAGCATCATAATGACAGGAACAAATTCACACACAAAAATATTAACCTGAAATGTAAATGGGCTAAATGCCCCAATTAAAAGACACAGAATGGAGCATGAGCGACACAGAAGATGGATGATTTCTGCATTTCCAACTGAGGTACCAGGTTCATCTCACTGGTGCTTGTCGGGCGGGGGTGCAGGACAGTGCGTGCAGTGCACTGAGCATGAGCCGAAGCAGGATGAGGTATCGCCCCACCCGAAAAGTGCAAGGGGTCAGGGAATTCCCTTTCCTAGCCAAGTGAAGCTGTGATAGATGGCACCTGGAAAATCGGGTCACTCCCACCTAATACTGCACTTTTCCAATGGTCTTAGCAAACGGCACGCCAGGAGATTATATCCCACACCTGGCTCATAGGGTCCCATGCCCATGGAGCCTCTCTCATTGCTAGCACAGCAGTCTGAGATCAACTGCAAGGCAGCAGTGAGGCTGGGGGAGGGGCACCCACAATTGCCAAGGCTTGAGTAGGTAAACAAAGTGGCCGGGAAGCTCGAATGGGGTGGAGCCCACTGAAGCTCAAGGAGGCCTGCCTGCCTCTGTAGACTCCACCTCTGGGGGCAGAGCATAGCCGAACAAAAGGCAGCAGAAACCTCTTCAGACTTAAATGTCCCTGTCTGACAGCTTTGAAGAGAGTAGTGGTTCTCCCATCATGGAGTTTGAGATCTGAGAACGGACAGACTGCCTCCTCAAGTGGCTCCCTGACCCCCGAGTAGACTAACTGGGAGGCATCTCCCAGTAGGGGCAGACTGACACCTTACAAAGCTGAGTACCTCTCTGAGATGAAACTTCCAGAGAAACGATGAGGCAGCAACATTTGCTGTTCATCAATATTCGCTGTTCTGCAGCCTCCGCTGCTGATACCCAGGCAAACAGGGTCTGGAGTGGACCTCTAGCAAACTCCAACAGACTTGCAGCTGAGTGTCCTAATTGTTAGAAGGAAAACTAACAAACAGAAAGGACATCATACCAAAACCCCATCTGTATATCACCATCATCGAAGACCAAAGGTAGATAAAACCACAAAGATGGGGAAAAAACAGAGCAGAAAAGCTGAAAATTCTAAAAGTCAGAGCACCTCTCCCCCTCCAAAGGAATGCAGTTCCTCACCAGCAATGGAAAAAAGCTGGATGGAGAATGACTTTGATGAGTTGAGAGAAGAAGCCTTCAGATGATCAAACTTCTCTGAGCTAAAGGAGGAAGTTCAAACCCATTGCAAAGAAGGTAAAAACCTTGAAAAAAGATTGGATGAATGGATAACTAGAATAACCAGTGTAGAGAAGTCCTGAAATGACCTGATGGAGCTGAAAACCATGGCATGAGAACTACGTGATGAATGCACAAGCTTCAGTAGCTGATTCGATCAACTGGAAGAAAGGGTATCAGTGATTGAAGATCAAATGAATGAAATGAAGTGAGAAGAGAAGTTTAGAGAAAAAAGGTAAAAAGAAGCAAACAAAGCCTCCAAGAAATATGGGACTATGTGAAAAGACCAAATCTACGTCTGATTGGTGTACCTGAAAGTGACGGGAGAATGGAAACAAGTTGGAAGACACTCTCCAGGATATTATCCAGGAGAATTTCCCCAACCTAGCAAGGCAGGCCAACATGCAAATTCAGGAAATACATAGAATGCCACAAAGATACTCCTCGAGAAGAGCAACTCCAAGACACATAATTGTTCACATTCACTGAAGTTGAAATGAAGGAAAAAATGTAAAGGGCAGCCAGAGAGAAAGGTCGGGTCACCCACAAAGGGAAGCCCATCAGACTACCAGCTGATCTCTCAGCAGAAACTCTACAAGCCAGAAGAGAGTGGGGGCCAATAGTCAACATTCTTAAAGAAAAGAATTTTCAACCCAGAATTTCATATCCAGCCAAACTAAGCTTCATAAGTGAAGGAGAAATAAAATCCTTTACAGACAAGTAAATGCTGAGAGATTTGGTCACCACCAGGCCTGCCCTAAAAGAGCTCCTGAAGGAGGCATTAAACATGGAAAGGAACAACCGGTACCAGCCACTGCAAAAACATGCCAAATTGTAAAGACCATCAAGGCTAGGAAGAAACTGCATCAACTAACGAGCAAAATAACCAGCTAACATCATAGTGACAGGATCAAATTCACACATAACAATATTAACCTTAAATGTAAATGGGCTAAATGTTCCGTTTAAAAGACACAGACTGGAAAATTGGATAAAGAGTCAAGATTCATCAGTGTGCTGTATTCAGGAGACCCATTTCACATGCGGAGACATGCATAGGCTCAAAATAAAGGGATGGAAGAAGCTCTACCAAGTAAATGCAAAACAAAAAAAGGCAGGGGTTGCAATCCTAGTCTTGGATAAAACAGACTTTAAACCAACAAAGATCAAAAGAGACAAAGAAGGCCATTACATAATGGTAAAGGGATCAATTCAACAAGAAGAGCTAACTATCCTAAATATATATGCACCCAATACAGGAGCACCCAAATTCATAAAGCAAGTCCTTAGAGACCTGCAAAGAGACTTAGACTCCCACACAATAATAATGGGAGACTTTAACACCACACTGTCAAAATTAGACAGATCAACGAGACAGAAAGTTAACAAGGATATCCAGGAATTGAACCAGCTCTGCACCAAGCTGACCCAATAGACATCTACACAACTCTCCACCCCAAATCAAAAGAATATACATTCTTCTCAGCACCACATCACACTTATTCCAAAATTGACCACATAGTTGGAAGTAAAGCACTCCTCAGCAAATGTAAAAGAACAGAAATTATAACAAACTGTCTCTCAGACCACAGTGCAATCAAACTAGAACTCAGGATTAAGAAACTCACTCAAAACCGCTCAACTACATGGAAACTGAACAACCTGCTCCTGAGTGACTACTGGGTACATAACGAAATGAAGGCAGATATAATGAATAAAGATGTTCTTTGAAACCAATGAGAACAAAGACACAATGTACCAGAATCTCTGGGACACATTTAAAGTAGTGTGTAGAGGGAAATTTATAGCACTAAATGCCCACAAGAGAAAGCAGGAAAGATCTAAAATTGACACCCTAACATCACAATTAAAAGAACTAGAGAAGCAAGAGCAAACACATTCAAAAGCTAGCAGAAGGCAGGAAATAACTAAGATCAGAGCAGAACTGAAGGAGATAGTGACACAAAAAACCCTTCAAAAAATCAATGAATCCAGGAGCTGGTTTTCTTGAAAAGATCAGCAAAATTGATAGACTGGTAGCAAGACTAATAAAGAAGAAAAGAGAGAAGAATCAAATAGACACAATAAAAAATGATAAAGGGGATATCACCACTGATCCCACAGAAATACAAACGAACATCAGAGAATGCTATAAACACCTCTACCCAAATAAACTAGAAAATCTGGAAGAAATGGATAAATTCCTGGACACATGCACCCTCCCAAGACTAAACCAGGAAGAAGTTGAATCTCTGACTAGACCAATAACAGGCTCTGAAATTGAGGCAATAATTAATAGCTTACCAACCAAAAAAAATTCCAGGACCAGATGGATTCACAGCCGAATTCTACCAGAGGTACAAGGAGGAGCTGGTACCATTCCTTCAAAAACTATTCCAATCAATAGAAAAATAGGGAATCTTCCCTAACTTATTTTATGAGGCCAGGATCATCCTGATGCCAAAGCCTGGCAGAGAAACAACAAAAAAAGAGAATTTTAGACCAATATCCCTGATGAACATCAATGCAAAAATCCTCAATAAATTACTGGCTAACCAAATCCAGCAGCACATGAAACAGCTTATCCACCATGATCAAGTGGGATTCATCCCTGGGATGCAAGGATGGTTCAACATACTCAAATCAATAAACAAAATTCAGCATATGAACAGAACCAAAGACAAAAACCACATGATCTCAATAGATGCAGAAAAGGTCTTTGATAAAATTCAACAGCACTTCATGCTAAAAACTCTCAATACATTAGGTATTGATAGGATGTATCTCAAAATAATAAGAGCAATTTATGACAAACCCACAGCCAATATCATCCTGAATGGGCAAAAACTGGTAGGATATAAAATCAATATGCAAAAATGACAAGCATTCTTATACACCAATAATAGACTAGCAGAGAGCCATATCATGAGTGAACTCCCATTCACAACTGCTACAAAGAGAATAAAATGCTTAAAAATACAACTCACAGGGGATGTGAAGGACCTCTTCAAGGAGAACTACAATCCACTGCTCAATTAAATAAGGGAGGACACAAGCAAATGGAAGAACATTCCATGTTCATGGATAGGAAGAATCAATATGATGAAAATGGCCATGCTGTCCAAAATAATTTATAAATTCAATGCTGTTCCCATCAAGCTACAACTGAGTTTCTTCACAGTATTAGAAAAAATTACTTTAAACTTTATATGGAACCAAAAAAGATCCTATATAGCCAAGACAATCCTAAGCAAAAAGAACAAAGCTGTAGGCATCATGCTACCTGACTTGAAACTATACTACAAGGCTACAGTAATCAAAACAGCATGGTACTGGTACCAAAACAGATATATAGACCAATTGAACAGAACAGAGGCCTCAGAAATAATGCCACCCATCTACAACCATCTGATATTTGACAAAGCTGACAAAAACAAGCAATGAGGAAAGATTCCCTATTTAATAAATGGTGTTGGAAAACTGGCTAGGCATATACAGAAAACTGAAGCTGGACCCCTTCCTTACACGTTATACAAAAATTTACTCAAGGTGGACTAAAGACTTAAACTGAAGATCTAAAACCATAAAAACCCTAGAAGAAAACCTAGGCGATACCATTCAGGACATAGGCATGGGCAAAGACTTCATGACTAAAACACAAAAAGCAATGCAACAAAAGCCAAAATTGACAAATGGAATCTAATTAAACTAAAGAGCTTCTGTACAGCAAAAGGAACTATCATCAGAGTGAACAGGCAACCTACAGAATGGGAGCAAATTTTTGCAATCTATCCATCTGACAAAGGGCTAATATCCAGAATCTACAAGGAACTTAAACAAATTTACAAGAAGAAAACAAACAACCCTATCAATAGGTAGACAAAAGATATGAACAGACACTTCTCAAGAGAAGACGTTTGTACAGCCAACAAACATATGAAAAAAAGCTCATCATCACTGGTCATCAGAGAAATGCAAGTCAAAACCACAATGAGATACCATCTCATGTCAGTTAGAATGGTGATCCTTAAAATGTCAAAAACAACAGATGCTGGAGTGGATGTTGAGAAATAGGAAAGCTTTTACACTATTGGTGGTAGTGTAAATTAGTTCAACCTTTGTGGAAGACAGTATGGTGATTCCTCAAGGATCTAGAACCAGAAATACCATTTGAGCCAGCAATCCCATTACTGGGTATATACCCAAAGGATTATAAATTATTCTACTATAAAGACACACTCACACTTGTTTATTGCAGCACTATTTACAATAGCAAAGTCTTGGAACCAACCCAAATGTCCATCAATGATAGATTGGATAAAGCAAATGTGGCACATATGCACCATTGAATACTAGGCAGCGATAAAAAAGGATGAGTTGATGTCCTTTGCAGGGACATGGATGAAGCTGGAAACCATCATTCTCAGCAAACTAACACAGGGACAGAAAACCAATATCACATGTTCTCACTCATAAGTGGGAGTTGAACAATGAGAACAGATGGACACAGGAAGGGGAACATCACACACTGGGGCCTGTTGGGAGGTGGGGGATAGGGGAGGGATATCATAAGGAGAAATGCCTAATGTAGATGACTGGTTGATGGATGCAGCAAACAACCATGGCACATTTATAACTACGTATCTCAGAACTTAAAGTATAATAATAAAAAAAGATTATAGGTGAGATACAAAATAGGCCATCATCATTAGGAGAAATACCTAATGTAGATGACTGGTTGATGGGTGCAGCAAACCACCATGGCACATTTATAACTATGTATCCCAGAACTTAAAGTAGAATAATAAAAGAATGATTATAGGTGAGATACACAATAGGCCATCTAATACTATGAGGAGAAGCTGGAGTGAGACTCTTTTGAAAATTAAGGCATGTGAATGCAGCCGTGTAGGAGTGATGTCAGTAGAATTGTGGACTAGGAAGCTCCAATACATTGTTCCCCCAAGGAAATATTGAAAAGCAACCAAAATTTGGCTAAAACAATCTTCTGGGAACCCTGAAAAAGAGTCAACAACTAAGTGAAAGGACAATAAAGAAAAAAACACATACCAAATAGTAAAACATTTTTTAGTATTTTTCTCACTCCACCTACCTTCCCCCAGAGTGTCATAGTCTTGCTCTGGAGGAGGCAGTAGCCCAGTTCTTAACTTCCACCTTCCAACTGGAGGAAGAAAAGAGGACAATATTTTCATGTCCTAAACTGTCTGAGAGCTGCCTGAAGAACAAGCCTCTGTTGTATCTATCTTACAGCTCATGTCAGAAAAAGCAGCAGAAAGCAGCAAACAGGGCTTATAAAATCTGTAGAAGGACTAGGATTGTGATGGTTAATATTCAGTGTCAACTTGATTGTATTAAAGGATGCAAAGTATTGTTTCTGGGTGTATCTGGGTGTTTCTGGGTGTTACCAGGAGAGATTAACATTTGAGTCAGTGGATTGGGAGAGGAAGACCCATCCTCAGGAAAACTCAAAGAGCACCATCCAGTTGGCTGCCAGCATAGCTAGAAAAAGCAGGCAGAAGAAAATGGATGAAGCTGACTTGCTGAGTCTTCTGGCCTTCATCTTTCTCCCATGCTGGATGCTTCCTGCACTTGAACATCAGATTACAAGTTCTTCAGCTTTTTCGACTCTTGGACTTACATCAGTGTCTTGCCAGGTGCTCTTGGGCCTTTGGCCACAGACCAAATGCTGCACTGTTGGCTTACTTACTTTTGAGGCTTTGGGATTTGGACTGAGCCACCACTGGTTTTCTTGCTCCTCAACTTGCAGATGGCCTATCGTGGAACTTCAACTTGCAATTGTGTGAGTCAATTATTCTTATTAAACTCCTTGTTGTATATTTATATATCCTATTAGTTCTGTCCCTCTATAGAACCCAGACTAATAAAAGCATCCACAAATGTCTGGGCCAAGATGTTACAAATGGAGATGTACACTCAACCATTGAAGGCTGTGAGGAAAAGCTGAGGTGACAGTGTTTGGAAAATTAAAATATTTAAAGCAGCCATGTATTGGTGGAACCAGCCCCCAATATTTCAACATGGGTTCTTTCTATGTTCTCTAAGTGTAGGCTGGTCTGACAAATAAAGAGAAAGAGTACAAATAGAGGAATTTTACAGCTGGGCCTCCAGGGGTAACATCACATATCGGTAGGTCCATGATATCCCCTGAGCCTCAAAACCAGCAAGTTTTCATTACAGATTTCAAAAGGGGAGGGGGTGTATGAATAGGGAGTAGGTCACAAAGATCACATGCTTCTGAGGCCAATAAAGATCACAAGGCAAAGGGCAAAGCAAGATCACAAGGCAAAGGCAAAATTAGAATTACTGATGAGGGTCTATATTTGGCTGTGCACATATTGTCTTGATAAACATCTTAAACAACAGAAAACAGGGTTCGAGAGCAGAGAACTGGTCAGACCTCAAATTCACCAAGGTGGGATTTTTTTCCCACCCTAATAAGCCTGAGGGTACTGCAGGAGACCAGGGCGTATTTCGGTCCTATCTCAACCACATAAGACAGACACTCCCAGGGTGGACATTTATAGACCTCCCCCCAGGAAAGCAATTCTTTTCCTAGGGTCTTAATATTTAATATTCCTTGCTAGGAGAAGAATTTAGTGATATCTCTCCTACTTGCACGTCCATTTATAGGCTCTCTGCAAGAAGAAAAATATGGCTCTATTCTGCCAGAGCCCGCAGGCAGTCAGACCTTGTGGTTGTCTTCCCTTTTTCCCTAAAATGGCTGTTATTCTGTTCTTTTTCAAGGTGCACTGATTTCATATTGTTCAAACACACATGTTTTACAATCAATTTGTACAATTAGATACAATTATAGTGGTCCTGAGGTGACGTACATCCTCAGCTTATGAAGATAACAGGATTAAGAGATTAAAGTAAAACAGGCCTAAGAAATTAAAAAAGTATTAATTTTGGGAACTGATAAATGTCCATGAAATCTTCACAATTTATGTTCAAAGACTGAAGTAAAGACAGGTGTAAGAAATTATAAGAGTATTATTAGGGAAGTGATAAATGCCCATGAAATCTTCACAATTTATGTCCCTCTGCCGCGGCTCCAACTGGTCCCTCCATTCAGGGTCCCTGACTTCCTGCAACAGCCATGTATGTGAGAGAATTGAAAAAGCAACATATAAGCCCAGGCAATATGTATGCTCAGAAAAGAAGTGAAGAGATATTAATCTTTCTACTCAGGCTGATCCCTAGGGTCAGAACCTGCCCTGCTAATTAGTGAAAGACTTCCCAGGTACAAGCAGTCTGCAAAGATTGGAAGAGGTGGCTTTTTTCCAAATGTGCAATTTTCAATAGCAACTGCAAAAACAACAACAAAAACCCACCGGGCATTCATAGAAACAGGAAAACATAGTGTATTGAAATAAATAAATTAAAGTGGTGAAAATCAACACTCAGGAAACACAGACAGGCTGAGTGTGATAGCTCATGCCTGTAATCCCAGCATTTGGGAGGCTGAGGTGGGTGGATCACTTGAGATCAGGAGTTCAACACCAACCTGCCCAACATAGTGAAACCCCGTCTCTACTAAAATTACAAAAATTAGCTGGGTGTGTTGACAAGCACTTGTAGTCCCAGCTACTTGGGAAGCCTGAAGAAGGAGAATCACTTGAACCTGGGAGGCGGAGGCTGCAGTGAGCTGAAATCATGCCACCGTGCTGCAGTCTGGGAAACAGAGTTAGACTCTGTCTCAAAAAGAAAAGAAAAGAAACACAGGCATCAGAATAACTAGACAAAGTAATTAAAACAACAGACTTAAATATGCTCAAATTGCCAAAATATACAGACAAAAAACTAAAGGATATCAGAGAAATTATATATAAAAATTAGAATATTAGGCAGGGCACATTGGCTCACGCCTGTAATCCCAGCACTTTGGGAGGCTGAGATGGATGGATTGCCTGAGCTCAGGAGTTTGACACTAGCCTGGGCAACATGGTGAAACCCTGTCTCTACCAAAATACAAAAAATTAGCTGGGTGTGGTGGCGTGCACCTGTAGTCCCAGCTGCTGGAGAGGCTGAGGCACAAGAATTGCTTGAACCTGGGAGGTGGAGGTTGCAGTGATCTGAGATCATGCCAGTGCACTCCAGCCTGGGCAACAGAGTGAGAATCCATCTAAAAAAAAATGTTTACAAAGAAAAATTATAAAATGAGACCAAACAAATTTGGGAGCTTAAAAATTCAATAACTGGATTTAAAAATTCATTAGAGAACTTCAACAAATTACTCAAGCACACAGAAAAAAGAATCATTGAATTCAAAAATAGAACAATTAAAATTATTGAGTATGAGGAGAAGAAAATGAAGAAAAGTGGGCAAAACCTAAGGAACACAAGACACTATCAAAAGGACCAATATATATATTATAGAATTTCCAGAAAGAGAAGAGTGAAAGAACGGGGCAGAGGGCTTATTTGAATAAATAATTGGCTAAATATTTCTCATATTTGAGAAAAGATATAAATACAAATAAAAGGAAGTCAACAAATTTCAAGTAGTATAAACCCAAAGAGACCCAGACAGAAACACATTATAATCAAACTGTCAAAATTCAAAGACAAAGAAAGTATCTTTAAAGTAGCAAGATAAAAGCTACTTGTCACATACAAGGGAATCTCAATAAGATTTTCAAAAGATTTATCAGCAGAAATCATGGAAGCTATTGGGCAGTGGGATGTATTGAAAAAAATAAAAGCCAAATTGTGTAAAATATTTGAGGAGGTTTCCTCTGAGCCAAAAGTTAAGACAATGACCCATGACACAGCCTCAGGAGATCCTAAGAACATGTACACAAGGTGTTTTGGTTACAGCTTGGTTTTATACATTTTATGAAGATAAATTTTATACATTTTATGACTCAACCTGGCCTACAAGAAATGGAAAATCATGTCAATTATTTAAGATGAAATAAAAGGATACTAAACAGTAACTTGAAGTCATATGAAGATATAAAAATATCTGATAAAGGTAAATACAGGAGCAAATATATGAAAACAGCATTATTGAGTAATTAAAATTTCTATTTTAGGTTCAGGGGTGCATGTGCGAATTTTTTGTATAGGTAAATTATGTTTCACAAGAGTTTGCTATACAGATTGTCACCCAGGTAATAAGCATAGTAACCAATAGGTAGTTTTTTAATCCTCACCTTCTTCCCACTCTCTATCCTCAAATAGACCCTTGTGCCAATTGCTCCCTTCTTTGTGTTCATGTGTACTTAATACTTAGCTCCCACTTATAAGTGAGAACATGCTGTATTTGGATTTCTGTTCCTGCTTTGTTTAAAATAAATGACCTCCAGTTGCATCTATGTTGATGCATAGGACTTCTATGTTGATGCATAGGACATTATCACACTCTTTTTTATGGCTGTGTACTATTCCATGGTGTACCATATTTTCTTTAGCCAGCCTACTGTTGATGGACATTTAGGTTAATTCCATGTCTTTGCTATTGTGAATAGTGCTGCAATTAACATGCATGTGTGTATGTCTTTATAATAGAATGATTTATGTTCATTTGGGTATATACCCAATGATGGGATTGCTGGGTCAAGTGGAAAAAAAAAACATAAAAAAAACAGTATTGTAATTTTGGTTAGTAACTATAATTTGAATTATTCTACTTGATTTAAAAAACAAATGTATAAAAATAATTATAAATCTATGTTAATAGGTACACAATATATAAAGATGTAACTTGTGACATCAATATAATAAGGTGTGGAGGGTGGTGATAGGGGATAGAGCTATAAAGGAGTTGTCTTTTCATGTGATTAAAGTTAAGTTTATATCAATTCAAAATTGATTGTTATTAGTTTATTTTGTTATATGTGACTCCCATGGGTAATCACAAAATATATGTATAGAATACACACACAAAAATTTTTTTTAAATGTATCTTTGCAAAAAATCAACTAGGCACAGAGGAAGACTGTAGGGAAAAAAATGAGGGATAAAAGCACTGTAAGATACAGAAAATTAGAAATAGTTCTTTGCAGCAAGTAATTGCTTCATGTAAATAGGTGAAACTCCCTAATAATAAAGCACAGATTGGCAGAATCAATTGAAAAAGTTACCCTACTATATGCAGACTACAAAAGATTTTCCACATATAAAGACAAGCTTAAGTTGAAATTTAAAAAAAATGTAAAAAGATATTGCATGCAAATAGTAAACAATGGAGATCAGGGTGGTTATAGTAACATCAGATACAATAAATTTTAAGTCAAAAATTGTTTCACAAGAAAAGAAGGATTTTATGTATTGATAAAATAATCATTTCAACAAAAAGAAAAAACCAATTATAAAAATACATGCACCAAATATCACAGCCTATATATACGTATGAAGCACACATTGATGGAGTTGAAGGGAGAACCAGACAACTGTACAATAATACTGAAATTTTAAAACTTTATTTTTAATAATGGATAGTGTAAACCAAAAAATGAAATTCTAAGCCTACCAACCAACAGAATGGAACCTCTTCTCAGCCAAGATGATCCCCAAAAAGCCTGAAAAGCTAGTTCAGGCCATGATAGGAAGGGAGGATCAGACATGTTTTATTATACCCTCCTCCCTTTGGAGTTTAGACACAACTGGCAAGAATTAACATTAAAGCAGCGATCTTAAGACTGACAAAATAGATGCTTTGTTGCAATAAAACACCAAATTCCAACCTAACTGCTATAACATCACATGACAAATAGCAGGCCCTGAGGGAAATCAAAGTATTTTACCCTAAAATATATTGCCTTGACATATTTTGAAATGGTCCTGAAAAGTTACCTCTTATGTGGGAAATTAATATTCTGTAGAGAATCTCCATCCCCTACTAGGTCTTTTCATGATAGTCTGACACCCTTTAAGGTCTCATAAGAGACATTCACAACTATTCACTCTGAAACTTGATATCTGTAGGGTTCATCTACATGATAAGAACCTTGGCTTCCACAACACCCCCTTACCTTAACCTAATTTGACTTCAACTCTTCAGACAAAGCTTAATTCTTACAACCAATTGCCAATCAGAAAATCTCTGAATACACATATCATCTGGGAACCCCCATTTTGAGGTGTCCTGCTTTCTGGGCCAATCAATGTAAAACTTACATATATTGCCTGTAATTTCTCTCTCCCTAAAATGTATAAAATCCAGCAGTAAAATCAAGCACAAGTTTTCAGAACCTCCTGAGACTGTGTCAAGAGCCAACAGAAAAGCGTATTCATAAGAACGAAAAATATACTCTAAATTTGTTGAGACCTGTCTCAGATACTTTTTGGCTTACAAATTAGTGACCAACAGACAGGACTCCATGGTGCTTGGTATAGCTTATATATACATATGAATCAAACATTGCTTAGGCTTTGGCTATTTTGATTATTCAAACCAATAGGAAAATTTGCTGACATCTGGAACCTTCCCCCTCCCAGAGGATCACCAATCTCCCAAAATTTGGGAAATAACTAATGTTTATTTTGCTGTACAACTCTTTTTCTTGAGATTTACTCACTTCCAAAAAGGAAGATTTGCTTTTCCAGCTTTTAAAATGGTAGAGAGCAGTTTTCAGCCTGGGCCCCTTTCCTAGGTAAGTACCTGAGCTGGAGTTTTGTATTAAAAATTCTCCTTAATAACTAAAAGTTATGATTTACAATAAGCTGGTCTTGATTTCTCCTTTTCATTAGAGTGCTCAGTTATAGTATAAATTGTATAATCATTTGTTTGTTTTGCTTAACTGTTTTGTGTTTATTCATTTGTTTCTGATTTCATTGTTTGTATTTTCTTCTTGTTGTTTTTTTCTTTTTCACATTGGGTTTGACCAACTGTATCCTATTTGGTTAAATCCAAAGGAGAATTCCCAATTATGAAAAACAAGACCTGTGAATTGGTTAAAACTTCAGCAGATGCAAAATGAAAAATAAAAATTAAAAAAGGCCAGCAAAAAAAAAAAAGTTAATTATTTTTGACTACTTCAGGGGTTTCATCTATATAACAAGCCACCTTTTGCTAGCCAAGACTAAACTACCTCTAGTTTTTCTTCTAGAAAGAGCAATGGCAACTGTCTCCTGCTGTAGTTCACTAGCTAAGACTTTACCCTTTTTACAATGACAGCCTGTGTATGGCTCCTAAATCAAATCCTGTCTGGTTTGGTATTTGTATTACTTTTAAAACATTATCTATTTGTCCCAGCTAAAATATGATAGAGGAACCCTGGGAGAGGGCAGAGCATGGAGTCAGAATAGAAGGCTCCACCAATTGTCTGACCCACAAGTACACCAATTTAACAAATACACACACACACACACACACACACACACACACACACACACACACACACTCCTTCATAAGAACCAAAAATCAGTTGAGCATGTATAGTACCTGGTTTTAACATCATATCACTGAAAGAGGCACTGAGGAGGTAGGAAAAAGAATCTTGAGTTATAGATGCCATGCCTCCTCCACACGTGGCAACAGTGGCATGATGTGTAAGCATTTCTATAGGCTGGGGAGAGAATCCAGAATTTGTGAGGCATTGAACTCAGTGATTCTCTATTATAACAGAAAACAAAACTGGACCAAACTCAGCTGACACCCAGCCATGGAGGGAGCACTTAAACCAGCCCTAGGTAGAGGTGAATTGCCCATCCCAGTGGTCAGAATTTGAGTTCCTGCAAGCTTTGCCATTATGGGGTACAGTTCTCTGGGGCCCCAAATAAACTTAAAAGGCAGTTTAGGCCACAAGGGCTGTGCCCTAGATGAGTCCTAGTGCCAAATTGGGCCCAGAGCCAGTAGACTTGGGATACACATGACCTAATATAACACCAGCTGGGGCAATAAGGGAGTGTTGGCATCACCCCTCCCTAACCCCAGGCTGTAGAACTCATGGCTACAAAAGAGACCCCTTCCCTCTGCTTGAGGAGACAGAAGAGTGGGAAGAACTTTGTTTTGCATCTTGGATATCTGCTCAGCCACAGTAGAAAAGAGTAACAGTCAGAGTCATAGGGCCACCTTTCCAAGCCCTAGCTCCTGGACAATATTTCTAGACACACCCCGGGTAAGAAGGATACATGCTGCTTTGAAGGGAAGGACCCAGTCTCAGCAGGATTCACCACTTGCTAACTGAAGAGCTCTTGAGCCCTGAATAATCAGAAGCAATACCCATGTATTACAGTGAGAGCCTTGGTTGAGCCTTGGGACTTGCTGGTTTCTGGTGAGAATCAGCACATTTCCAGCTGTGGTGGCTATGGAGCAAGACTCCTTCCACATGAGAAAAGCAGAAGGAAAGGCAAAGAGAACTTTGTCTTGCACCTTTGGCACCACCTAAGGTACAAGAACACCTTAGAGGCCCCAGAGCATGTAGCCCATAATGGCAAAGCTTGCAAGAACTCAAGTTTTGACTACAGGGCGGTAGAGGACCAAGCAGGCTCTTGGAGTCTCTAATTCCTGGAATTGGCTCTTGGATGG
The DNA here is from genome assembly GCF_000001405.40 of Homo sapiens. Taxonomy (NCBI): domain Eukaryota; kingdom Metazoa; phylum Chordata; class Mammalia; order Primates; family Hominidae; genus Homo; species Homo sapiens. The sequence continues at coordinate 73,199,571 of NC_000023.11, forward strand.
CATTTCTGGATCTGCCTTGTGCCAGAGGGGAACCTGCTGCCCTGAAGGGCACCAGGTAGCATTCATGCAAACTAACTGAAGAGGCTTTTGGCCTTAAGGAAACATTGGTGGTAGTCTGTCAGTACACCCCAGGAACTGTGGTGGTGGTGGCCATGGGGAGAGGCATCTCTGCCTTTTGAAAGTGGAAGGAAGAGTGGAAATAACTGCATGTGTATCTGTTAGGTTCAAAATTTAAAAATTACTTCAAATCCCACTAAACCCAATGTATTTTCATTGCTAAACCCCTGGTGCCTAAATTATATAAGCACCTTTCTCTCTAGGTCCAGGGACTATCGCAGAAGAGGTGGGTGTGTGAGATTATAATGGCTGATTTTGAGAGACAGAATTAATTCAGATCCTCCAAATCAAGGATGGGCAAACAAATTCCTAAAAAGCTGGAAAAATAAGGAGCTTTACCCCCTGGGTTATTACCATCAATTCAATGGACTTTGCCCCTGGCCCCTTTCCATTCATCTCAACTATAAAAATTTTCTGCTTCCCATAGAATTAAAATAAACTTACCAAGAAGATATCCTAATACCTAGTGATAAAGCCTTTTGGGTATAGTGTTCCCAGCTATGAGGTTTATGCAGATAAACATATACATTTTCTTAAATTAGCCACCTTAGGACAGCACAACAAAGTCTATAAATTCCTTAGTTTAAATGGTTTTAACAACCTGCTTATGTTTATGTAGCTCAAGATTATAGTAGCTCAACACATAGAAGGAAATCTACAGAATGGGAGAAAAAAACATATCTTGTTTTATTTTACTTTGCTTTATTGAGCTCTGCAGATATTGAGATTTTTACAGATTAAAAGTTTGTAGCAACCCTGCAGCAAGAAATTCAATTGGTTCTATATTTCCAGTAGAATGTGCTCATTTTGTGTCTTTGTGGCACATTTCAGTAATTCTGATAACATTTCAAACATTTTCAGTAATACGATTAATATAATAGTAATATAATTACCATTATATCTGTTATTATAAGCTGTAATCAGTGCTCTTTGATGTTACTGTTGTAATTGTTTTGAGCACCACAAACTTAATCAATAAATATTGTGGGTGCTCTGATTGCTCCACCAACTGGCTATTCCTTCATTTTTCTCCCTTTCCTAAGGCCTGCCTATTTCAGGTGACATGATAATATTGAAATTAGGTCAGTTAATAACCCTACAATGGCCTCTAGCGGTACAGGTGAAAGAAAGTGGTACATCTTTCACTTAAATCAATAGCTAGAAATGATTAAGCTTGGTGAGAAGGGCATCTCTAAAGCTGAGAGAGGACAAAACTCAGCATCTTGTGCCAAACAGTCAAGTTGTGAACGCAAAGACAAAGTTCTTGAAGAAAATTAAAAGTGCTACTTCAGTGAACTTCACACAAGCTAACATGAATAATAATAATAATAAACATTATTATTATTAATATGGAGAAAGCTTAGTAATCTGGATGGAAGATAAAATGAGTCATAATATTCCCTTAACCCAAAGGCTCATCCAGAGCAAGGCCCTAACTCTCTTCAATTCTATGAAGCTGACAGAGGTAAGGAAGCCACAGAAGAAAAGTTGGAAACTAGTAGAGCTTAGTTCATGAGTTTTAAGGAAAGAAACAACATGAAGTGCAAAGTGAAGCAGCAAGTGCTGATGTAGAAGCTGCAGCATGTTACCCGGAATATCTAGCTAAGATACTGATGAAGGTGGCTAACTAAGCTACAGATTTTCTATGTAGATAAAACAGCCTTATATTGGAAGAAGATGCCATCTAGAACTTCCATAGATAGGAAGAAGTCAATGCCTGGCTTCAAAGCTTCAAAAAAACAGGTTCACCCTCTTGTTAAGAGCTAATGCAGCTGGTGGCTTTAGGTTGAAACCAATGCTCATTTACCATCCTGAAAATCCTAGGGCCTTTAAGAATTATAGTAAATCTAGTCCACCTGTGCGGACTAAATGCAAAAACAAAGCCTGGATGACAGCACATTTGTTTACAGCATGATATACTGAATATTTTAAGCCCATCGCAGAACGCTACTTCTTAGGGAAAAATATTTCTTCGAAAATATTATTACTCATTGACAATGTACCTGGTGACTCAAGAACTCTGATTGACATATGCCAGGAGAGTAATGTTTTCAAGCCTGCTAACACAACACCATTCTACAGCCCATGGATCAAGAAGTAATTTTGACTTTCAAGTCTTATTATTTAAGAAATACATTATATAAAACAAAACTACCATAGTGTATTAGTCCATTTTCACACTGTTGATAAGGACATACCCAAGAATGGGTAATTTATAAAGTAAAAGAGGTTTAATGGACTCACAGTTCCATGTGTTCTCACAATCATGGTTGAAGGTGAAAGGCATGCTTTACATGGTGGCAGTCAAAAGACAGAATGTGAACCAAGTGAAAAAGAAAACCCCTTGTGAAACCATCAGATCTCATGAGACTTATTCTTTACCTTGAGAACAGTATGGGGGAAAACGTCGCCATAATTCAATTATCTCCCACAGTGTCTCTCCCACAACATGGGGGAATTATGGGAGCTACAATTCAAGATGGGATTTGGATGGGGACAGAGCCAAACCATATCATTCCACCCCTGGCCCTGTCCAAATCTCATGTCCTCACATTTTAAAACCAATTACACCTTCCCAACAGTCTCCTAAAGTCTTAACTCATTTCAAGATTGACTCAAAAGTCCACAGTCCAAAGTCTCATCTGAGACAAGAGATGTCCCTTCCACCTATTAGCCTGTAAAACCAAAGCAAGTTAGTTACTTCCTAGATACAATGGGGATACAAGCATTGTATAGCTACACCTGTTCCAAATGGGAGAAATTGTCCAAAACAAAAGGGCTACAGGCACCATGCAAGTCCGATATCCAATAGGTCAGTCATTCAACATTAAAGTTCCAAAATGGTCTCCTTTGACTCCATGTTTCACATCCAGGTCATGCTGATGCAAGAGTTGGGTTCCCATGGTCTTGAGCAGCTCCACCCCTGTGGCTTTGCAGGGTACAGCCCCCCTCCAAGCTGCTTTCATGGGCTGGAATTAAGTGTCTGTGGCTTTTCCAAGCGCACAGTGAAAACCATTGGTAGATCTACTATTCTGGGGTCTTGAGGATCGGGGCTTTCTTCTCACAGCTCCACTAGGCAGTGCCCCAGTGGGGACTCTGTGTGGGGGCTTGCACCCATTTCCCTTCTGCATTGCCCTAGCAGAGGTTCTCTATGAGGGCTCTACCCCTAAAGCACCTCTGCTGGGACATCCAGGCATTTCCATACATCCTGTGAAATCAAGGGAGAGGTTCCCAGACCTCAATTCTTGACTTGTATGCACCCGCAGGCTCAACACCACATGGAAGTTGCTAAGACTTGGGGCTTGCACCCTATGAAGCCATGGCCTGAGCTGTACCTTGGCCCCTTTTAGCCATGGCTAGAACAGCTGGGACACAGGGCACCAAGTCCCTAGGCTGTACAGAACAGGGGTCCTTGGGCCCATCCTGAGAAACCATTTTATCCTCCTAGACGTCCAGGCCTGTGATGGAAGGGGCTGCCACAAAGGTCTCTGACATGCTCTGGAGACATTTCCCCTATTGTTTAGGTGATTAGCATTTGGCTCCTTGTTATTTATGCAAATTTTTGCAGCCAGCATGAATTTCTCCTCAGAAAATGGGATTTTCTTTTCTAACACATTGTCAGGCTGCAAATTTTCTGAACTTTTATGTTCCGTTTCCCTTTTAAAACTGAATGCTTTTAACAGCACCCAAGTCACATCTTGAATGCTTTGCTGCTGAGAAATTTTTTTCTGCCAGATACCCTAAATCATCTCCCTCAAGTTCAAAGTTCCACAAATCTCTAGAGCAGGGCAAAATGCTGGCAGTCTCTTTGCTAAAACAGAGCAAGAGTCACCTTTATTCCAGTTCCCAACAAGTTCCTCATCTCCATCTGAGACCACCTCAGCCTGGATTTCACTGTTCATATCATTATCAGCATTTTTGTTAAAGCCATTCAACAAGTGTCTAGGAAGTTCTAGACTTTCCCACATCTTTCTGTCTTCTTCTGAGCTCTCCAAACTGTTCCACCTCTGCCTATTACCCAGTTCCAAAGTCACTTCCACATTTTAGGGTATCTTTCCAGCAGCATCCCACTCTACCAGTACTAATTTACTGTATTAGTCCATTTTCACACTGCTGATAAAGACATACCTGATACTGGTATAAAGAAAAAGAGGTTTAATGGAATTGCAGTTCCATGTGGCTGGGGAGGCTGCACAACCATGGCAGAAAGTGAAAGGCCCTTCTTACATGGTGGCAGACAAGAGAGAGAATGAGAACCAAGTGAAAAGGGAAATCCCTTATAAAACCATCAGATCTTGTGAGATTTATTACCATGAGAACAGCATGTGGGAAACTGCCCCCATGATTCAATTAGATCCCACTGGGCCCCTCCCACAACACATGGGAATTATGGGAGCTATAATTCAAAATGAGATTTGGGTGGGGACACAGCCAAACCATAACAGATAGTGATTCTGCTAATGTATCTGGGAGAAGTACACTGAAAGCCTTCTGGAAAGGATTCATCACTCTAGATGCCATTTGGAAAGGATTTACCATTAAGAAAATGTGTGATTCATGGGAGGAGGTCAAAATATCAACGTTAACAGGAGTTTGGAAGAAAGTGATTCCAGTCCTTATGAATGACTTTGAGGGGTTCAAGATTTTCATGGAGAAAGTCACTGCAGATGTGAGGAAAGTCAAAAGAGGACTAGAGTTAGAAGTGGAGCCTAAAGATGTGTCTGAATTGCTGAAATTGTGTGATAAAAACTTGAATGAATGAGGAGTGGCTTCTGATGGGTGAACAAAAAATGTGGTTTCTGAGATGGAATCTACTCCTGCTGAAGACACTGTGAAAATTGTGGAAATGACAACAAAGGATTTAGAATGTTACATAAATTTAGTTGATAAAGCAGCAGCAGGGTTGAAGAGAATTGACTCCAATTTTGAAAGAAGTTCTGAGGGTAAAATGCTATCAAATATCATGACATACTATGGAGAAATCTTTTATGAAAGGAAATGTCATTTGATGGAGCAAACTTCACCATTGTCTTATTTTAAGATATTGCCACAGGCACCCCAACCTTTGGAAATCACCGCCTTGATCAGTCAGCAGCCATCAACATCAAGGTAACACCTTTCACCACCAAAAGATTATAACTCGCTGAAGGCTCAGATGATTGTTAGCATTTTTTAGCAGTAAAGTATTTTTAATTCAGGTATGTACATTGTTTTTTATACATATGTTATTGCACATTTAATAGATTATAGTATATTATAAGCATAATTCATATTCACTGGGAAGCCAAAAAATAAATTGTATTACTTGCTTTACTGCAGTGTTCTGAAACTGAACCCGCAATATCTTCCAGGTGTGAGTGTATTTGAAACCATATATGTGATAAGGAATTAGTATTCAGAACATAAGCAAGAATTCCTACAATTCATCATCAACAAGGAAAAAAATTCTAAAATAGAAAGAGGCAAAGGACTTGAATAGACACTTCTCCAAAGACGATACACAAATTAACAAGAAGCACCTGAAAACATTCTCAGCATCACTAATAAGTCTGAAAAATTGAACAAAAACTACAATGAAAAACAACTTTATAACCATTACAATGGCCATTAAAAGCAGAAAATGACATGTGTTGGCAAGGATATAAAGAAATTGGAAGCCTTGTAATTTACTGATGGAAATGTGAAATGGTGCAGCCTCAGTAGAAAACAGTACAGCAGTTCCTCAAAAAGTTAAAAAGAATTATTATATGATTCAGCAATTCCACTGCTGGATATATGCCCCAAAATTTCAAAGCAGAGCTCAAACAGATAGTTGTACACCCATGATTGTAGCAGCATTATTCACAATAGGTAAAAGGTGGGGAGAAAACCCAAATGTCCATTCATTGATTAATAGATAAGCAAATTATGCTTTGTATAATTAATGATTACTCATTCTTAAATAATTAAATATTATTACATATTTTATAATTATTGTCTAAGAATAATAAATAGTAGTTGGTTTCTGATTCCATTCACCAATAAAAGGAACAAGGGCTCCTTGGGGAAATGGCTGATTCTAGGACTGGGATAGAAAATATAGAAGATGAGCCTGAAGCATCTTGTAGTGCCAGAAAGTAAAAATGTGGGTAACACATACACACACACAGACACAGACACAAACACACAAATAAGGATATACCTAAGGACGCGAGGAAAAAACTAAAAGAGCTTCCATCAATGGCCAAAGCTGAAATACCTTGTGTAAAAAAGAAAAAAATCATAAAATACATATCCATGTGTCCATCCTGATATTTTTAAAAAATGCTTAAATAGTGAAAAAGAGACAATTTTCTGTAAATAATAATTCCAACTAATTTATGTGGACACCCTTTTAGGAGATGTAGCACAAATCCTTACCCCTTAAGTGTAGACTACATTTGGTAACAGGCTCCTAAAGAGTAACATTATGGAAAGTGGAGGTGGGGATGAATGTAACTTTACAGTGGAGAGAACTGGCAAACACGACCTCAATTAGGTGATTAGAGTTAACATAATCAGTTATGTCATATTGATAAGATTTTCCCTCAATATGACATGATGCAGAAGACATGTCATCTCTGTAATCTTCCTAAAACACATAAACCTGCTCTATGAGACAAACATTAGACAAATCTGAATTGAGGGACATTCTACAAAGGGCCTAACTACTTCTCTTTAAAATCATGAAGGTCATCAAAAACAAGTAAACCAATACAGAGACACTAAACCTAAACTGAGTGACGTCTTGCTAAAATATAAAATTTAAATGGGATCCAGTGTCTCATAACAATACTCAAAATGTCCAGGATATAATGAATATAACTCATCATATGAAATATCAGAAAACCACATCTTGAATGAGCAAAGACAGTCAACAGATGCCAACACCAAGATGACTCAGCTGTTGAAATTATCTGACAAGGATGTTAAAGCAGACATCATTAGATGCTTCAACAAGCGATTATGAACACTCTTGAAACATATGAATAATATAACATCTCAGCAAAGAAATAGAAGTTGTAAAAATAAACAAAATGAAAATTACAAAATTGAAAAAAATAAAATAACTAACACAAAAATCTCACTGGATTGGCTCCACAGGAAAATGTAGATGGCAGGACAGAATTAGTGAACTTGAAAACGGATAAATAGGTTGTCCTAATTGAACAACAAAGGAAAACAGACTGAAAAAAATGAAAAGAATCATAAGAGCTGTGACAATAACAAAAGATCTAACATTTATGTCATCAGAGTTACAAAAAGAAAGTTGAATAGCAGATATAATTCAATGAAAAAAATGCTGAACATTTTCAAAATTTGTCAGAAAGCTTAAACCTACAAAGCTAATGCGATTCTATGTTCTATTTTTTCATCTCCTGCTGAGTCTATAATTATTCCAAATAAAAAATTAAAAAACATAAAGTGACAATCATCTCACATTCCTTTCTGCTTGTGATCACTTCCAGAGGTATAAACCTACAAAAGAGTAGCTATAATTTGTTAAGTTCCTACTATGTATCACATCATATTACAATTTTATCCTCATAACAATCCTAAGAGGTGATTATGGTAATTACAGTCATAATCACATAGTGTTTTAGGGATTACTAAGTACCAGGCATTGTGCTAAGTGCTTGACAGTCATTATTACAACAAATCATCAAAAGAATCATATAGTATATATATATACACACACACATATATATACATATATATATGTTATATATGTAGGCACTACTAATTATCTCCCTTGTACAGATGAGGAAACTGCTGAAAAATGGGATTTATTAGTTTGTTCCAGGTCACATAATATACAAGTTTCACAGAGAGGCAATCATCCAGAAAAAAATTGATGTTTTAAAAAGGCAAATAACTTAAATTAAATCTATGATTATGTGAGAAAAAATAGGCCACTTTAGGAAAGTCTACGTTAGAGAATATCTTAGATAAAATGAGATTTAATTAATTCCTGTAAGGTTTTCATATTTTAAAGCTGTATTGGGATGTTTTATTAAAAAGCTTCAGCTAGGCTGTTAAAAGTTCTAAGTCTATGAGATAATAAACCTGACAAAGGAGTATAAGTTAATATCCATTCCTGTGCTAGTTTTGGGCAGTTTTTTTTTTTCTTTTTTTGAGATGGAGTTTCACTCTTGTTGCTCAGGCAGGAGTGCAATGGCACAATGTCGGCTCACTGCTACCTCTGCCTCCTGGTTTCAAGTGATTTTCCTGGCTCAGCCTCCCGAGTAGCTGGGACTACAGGCATGCGCCACCACGCCCAGCTAATTTTTGTATTTTTAGTAGAGATGGGGTTTCTTCATGTTGGTCAAGCTTGTCTCGAACTCCCGACCTCAGGTGATCCACCCTTCTCGGCCTCCCAAAGTGCTGGGATTACAGGTGTGACCCACTGCACCTGGCCTTGGGCAGTTTTAATAATCATAGAGGGATTTTTAAATATTAAACAAACTAGCAGCATCATTCAGTTTCACAGAAGGCAGCATAGTATGGTGAAAAGAGCACGAGCAGTAAGATCAGAGCTGAGTTCTCCTTTACTAGTTGGATGATACTGGCAAGTTACAATGCCTACATCTCAGATTTCTCATCTGAAGAATGGAGATAAGCACCCCTGTCCAAACTCACTCTGCTAAGAACATAATGCTGAAATGTTCTACAAACACCATGTTATGGTAAGAGTATGCAAGTTTAATGCTTGAACATGAAATGTAAATGCTTTGAATTGGATGACATGAGTCTTGGCAAGGAAAAGCTTTTCCATTCCTCTAAGCTATAAAATAAAAATTACATCGTCATAGTGGAGAAGAGAACTCATTACAAATCATTCAGTCTTCCCTTATCCATAGGATTCCTGACAAATTCTAGGTGATATTTTGGATAACAAAGATTATTATCTAAATATTATTACTACTTATTGCCAGTACATTCCTCAGTGAAATATGCACATACATGCACAGATGCGAGCATGCACACACGTACAAAATATCACTTTTTATTACCTCTCTTCACCTTGAAAACTGATGGAGAAATATTAAGTGACAAAGCACCACTGATATTGATTCCACCTGTTGGGAATCTCTCTACGAACTTCTCTCACTCTGGATCATATTGTCCTGTGTGTCTGTGTGTGTTTGCATGCGTGTGTGTGTGTGTGTGTGTGTGCGTGTGTGTGTGTGTATGTGTGTGAGTGAGAGAGCCGGCTGGGCATGGTAGCTCATGCCTGTAATCTCAGCACTTTGGGAGGCCAAGGCAGGCAGATCACCTGAGTTCAGGAGTTCAAGACCAGCCTGGCCAACATGGTGAAACCCCGTCTCTACTAAAAATACAAAAATTAGTGGGGCATGGTGGTGCATGCCTGTAATTCCAGCTACTCGGTAGGTTGAGGCAGGAGAATCACTTAAACCTGGGAGGCGGAGGTTGCAGTGAGCCGAGATCGCGCCATTTGCACTCCAGCCTGGGCAAAAATAGTGAAACTCCATAATAATAATAATAAAAAAGAGCCTACTAGTAAGTTAAGTGTGGAATATAAAATTTAATAGAAATGTACAGTTACCTTTACCATTTTTGTCAAGTTGCTTTGTGAAATTTTTATTTCAGCACTAATCAAATAAAACTGGTAGGATAGCTTTTTTCTCATTGCCAAGTGATACATTCAAATCGGGGTACAGAATCTTTTGTGTAAGGTTTAAATTAACAGGTTCTCTATATTACAGAGGCAGTGAACTACTACTAGATAGTTAACACATGATCTACTTTTTCTTCCAAATATACCTACACTAGTAGTGACATGAAAGTGCTCAGCAGGTGTCAGAACCAGTAATATTCACTTTATATGCACCACTTCTTGTATACATGTACAGACATATATTTATACACATCAGACTTCCAAATGGTGTGTGTGGTCCCCGCTACTCAGGAGGCTGAGGTGCAAGGATTGCTTGGGCCTGGGAGGTCGAGGCTGTAGTGAGCCATGATCACACCACTGCACTTCAGTGTGGGTGACAGAGTGAGACCTGTCCCCTCCCCCAAAAAAGAATTTACTCTGCCTTTACTGTATACCCATTTTGAGTATTTTAGAGATACAAACTTAGTTATAAAAATAACAAAATACATATATCTATATAGCATTTATGTGCCAAGCATATTCCTAAGCACATAAACTAATTAATTCTTCATAATAATTTTATGAGGTAGATGCACAATTATTACATTTTGACAGGTATGAAAACAGAGATACATAAAGTAACTTGGACAAAGTCACTCAACTAACAGGTTGCAGAATTGGGATTTGAATCCAGGCAGTTTAGAATGACTAATCATTCTGAACTATAAGTTACCATGTATCCCAAAATGGAATTTTATTGTATATTTGTATTTCAGTATATTCCCTGGGAATATCAAAATTCTAACAAGGCCCAACAGCCACCTCTATGACGCCTCCAGGACCATATAATGATTAATTTTTTAAGACAAATATGAAGAGAACAAAGGTAAAACTTGATTTGTCACACATAGGTTCTTAACCTTAGTACAGAACTGTATGGTATGTGGACTGAAGCTGGTGGCCTACCCTCAAAGCCCAAAGTGTTTTTACACTAGTCTAAAACCAATTGAATGAACCTCCCTCCACAAGCTGTGGGAGGGATGAGAGGCTCAAATTGTATTCCTAAGAAGAGGCAAAAGAGAAAGAAAAATAAGGAACAGTTCCTAACTTTAGGAAGCTAGCCTGGCACTCACAGCTAGGCCAGGCTATTCTCCTATTGGACACAAACTATTTCATAGAATACCAACCATAGGGTAACTCTGGGACTATGATAAAATGAGACAAAGCAAGACCACTTAATTTTGTCTAAGCAGAGACAAAAACAAGGTCACTGTGCCACCCACGACATACAAACACCTCCCCCACCCTGCCCAGGCTATCCTTGTTCTAGTCTCCCCTCCCTATGGATAAGATTTATTGAACTACCAATCATAAAATTGCCCACATTTTCTGTCAGCATCGGATCTAGAGTAAACCTTATTTTCCTTGGACCCACCACCAAATCTTACAACCCAGTGTTTTTTCTAACACCCACTTACTGATACATTCCATGGTTCCCTGAAGCATGTTCTCTCTCACTGCAGTGAAGAATAAACCCAACTTCTTCACCTATAGGTATATCTTTGCCTTTGGCTGGAGGCCATTGACATGAGAGTTAGAGCAAAGGGGTCTGGCTTGCCCTCAGAGCAAACCCAGAAGCATCTTTACTATTCTGTCTAATGAAGGTAAGAGAAAGGTATAGGAGAAACTGCAAAATGTCTGAGTCTCCTCTGTGAAATACCAGGAGTGATACACCCATGTCCCTGACTTTTTAATGCGCAACAACAGTAGAGACAATTAAAAGGGGCCCAATCTCTGTGTGTGACAGGGGACTGCGGAGAGTCAATAATTTCACAGACGTCAAGATTAATGGTGTTGAAAAGTGTTAAAATAAGTCTATACTTACCAGGCATACATAGAAAGTATCTCCTTATTTAGATTTCCTTATAATAGTAAGTTGTCTGTTTCCCCATATCCTGTCAACTATTGCAACCACAGGGAAAAGCAGGGAACATCTACCCCGTCTTTGGGAGAAAGATTTAACATTAGAGGAGAGTCCTGTACAGACAGGAAAAGGAAAGAAAAAGCTCATAATTTCTTCCTCAGTTGATTGTAGAGAGGTATGAAACAGAAATATGAAAAGTTGGCACTGCTATAAACTTACCTGTCTGGGTCAAGATCTGAAGGAGGAGGCATGTTTAATAGTGGAAGAATAAGTCACAGACAGAACTTCTGCTCCACTTTTGGTTTATATTTGTGCAAGATCACATCCATCCAACCACCTGGGATGGAAGAGTGGATAGGCAGCAATAAAGAGACAGAGTTAGCATTTCCTAGTCACTCTCAGTTCCCACGTGGCATGGAGGGGACCAAGAAGTTCTCTCTTGTACTAGAGGTATGAATGTGACCTTTTCAGAGTCTGCCAAAGGGAGAAGCAAAGCCTGTTTCCACATGCAAGAAAGGCAAAGTCAGCTCTGGGACAAGGGTCTGATCAACCACATCCCATTTTCCTGAATCAGGGCACTGCACTCCAAGCCCAGCCACAATTAGTAATGCAATCCCATATATATCCAGATGACACTGTGGAAGGGTAGGCAAGAAATATGAAATACAAACTAACACACAGGAACCTGTTATTTCAAAAGGGTGCTTAAATTATTAAATAGCACTGAGATTACTGGATTGATTAGAATTGAGAATTTTGTTTCCCTGCAACCTTGTGTAGTGAAAGTAGACTTGAGATTATGAACAGATCAATTATAAACACTAAGAAAGGTATACTTTCTTTGCACATTTTAGTATAGTCTTAGTAAATCTGCATGCGTGTATAAACATATAGAAATATAATTGTAGAAAATAAATCAAAACATTAACAGTGCTTATTTTGGGGTAGGTGGGTGGTATATGGATTTTGTGTTTAATTAATGAATTTTTTCAGTATTGCCCAAATGTCCCCCAATGAACATATTACTTTTATAACAAGAAATACATTAAGTTTTAAACATGAGACACTCTGAAATTTTTATTCTTTTTATTTTGCAGTGAAAGAACACGAAATATCTTTTCAAAATGGTAAAGTGATCACTTTCAATGAATGATGTAATAGGAAAAGAGAATTAAACACTGTAATTATGGCTTACACAATTACACAGAACAATATGTGCAAACTTTTGAAAATACTGTGACTAACACTTCACCGACAAACAATAACCTCAATATAACTAAGTTTCATTATTTATCACAGTTACATAAAATACAAGAGCCTATGAACAAGCTGTTATTAACAATAAATGTAGTTTTGCCTGAAATTCTTATCTATATGCAGGCCTCTTAAGCATCCAAGTTTTAAATTCTACTGCATTGTTATTGCAAAATGAAGCAGGCACAACAAAATTAAATCCACTAGCTAAAGGACTAAGTAAACAAAAATAGAAAAAGAAAAACAACAACAGCGAAAACCCTTGGGTTGTTTCCCAAGATTTTTTTTCCAAACAAATATTGATCTCACTTAGCATTTCTGATCATTTCATAGCCACAGATTAATAGCTACATGACAAAAAGACTTCAGAAGGATTAAGCTACACAACACTATACTAGTGTTTTAAATCATTTACCACAGTGTACATTTCTTGAAAACATTCTACTACTAAAACTCAAGGTCAAATTAATTAGTTTTTGAACTTTTCTTATATTTTTGAAACATATGTTTTAACTAACACTACAAGAAAAATACAGAACACAAGGCTTCTTATACCTTGAGTAACTATATCTAGGGCAGTTAATTTCAGGGCCATGTATACTCTGCTCTAACGATCAATGTCTTCTACTAATGCCTCAAGGTTTTTGCAACAAGCTTTAACTTCCTCAATTGCAGCCATCCAATTATCATAAATAATTTTGTCATAAATTGCATCATTAACTTCTCTAACTACCCCCTCCTGCTGAGATTCCAGTGCATCACCTGAGAAAAATAATACTGATCTTGGAATTATGTAAGTACGTAAATTGTGACCAAGTAAAAAATCATCATTTCCATCCCTTCCATTTGAGGTGATTCCATGAGGAGAGAAAAAATTGAAAAATGAATCCTTGGGAAAATCTTCAGTTACAGTTCGGATTGTTCCCCAGATCCGATGTTTCTGTTTCTTCTTGATGGTTTTCAAAGTGACATTCTTTCCTTCATTCCAATCTATCTCACAGCCTGTGGAATACTCAATCGCAGTTCCCCTATAGGGATGGGGATCATAATATGCTAGCTTTGACTTCAGCACATAGGTCTTTGTCAACAACTCATTTTTGAAATATTCATTGGGTTTGAAGTGAAATTCTAGTGTGAAACTGAGGGGCTCGCCAGGATCTGAAAGCTTAACTTTAATATCTGTCAGGAGCTTCAGAATAGGCTCATCATATTTCTTAATCAAAGGAGTGAGTGTATCAACGTTTTTTAAAACAGTTAGCCAAAAATCAGGAATTCCCTTAGGATCCTCCTCTTCTTTATTCTCTTCTCCAGTAGCCTCAATGTCGTCCTCCTCCTCCTCCTCCTCCTCCTCTTCCACAGCATAATCATAATAATAGTCCTCATAACCATCGTCCTCATCCACATATTCATGTACCATACCCTCCTCATTACCATACATCTCTTCATGACACATTTCCTCATCATCACAGTCCTCAGAGTCTGATTTATATTCACATTCCTCTTCTGTAGGTTCATAGATTGCATTGATGATCTGACGTCTTTTTTCCAGTAAGGGTTGGTACATTTCAGCAAACTTTCTTTCAATGTCATGAAATTCCCTCAGGAATTTGGATTCTAAATTGGCCGCTCTAGTTTGAAGCTTTTTAAGGGCTAACACACGGTACTTAACTTTCACAGGTAGACTTTCAACAAAGTCTGTATCTAAAACATAACCGATAAGTCCTTTTGGACGGTCTGCCTCTGAGTCCTCATCAGTATCGCCACCTTTTTTCCCATCTTCCCCGGACCCAGCAGCAGTATCTTCACCGTTTTCCCCTTCTTCCCCAAGCCCAGCGGCAGCTTCTTCACCGCACTTCCCATCGTCTCCAAGCCCAGCAGCGGCATCTTCACCGCGCTCCAGATGTTCCCCGAGCCCTTCCACCATTATCTGATTACCAGCCTCTTCTTGACTGGATTCTGACAGCTCCTTGCGGTTCTCTGACTCGGCCATTTTTCAAAGGACCGTACACGCCTAAGGTGGCTACCACAGAGATCGGGAGACCAAACCTCCACAGGAAAAGACTCACCGAAATATCAGAAGCGGCGGTGGTCGGACCTAGCAGTGGCGTCCGGACTGAGGGAACGACGATCCAGGCTGCTCGGGGATAAAAGATGGTGCTGAGGCTTTGAGAACCGGACTGAAGCAGTGGCGACCTGGGCTGGGTGCAGAGGGCGGCGACGGCTGCGTTGACCGATCCTGCAGGAGAGAGCCGGAGACTGCAGAGAGCTGCAGTGGGCAGACCTCCTCCGCAAGCAGCTACTGCTGCAAGAAAAAAACGGTGCCGCAGTATGATTACGCAGCTATCACTTGCCTAAAATTTCTAGGTGCAAATAGATTGCTGCGTCACCTCCTTCCCTCCCACAACTATGCTCTAATCTCATTTGCTGCAATGTAGTGACTGACAAACCCAGAGCCAGTAAATTATTAGATCTATCAAGTTTTCAACTCTGCTCACCTTCCCAGGCTCTCTAACATGGCTGATTCATCCACCTCCTCCTCGTCCTCTAGCCCATCTCCCGCAGAGTTTTCTGGAATCCCATTGCGTTCATTAGTTCATTCATCCAACTTTTAACAGATATTATACTTTTATGCTTTCCAGAGAGCTCAGAGAAAACGTAACTAAAATGTCGAACAATGAGAGAAGACAAGGCACCCACCCATCCTAAATCAATCTCTTTGATTTTAGATCGGGGACCTGGGGAGGGGAGAGGTGGATGGTGGAAGAGCTGATAAACAAACGCTTCAAAGATTAAAAACACCAGGAATTAGCACTGATGGTCTTTAGGTGGCGTGTCAGTTATTTAAATATTCTATATTATGTTTGTCGGTATTTTTCACAAGCTATATGATTTTAGGTTGAAAAATTCTCGAAACATTTCCTGTGAGGGGAGGAGGAGGAAGTCCGATGGCAGTGGGGGCGAATGAGGGCCTGTGATGAAAAACTAGTATGGTGTATACAACTACGTGACTAGTAAACATACCAGACAATTAACCACAATTAACCAGTTGCCTGGCTTATAAATAACCCCAGTCCCAATACTGACTTTCTGCTTCTCCTTCTTAATGCTGGCTTTAACAGCCGTTAGAAATATACATATATACAAAAGCCAAAATGGAAAGTTATGTTTATTCTTAGAAATCATAACATTTGCTTGATGCTTTTGAGTTAATTGGAAATAATCTAAATCTCAGCATTAAAGAAATGGTTAAACTATTTGATAATGTATTTATAGGATGGAAAGCTTTGCAGTAATTAAAATTTCCTCTCTATAGTAATTATTGGTGAGGTTTATTTTGTTCATATTTCTAACTTGGATCATTTATTAATTGAACAATTTTTTAAAATTTTAAGTGACTATTATTTTCCAGATTTAAAGAATTTGTTACTATCACAGATATTAAAACTGTTTACATATTGTTGTATTTATTTCTAAATTCTGTCAGTTTATAGATAAATTTTTCCTTTAAGTGAAAATACCAGATACAAAAGAACAAATATTGTATGATTCTACTTTAATTAGGTATCTAGAGCAGTCAAATTCACAGAGACAGAAAGTAGAAACATGGTTTTCAGAGGCTTGGGGTAGGGAGGAAAGGAAGTTATTGTTCAATGTGTATGGAGTTTCAGTTCAAGAAAAAGAAAATATTCTGGAGATGTATGGTGATGATGGTTCACAGCAGTGTGATTGTACTTAATGCTCCTGAAATGTAGATTTAAAAATAGGTAAAATGGTAAATATTATGTTATGTATATTTTATCATAATATAAAGTGTAGAGAAAAATATTTTAAAGACCATATTCAATATAGTACTGGAAGTCCTACCCAGAGCAATTTTGCAAGAGAAAAAAATAAAGGACATACATATTGGAAAGGAAGTTGCTAATTTATATCCTTGTTCAAAGAAGACATGATCTTATATTTAGAAAAACCTAAAGACTCCACAAAAAAACTGTTAGAACTAACAAATTAAGTAAGTTTGCATGAAGCAAAATCAACACACATAAATTAGTAGCATTTCTGTACACCAGCAGCAGACAATTTGAAAAAATCAAGAAAACAATCCCATTTACAATAGCTACAAGAAAATAATACATCTAGGAATAAATTTAACCAAAGAAGTGAAAGATCTACGCAATAAAAACTATAAAAACACTAATGAAAGAGATGAAGAGAACCCCAAAATGGAAAGATATCCTATGCTTATGGATTAGAAGAATCAATATTGTTAAAATGTTTATACTACCCAAAGAAATCTACATATTCAATGCAATCTCTATCAAAATACCAATGACATTCTTCACAGAAACAGAAAACAATATCCTAAAACTTTTATGAAACTACAAAAGATCCCAAATAGCCAAAATGATCCTGAGCAAAAAGGACAAAGCTGGAGGCATCACACTGCCTGATGACAAAATGTACTACAAAGCTGCATGGTACTGTCATAAATACAGACGCAAAAAACCAATGGAACAGAATAGAGAACCCAGAAATAAACCCACACATTTACAGCCAACTCATTTGCAACAAAGTCACCGAAAACATACATTAGGGAAATGACAGACTCTTCAATAAATGATGCTGGGAAAGCTGGATATTTGTATGAGAAAGAATAAAACTGGACCCCTATCTCTCACCGTATACAGAAATCAAATAAAAATGAACTAAAGACTTAAATGTAAGACCTGAAACTATGAAACTACTAGACAAAACTGGGAAGATGCTTTAGGACATTGGTCTGAGCAAATATTTTCTTTTTAAGCCCTCGAAAGCACAGGCAACAAAAGCAAAAGTAGACAAATGGGAACACGTTAAGCTAAAAAGCTTCTGCACAGCAAAGAAAACAATAGGGTAAAGAGACAACTTACAGAATGGGAAAAATATTTTCAAAATATCCATCTGACAAGGGATTAATAACCAGAATATATAAGAAACTCAAACAACTCAATGAAAAAAACTCAAATAATTTGATTAAAAAATAGTAAAAAATATGAATACAAATTTCTGAAAAGAAGATACATGAATGAATGGCCAAGGTATATTAAAAATGATGCTCAATATTTCCAGTCATCAGGGAAATGCAAATCAAAACCACAATGAGATATAATCTCATCCCAGTTAAAATAACTATTATCAAAAAATAAATAACAAATGCTGGCAAGGATGCAAAGAAAAGGAAACTCATATACACTGTTGAAGGGAATGTAAATTAGTACAGCCACTATGGAAAACAGTATGAACATTTCTCAAAAAGCTTAAAATAGAACTACCATATGGTCCAGCAATCCCGCTGCTGCTTACATGTCCAAAAGAAAGAAAATCTGTATATTGAAAAGATCTCTGCGTTCTCATGTGTATTGCAGCACTATTAACAAGACCCAAGATATGGAATCAACCCATGTCCATCAATAAAAGAAAAGATAAAGAAAGTATGACATATACACGCAAAGGAATATTATTCAGCTATAAAAGGAATGAAATTCTGTCATTTGCAACAACATGGATGGAACGGCAGAACATTATGTTAAGTGAAATAAGCCAGGCACAGTAAGATGAATATCACATGTTCTCACTAATATGTGGGAACTAAAAAACTCATCTCATGCATATAGCGAGTAGAATAATGATTATCAGGCTGGGATGGGTAGAGTGGAGTGAAATGTTAGTTAATGGGTACCAAAATACAGTTAGATAGAAGGAATTAGTTCTAGTGTTCAACAGCACAGTAGGGTGACTATAGTTCATAATAATTTATTGTATATTTCAATATTGCTATAAAAGAAGATTTTGAATGTTCCCAACACAAAGAAATGATAAATACTTATTATTTGTCAGGTGATGGATGTCCTAATTACCCTGATTTGATCAATACACATTTTGTGCATGTATCAAAATATTACATGTATCCCATAGATATTTACAATTATTATGAATCAACAACATTTTTAAAAAAAAGAAACTCGGGCCAGATGCAGTGGCTCACACCCATGATTCCAGCACTATGGGGGGCCAATGTGAGAGGGTCACTTGAGCCCAGGAGTTTGAAGTCAGCCTGGGAAACATAGTGAGACTCCCATCTATGCAAAAAAATAAAAAATAAAAAATAGCCAGGCATGTTGGTACACACCTGTGGTCCCAGCTACTGGGGAGACTTAGGTAGGAAGATTGTTTGAGCCCAGGATGCCAAGACTGCAGTGAGCCATGATTGTGCCACTGCACTCCAGTCTGAGTGACAGTGAGACCTGTCTCAAAAAAATAAAAAGGTCCTATCAGTATATGCTTGGTAAAAAATAGATGTTCAATACACTTTTAGCAAATGAGTAAATAAATTTAAAAAATCCAAAACTAACAAGCAAAAATGTAAATAATATCTTAAGTAAAATGAGACCTAAGAAAAATGGGTGAAATATATATATGCAAAACACATATATAGATGCAAAACAAATAAATGATTAACATATAAAGAAAATTATCAATGGCTAAAATTAAAATGTCTAACAATTCCAAATTTTGGCAAAGATGTAGAGCAATTTGGACTCTTAGATATTACTAATGGGAGTGTAAACTGGTATAAAAACTTTAAAAATTGTTTGGCATTATCTATTAAATCTAAACACATGCCTCTCCTAGGATTCAGCAATGACCTACTTATGTAAATACACAAAAAGGCTTGTACAATAAAGTTCATGTCAGTTTTATTTGTTTTTAAAATAGTTCTACTTGGGCTTATTTTGTGTATCATGTAATGCACCCTTTTCAAGTGTGTGAATGAATGATTTTTAAAATTATATTTACCAATTGGAGGCAGAGCAAGATGGCTAAATAGAACTCTCCAGCAATCAATCCCCCTATGGGAACATTAAACTGAACAACTTTCCACGCATAAAATACCTTTATAAGAAGTAAAAAATCAAATGAGATATCAGAGTTTCTGGTTTTCGCATAATAAAAAGAAAAGATGCATTGAAGAGGGAAAGAAGAACAGTCTTGTGTTGCTTACACCCCCATCCCAATCCCAGGCAGTGCAGCCCAGAGAGAGAATCTGTACACTCTAGGGAGGGAGTGCAAAGTGAGTGTGGGACTTTGCATTGGAACTCAGTGCTGCCCTATCTCATAGTGTCATGGTGGAACACAACACCAGACAAATTTCCACAGGTTCTTCTGGATAGAGCATTTAGACCAGTCCTGAGCCAGAGATGAATCTACTGCCCTAGTGGGAGGAATTAAAGTCCTGGCCCACTTTATGACTGGCTAACTACAGTGGCCTTGGGCCTCAAATAAATTTCAGTGGCAACCAGGTAACTAGTGACTGAGATCCTTGGGCAAGTCTAAGTGTGGTTCTGCAACTGGTCTTAGAGGCTGTAGACTTGGGATGTGACCCAGCACGACACAAGCTGTGGCAACCAAGGGAGTGCCTGCATCACCTCTCTCCCAACTCCAGACAAGTAATGACAATAGTAAGTCTTTACTTATCAATAATAACATTAAACATTGAAATTTAAAATTTTTCAAATAAAAAACATAGTTTCTGAATGGATAACAATCCAGACTGAACTGTATGCTGCCTGCAAGAAACTCATTTTACTTAATCTATAAAGACAAACATAGACTTAAAGTGAAGGGATAGAAAAAGATATTTTATGCAAATATAAACCATAAAAGAGCAAGAATAGCTATATTTATATCAGATAAAACAGATTTTAAGTCAAAAACTGTAAAAAGAGAAAGTTCATTATATTATATAATGATAAAGAGGTCAATTCAGCAAGAGGATATAACAATTGTAAACATATATGTGACAAATATTGTAGCACCCAAACATATAAGCAAATATTAATATATCTAAAGGGAGAGATATATTGCAATATGATAATAGCAGGACACTTCAACACCTCAGTTTCAATAATGGACCTATCACCTAGACAGATAATCAACAAACATTGGACTTAATCTGCACTATAGACCAAATTAATGTAATAGATATTTACAGAATATTGCATCCAATAGCTGCAGAATTCACATTCTTTGTAACCGCACATGAAACAACCTTCAGGATGTACCATATGTTAGGCCACAAAACCAGTCCCATCAAATTTTTCAAAAGTCCAAATGGTATCAAGTATATTTTTCTGATCACAAGGAAATAAAGCTAGAAATCAATAACAAGTGGAGCTTTGGAAACTATACAAATACATGGAAATTAAACAACATGCTCCTGAATGACCAATAGGTCAATAAAGAAATTAAGAAGAAAATTTTAAAATTTCTTGATCCAAATGACCATGGAAATGCAACACACCAAAACCTATGGAATACAATTAAAGCAATACTAGGAGATAGCCTAATAATGCATCTTAAAGAACTAGAAAAGCAAGAACAAACCAAACTCAAAATTTGTAGGAAAAAAATAATAAAGATGAGAGCAGAAATGAATAAAACTGAGACTAAATTAAATTTACCAAGTTGTACAATTAAAACCATGAATCAGTTTTAGAACACTTTCATCATCTTGATATTATCTTTCATGAATAATTACTGTTACACTTCTTACTTATGCTGTAGGTACCACTAATTCACTTTTTGTCTTATAGTTTTGCCTTTGTGGGTATTTCTTATAAATAAAATTATACAACATGTTATCTTTTTTTTTCACTGACTAATCTGGGGCTCTTTTTCATCTTTACTTTTTTTTTAAATTCTTTAAGTTCTATGGCACATGTGCAGAACATGCAGATTTTTTACATAGGTATACATGTGCCATGTTGGTTTGCTGGACCCATCAACTTGCCATTTACATTAGGTATTTCTCCTAATGCTATGCCTCTCCCAGCCCCCCACCCCCTAACAGGCCCCAAGGTGTGATGTTCCCTGCCCTGTGTCCATGTGTTCTCATTGTTCAACCCCCACCTATAAGTGAGAACATGCAGTGTTTGGTTTTCTCTCCTTGTGATAGTTTGCTGAGAATGATGATTTCCACCTGCATCCTTGTCCCTGCAAAAGACCTGAACTTGTCCTTTTTTATGGCTGCATAGTATTCCATGGTGTATATGTGCCACAATTTCTTAATCCAGTCTATCATTGATGGATATTTGTGTTGGTTCCAAGACCTTGCTATTGGGAATAGTGCCACAATAAACATACATGTGCATGTTTCTCTATAGTAGCATGATTTATAAAACTTTGGGTATATACCCAGTAATGGGATCACTGGGTCAAATGGTATTTCTAGTTACATATCCTTGAGGAATTGTCACACTGTCTTCTAATTTACACTCCCACCAACAGTGTAAAAGCATTCCTATTTCTCCACATCCTCTCCAGCATCTATTGTTTCCTGACTTTTTAATGATCACCATTCTAACTGGTGTGAGATGGTATCTCATTGTGGTTTTGATTTGCATTTCTCTGATGGCCAGTGACGATGAGCATTTTTTCATATGTCTGTTGGCTGCATAAATGTCTTCTTTTGAGAAATGTCTGTTTATATCCTTTGACCACTTTTTGATAGGGTTGTTTGTTTTTTCTTGTAAATTTGTTTGAGTTCTTTGTAGATTCTGGATATTAGCCCTTTGTCAGATGGGTAGACTGCAAAAATTTTCTCCCATTCTCTAGGTTGCCCGTTCACTCTGATGGTAGTTTCTTTTGCTGTGCAGAAGCTTTTTAGTTTAATTAGATCCCATTTGTCGATTTTGGCTTTTGTTGCCATTGCTTTTGGTGTTTTAGTCATCAAGTCCTTGCCCATGCCTATGTCCTGAATGGTATTTCCTGGGTTTTCTTCTAGGGTTTTTATGGTTTTAGGTCTTAACATTTAAATGTTTAATCCATCTTGAGTTAATTTTTGTATAAGGAGTAAGGAAGGGATCCAGTTTCAGCTTTCTACATATGGCTAGCTGGTTTTCCCAGCACCATTTATTAAATAGGGAATTCTTTCCCCATTGCTTGTTTTTGTTATTTTTGTCAAAGATCAGATAGTTGTAGATGTGGGATGTTATTTTTGAGGCTTCTGTTCTGTTCGATTGGTCTATATATCTGTTTTGGTACCAGTACCATGCAGTTTTGGTTACTGTAGTCTTGTAGTATAGTTTGAAGTCAGGTAGCACGATGCCTCCAGCTTTGTTCTTTTTGCTTAGAATTGTCTTCGCTCTGCAGGCTCTTTGTTTTGGTTCCATATGAACTTTAAATGTGCTATACACTCCAATTGAAAGACACAGACTGGCAAATTGGATAAAGAGTCAAGATGCATTGGTGTGCTGTATTCAGGAGACCCATCTCACGTGCAGAGACACACATAGGCTCAAAATAAAGGGATGGAGGAAGATCTACCAAGCAAATGGAAAGCAAAAAAAAGCAGGGGTGGCAATCCTAGTCTCTGATAAAACAGACTTTAAACCAACAAAGATCAAAAGAGACAAAGAAGGCCATTACACAATGGTAAAGGGATCAATTCAACAAGAAGAGCTAACTAGGTTCCTGGCCCACGCCATCGGGTCTGAGCTGCGCCAACTGCTCTGAGGGTTCGTGGCCCACCGCTCCTTCATGGTTCCTGCTGCCACTGTCCACGCTTAGCGCTGTAGAGAAGATGGTGGGTCGGAACAGTGCCATCGCCGCCGGTGCATGCGGGACCCTTTTTATTGCGTACTGCATCTACTTTGACCACAAAAGATGAAGTGACCCCAACTTCAAGAACAGGCTTCGAGAATGAAGAAAGAAACAGAAGCTTGCCAAGGAGAGAGCTGGGCTTTCCAAGTTACCTGACCTTAAAGATGCTGAAGCTGTTCAGAAGTTCTTCTTTGAAGAAATACAGCTTGGTGAAGAGTTACTAGCTCAAGGTGAATATGAGAAGGGTGTAGACCATCTGACAAATGCAATTGCTGTGTGTGGACAGCCACAGCAGTTACTGCAGGTCTTACAGCAAACTCTTCCACCACCAGTGTTCCAGATGCTTCTGACTAAGATCCCAACAATTAGTCAGAGAATTGTAAGTACTCACAGCTTGGCTGAAGATGATGTGGAATGAGAAACAAATGTCAACATAATAAAATCTCAGTTAAAAATATTTTAAAAATTCTTGGTAGTTGAGCAGCTCTGGGGGAATAAGGGCAAATATGCTTGTTATGAACTACACTGAAATCTACCAAAGTTAATGTTTACTTTGTGTAGATCCATTTGTCCATTTTATTTATTTTTCCCAGTGAAAAGTGTAATTTGATAGAGAACTTTTCATTCTATAAATACACTATGGGTTACTAAAAAATCATGGATTTTGTTTATTCCTGAATCATAGTTAAACAGTACATATGACATGGCTCATGTTAAAAATACCCAGTGCTCGGTTTTGAAAGATAGGCAAAAAAAAATGTATAGGAGAAACTGAAGAGTGTACATGTTTTTAGGGGGCACATTTTGCTGTAAATCCAGAAATTTGATAGACTTGATTGTGTTTGTGAAAACTGAGCATTAAACGTTTTGATTGATCGTTTCTTTCCATTTAATCTCTGAGACATAAATATGTGAGGTGTGCTGCTGTGCTGGGTTAACAGCTTCCTTCCCTTTCTGTGTATCAGTCTTGAAATGTTCTGTTTAAATCAGTATGCTTAATGTGTTCTGGGTATTTATCTCCTTGTATTTTAAATATATGTAGTTGTAAATAGCACCAGGAGTTAGATCTCTGTACACCCCTAATCTAGCCTTGTGTGCTTCGCCAGTTAATGTGTGCTCACTTTCCCTCCATTTGTTACATGAGAGAATGCATCTGCTGATCACTGAAGTGTCCCTTTTAGCTTCTGATTCATTGGGTTCTGTTGGGCATCTTTAAATCTACCTTAACCTGAGGAATGTATGTGGGCAACCAGGCCCTGCATTTTTTTATATTCTGAAATTTGCATGCTTGCCTGACTTGGTATTTCTGAATTGATCTTTTTTTTAATGGTATAACTATCTTGATTTTCACTGAAATTATATGGTTCTGTCACTGCTCTGTGAATTAATCCAAAACTTTTAAGGTAACTGGGATGATCTGCTTGTAAAAATGTTTGTTGTCTTTTGCTTTTATCTTCAATGTACCTCCTTAATCCTACTTCAGCTTGATTAATTTATCTTGTTAAATGATGAGAGTAAGTTGCAACCTTGTGACTGAAGACTTGAAAAGAGTGGATCAGGTGGGACCTCTTATTCTCAAATAGTGACATATTCTCCGTAGTCACTGTTTCAGAACTGAGTAAGGATCCTTGGTACTTGGTGGCATCTGTTGAACTGAGGAGCATTTCTCATTGTAAAGATTGCCTTTGTTCTGTCTAAAAGTCTGTGGAGAAATCCCAAAGACTTTTCCTATGTATTAGGCATTTTATTTTGATTGACTTACAAACTTCTTAATCATTATTAATCTCGGTTTTTTTTTTTTGTGGTGTAGTGGAAGGAGAAACAGTTCTAGTTTCTGCCTCTGATTAGCTGCACAGCCTTGAACAAATCACATTTCATCTTTGAACTTACCTCTACTGTTAGACGAGGCAACTCACATTTGAGGACTTTTCTTGGGTATCTTGAAGGTTTGTGATCCTGAACCCTTAAACAGTGCTTTTTTGTTACACAGGATGCTTTTTTTGGGGGATGACCAGTACAAACATGCCAGTTAGTTTTACTAGTGGGATCCCAAATCTAAAGCAGTGTAGTGGTGATTGGTCAGTGACTAACCAGGCAGCTAAGAATTCTTAGGCAGCAGCCCAGACATGTATAGAGGGGCAGTTAGATGGAGAACAGGGATGGGAAAGGGAGCAAGGGGCAGACAGCTCAGCAAGGAAAGAATGGGCTCAGAAAAAGGAGGGCTGGCTGGAGGAGTGAGGGGCAGCGTAAGTTTGGGGAGGGTAGAAACACCCTTTCCTTGGGAACTGGAGTGCAGTATGAGCTGGGTGTCACTTGGCTATGAACATACTGGCTTTGCTGTAATGCTCAAAAAGGCAGTGGTGTCTTCATTTTACAGTTCATTAAGCCAAGTACATTTTCTTATTTAAATGACAACTTTGGTGCTTTAAAATGAGGTACCACTTTTTAAAGCTAGCTGTGTTGAGTTAAAGAAAAAAATCAGCACTTTTTTCTCCCAGAAATGTAATTGCCAAACACTATCCATTCCCATCTTAAATTTTACAAGGTGATAGAATCAGCTCGTTGCAGTGATGCTGGCCAAATGGTGCTCAGCAGGTGAGAATGAAAAAAACCCAGATTTCTGTGAACTAATACACAGCTTGAGCATTTCCATGTGCTAATGTTACACACTTACTAAAAACAAAAACTTTGGAAATGGAAAATAATATATTAGTGCAACAGTTGACATGCTTCTTTGGGCAAAGATATATTGTTTTGTTCCACAATTTATACTTAAAAGTGAAAGAACATTTAAAACAGACTTACTGGCCGTAGCAATGCTGGCCTGTTAACTGATAACTAGAACTTGGGTTCACATTTATGAAAAGTGTGTGAAACCTAGTAGAGCATGCATAGTAGGCACTCAGTAAATGTTTGGTTCCTTTTGCCCCTTGGTAAGTTTATTTTACCATCTTCCCACCTGCCATTCTGACTTTATTAAATCAACCTGTGGACCAGAGTGTTAATGAGATGTTATTGCAGCAGAGATTGAGAAAATTGGTATATCATGCAGATAACATACAAAATCTTTTTGTAATGTAAAAAATGCAGTTTTATTATTGCTTGTGCCTCAACTGTTTAAGTGAATACTAAAGGGATTGGAGGAAAAAAAAGCTAACTATCCTAACTATGTAAGCACCCAATAATACAGGAGCACCCAGATTCATAAAGCAAGTCCTTAGAGACATACAAAGAGACCTAGACTCCCACACAATAATAATGGGAGAATTTAACACCCCACTGTCAATATTAGGCAGATCAATGAGACAGAAGATTCACAAGGATATCCAGGACTTGAACTCAGCTCTGGACCAAGCAGACCTAATAACCATCTACAGAACTCTCCACCCCAAATCAACAGAATATACATTCTTCTCAGCACCACATTGCACTTATTCTAAAATTGACCACATAATTGGAAGTAAAACACTTCTTAGCAAATGTAAAAGAACAGAAATCACAACAAACTGTCTCTCAGACCACAGTGCAATCAAATTAGAACTTAGGGTTAAGAAACTCACTCAAAACCACACAACTACGCGGAAACTGAACAACCTGCTCCTGAGTGACTACTGGGTAAATAACAAAATGAAGGCAAGAGAAAGAAATACAGGGTATTCAATTAGGAAAAGAGGAAATCAAATTGTCTCTGTTTGCAGATGACATGATTGTATATTTAGAAAACCCCATCGCCTCAGCCCAAAATCTCCTTAAGCTGACAAGCAACTTCAGCAAAATCTCAGGATACAAAATCAATGTGCCAAAATCACAGGCATTCCTATACACCAATAACAGACAAACAGACAGCCAAATCATGAGTGAACTCCCATTCACAATTACTACAAAGAGAATAAAATACCTAGGAATTCAACTTACAAGGGATGTGAAGGACCTCTTCAAGGAGAACTACAAACCACTGCTCAATGAAATAAAAGAGGACACAAACAAATGGAAGAACATTTCATGCTCATGGATAGGAAGAATCAATATCGTGAAAATGACCATACTGCCCAAGGTAATTTATAGATTCAATGCTATCCCCATCAAGCTACCAATGACTTCACAGAATTGGAAAAAAATACAACATTTTCTCTTGTGTGTCTGACTTTGTTCATTGAAAATAAAGATTTTGAGATTTATCTTTGCTGTAGCATGTATCCATAGTTCATTCCTTTTATGCTGGATAGTATTGAATTATATGAATATACCGCATGTTTATTTTTTCACCAGTTGATGTATATACAGGCTATTTCTAACTTTGGTTACTATGAATTACATTGGAATAAACATTTACGTGCAAGTCTTTTTTAATGTTAATCATTCTATTATGTAGGAAATGCTATCTCATTGTGGTTTAATTTGTATTTCACTTATAACCATCTGTTCGTATTTTTATTAGCAATTCATATATATTTTGGTATAATGTCTTCAAATCTTTAGCTTATTTTTAATTGGTTTGTCTTTATTATTGAGATGTAAGAGTTCTATGCATATACTGCATATAAGTCCCTTTCAGATACACATTTTGCAATATTTTTCACTATGAGGTGGAATGTCTTTTTATGCCTAATAAGAAGTTGTTTTTGAAGTGCTGAAGTTTTGAATTTTGATGGGATCCATTTTATCATTTTTTCAATGGACTGTGTTTTTATGTCATAACTAAGAAATATCTGCCTAACCAAGACATTAAATATTTTCTCCTATATATAAATGTGTTAGAGTTTAAATCCTATATTTAGGAACCTGGGCTACATAGCAAGGCCTCATCTCTACTAAAAGTAATAAAAAAAAAAAAAGCAGATGAGGTGGTGTGTACCTGTAGTCCCAGCTACTTGGAAGGCTGAGGCAGGAGGATCACTTGAGCCCAGGAGATTGAGGCTTCAGTGAGCTATGATTGTGCCACTGCACTCCAACCTGGGCAACACAACAAGACCCTTCTCAAAAAAATACTTATTTGTGGTCTGTAATGTATTTTGAGTTAATTTTTTGTGTATTGTAAGAGTTACGAGCCTTGGCTTAGCTTTCTGCATGTGGATATCCCTTTGCCCCAAACAGCTTGTTAAAAAGATTATCCTTTCCTCAATGAATTACCTTGGTACCCTTATCATAAGATCCCTTGACTGTTGTAAAAATGAGTCAAAGACAGCCCCTCTATATTGGTCCCCATGTTGTTTACTCCTTCGCAGCACGTTGTTAGCTTAAAGCCTGTCTGCACCAAATTCAAATTATTACACATCCAAAATGTTCTAAACGTAGCCCGAATAAGCATATTATTGCCTCTTCTACTCCCTGCCTTTGACTCCACAAAAGTGCACCCCACTTCTATTAGCCTTAGATAACACAAACACCGTAACTATAGAAGATCCCAAATCACTGCTGCCCTTTGGAGCTTTCTGACCCACAGACTTCTCACTTTGCAGCTGAACAACACTGCTTAAAGGCATAAGCTACCTCTCTGAATCACCTGTCTTCTGGAAATTTCTTCAGCCACTTCACCTTCTTAGTGGAGACCTCATGATATTTCTCATGTATCCTGTGGTAAGGGATTTACTCTTTCATACAAATGGTGCTCTTCAAGCACCATTTAATAAAGTCTGTTGTACAATGATACTGTTTTGTTGTTTTGTGTTTTTCTTGGTGAGCCTCAATATCTTCAAACTTACCACACCTATAAATAAAAGAATTTATTTCTAGAATTTGAACTCAGTTTCATTAATGTATAATGTCTAGCCTTATGAAAGTACCACACCATCTTGACTACCATAGTTTGACAGTTTCTTTTAAAAAATTGGAAAGTGAAAGCCCTCCATCATTTTTCTTCTTTTTTGTTCAAAATAGTTTTGGCTACTCTGAGCCTCTTGCATTTCCACATAAATTTTATAATAACGTTGTCAATTTCTGCAAAGAAAACACCTTTATGAATTTTAAAAGAGAATACATTGAATCAGTAGATCAATCTGGGGAGAATTGGCATTTTAACAGTATCAAGTTTTCCAATGCATAAACAAATTCTTTTCATTTATTTTTCTTTAATTTCTCAAAGGCTTATTTCACTTACTGCAATGTCCTCCAGTTTCATTCTTGTTGCTGCAAATCACAGAGTTTCATTCTTTTCTATGGCTGAATAACATTCCATTGTGTATATGTATCACATCTTTTTCCATTCACTTACTGATGAACATTTGGGTTGCTTCCATGTCTTGGCTAATACTGCAATGAACATGAGTGTGCAAATACCCCTTTAAGATCCTGCTTTCTACTTTTTTATTTGTTTTGCAAAGGGTTATGTTTAATAGAATCTTCAGACAGATTTCCCACCTTTCCACACCACCTCTCCCTTTTCCTTCAGGCTTATTCAAGCTTTCATTCCACGTGTAAGTAACAGATTAAATACCTTACAAGATATAGCACAGTTGATATTGAAGAATAAGGAGTCTACTCTCATTTTAAAAGTATTAAGCATTGGAATTCCCCTGACCCATGAAATAAAGCAAGTTTTATATACAATTCTTGTGCCTTTTTGTAACATTTTCTTACATAAATCTAAATATTTTACAATCAAGTTGTTTTTCTCCAAACATAAATTTGAGCAAAACAGATATCCAACCTGTGAACTTGTTTCTTCACTAAAATATAAATGCTATCCAATATTAAGAGTAAATGTCAAAACAGTAAAATAGGAGCAGCTCTGATCTCCAGTTTCCAGCGTGATCAATGCAGAAGATGGGTGATTTCTGCCTTTCCAACTGAGAAACCTGGTTTATCTCATTGGGACTGGTTGGACAGTAGGTGAAGCCCATGTAGGGTGAGCCGAAGTAGTTTGGGGCATTGCCTCACCAGGGAGGTGCAAGGGGTCAGGGGATTTCCCTTTCCTAGCCAAGGGAAGCCATGCCTTCACTGAAGATGGTACTGGAAAACTGGGACACTCCTGCCCAAATACTGCACTTTTCCAATGGTCTTAGCAAATGGCACACCAGGAGATTATATCCCATGCATGGCTTCGTGGGTCCCACACCAATGAAGCCTTGCTCACTGCTAGTGCAGCAGTCTGAGATCGACCCGTGTGGCAGCAGCCTGGTAGGGGAAGGGGTGTCCACCATAGCTGAGACTGGAGTAGGCAAACAAAGTGGCAGGGAAGCTTGAACTGGGTGGAGCCCACCTCAGCTCAGCAAGGCCAGCTACCTCTGTAGACCCCACCTCTGGGGGCAGGGCATAGCTGAAAAAAAGGCAGCAGAAACTTCTGCAGACATAAACATCCCTGTCTGGCAGCTCTGAAGAGAGTATTGGTTCTCCCAGCATGTTGTTTGAGCTCAGAGGATGGACAGACTGCCTCCTCAAGTAGGTCCCTGACCCCTGTGTAGCCTAACCAGGAGACAACTCCCAGAAAGGGCCAACTGACACCTCATACAGGCGGGTGCCCCTCTGGGACGAAGCTTCCAGAGGAAGGATCAGGCAGTAATATTTGCTGTTCTGCAATATTTGCTGTTCTGCGGCCTCCGCTGGTGAAACCCAGGAAAACAGGGTCTGGAGTGGACTTCCAGCAAACTCCAACAGGCCTGCAGCTGAGGGACCTGACTGTTAGAAGGAAAACTAACAAAGAGAAAGGAATAGCATCAACATCAACAAAAAGGACATCCACACCAAAACCCCATCTGTAGGTCACCAACATCAAAGACCAAAGGTAGATAAAACCACAAAGATAGGGAGAAACAAGAGCAGAAAAGCTGAAAATTCTAAAAACCAGAGCACCTCTTATCCTCCAAAGGATAGCAGCTCCTCACCAGCAATGGAACAAAGCTGGATGGGGAATGACTTTGATGATCTGACAGAAGTAGGCTTCAGAAGGTTGGTAATAACAAATTCTCTGAGCTAAATGGGGATGTTGAAGCCAATCACAAGGAAGCTAAAAACCTTGAAAAAAGATTACACAAATGGCTAACTAGAATAAATGGTGTAGACAAGACCTTAAATGACCTGATGGAGCTGAAAACCATGGCATGAGTGCTACATGACACATGCACAAGCTTCAATAGCCGTTTCAATCAAATGGAAGAAAGGGTATCAGTGATTAAAGATCAAACTAATGAAATAAAGTGAGAAGAGAAGTTTAGAGAAAAAAGAGTAAAAAGAAACAAACAAAGCCTCCAATAAATATGGGACTATGTGAAAAGACCAAATCTACATTTGATTGGTGTACCTGAAAGTAGTGAGGAGAAAGGAACCAAGTTGGAAAACACTCTTCAGGATATTATCCAGGAGAAATTCCCAATCTAGCAAGGCAGGCCAACATTCAAATTCAGGAAATACAGAGAACACCACAAGATACTCCTTGAGAAGAGCAACCCTGAGACACATAATTGTACTTTGTCACCACCAGGCCTGACTTACAAGAGCTCCTGAAGGAAGCACTAAACCTGGAAAGGAACAACCAGTACCAGCCACTGCAAAAACATGCCAAATTGTAAAGACCATCAATGCTAGGAAGAAACTGCATCAACTAATGGGCAAAATAACCAGCTAACAGCATAATGACAGATCAAATTCACACATAAAAATATTAATCTTAAAAGTAAATGGGCTAAATACCCCAATTAAAAGACACAGACTGGCAAATTGGATAAAGAGTCAAGACCCATTGGTGTGCTGTATTCAGGAGACCCATCCCACGTGCAGAGACACACATAGGCTCAAAACAAAGGGATGGAGGAAGATCTACCAAGCAAATGGAAAGCAAAAAAAAGCAGGGGTGGCAATCCTAGTCTCTGATAAAACAGACTTTAAACCAACAAAGATCAAAAGAGATAAAGAAGGACATTACATAATGGTAAAGGGATCAATTAAGCAAGAAGAGCTAACTATCCTAAATATATATACACTCAATACAGGAGCACCCAGATTCATAAAGCAAGTCCTTAGACACCTACAAAGAGACTTAGACTCCCACACAATAATAATGGGAGACTTTAACACCCCTCTGTCAATATTAGACAGATCAACAAGACAGAAGGTTAACAAAGATATCCAGGACTTGAACTCAGCTCTTGACCAAGCAGACCTAATAGCCATCTACAGAACTCTCCACCGCAAATCAACAGAATATACATTCTTCTCAGCACCACATCACACTTATTCCAAAACTGACCACATATTTGGAAATGCACTCCTCAGCAAATGTAAAAGAAGAGAAATCACATCAAACTGAGTCTCAGACCACATTGCAATCAAACTAGGACTCAGGATTAAGAAACTCACTCAAAACTGCACAACCACATGGAAACTGAACAACCTGCTCCTGAATGACTACTGAGTAAGTAACAAAATGAAGGCAGAAATAAAGATGCTCCTTGAAACCAATGAGAACAAAGACACAACGTACCAGAATCTCTGGGACACATTTAAAGCAGTGTGAAGAGGGAAATTTATAGCACTAAATGCCCACAAGAGAAAGCAGGAAAGATCTAAAATTGACAACTTAACATACCAATTAAAACAACTAGAGAAGCAAGTGCAAACAAATTCAAAAGCTAGCAGAAGACATGAAATAACTAAGATCAGGGTAGAACTGAAGGATATAGAGACTTGAAAAACCCTTCAAAAAATCAATGAATCCAGGAGTTGGTTTTTTGAAAAGATCAAGAAAATTGATAGACCCCTAGCAAGACTAATAAGGAAGAAAAGAGAGAAGAATCAAATAGACGCAATAAAAAGTGATAAAGGTGATATCACCACCGATCCCACAGAAATACAAACTACCATCAGAGAATACTATAAACACTTCTACCCAAATAAACTAGAAAATCTGGAAGAAATGGATAAATTCCTGGACACATACACACTCCCAAGACTAAACCAGGAAGAAGTTGAATCCCTGAAAAGACCAATAACAGGCTCTGAAATTGAGGCAATAATTAACAGCCTACCAACTAAAAAAAGTCCAGGTCCAGATGGATTCACAGATGAATTCTACCAGAGGTACAAAGAGGAGCTGGTACCATTCCTTCTGAAATGATTCCAATCAACAGAAAAAAGGGAATCCTCCTTAACTCATTTTATGAGGCCAGCATCATCCTGATGCCAAAGCCTGGCAGAGACACAACAAAAAAAGAGAATTTTAGACCAATATCTCTGATGAACATCTATGTGAAAATCCTCAATAAAATACTGGCAAACCAAATCTAGCAGCACATCAAAAAGCTTATCCACCATGATCAAGTCAGCTTCATCCCTGGGATGCAAGGCTGGTTCAACATATGCAAATCAATAAACATAATCCATCACATAGACAGAACCAATGAAAAAAAAACACATGATTATCTCAATAGATGCAGAAAAGGCCTTTGACAAAATTCAACAGTGCTTCATGCTAAAAACTCTCAATAAATTAGATATTGATGGAATGTATCTCAAAATTATAAGAACCATTTATGACAAACCCACAGCCAATATCATATTGAATAGGCAAAAACTGGAAGCATTCCCTTTGAAAACTGGCACAAGACAGGGATGCCTTCTCTCACTACTCCTATTCAACAGAGTGTTGGAAGTTTTGACCAGGGCAATCAGGCAAGATAAAGAAATAAAGGATATTCAATTAGGAGGAAGTCAAATTGTCGCTGTATGCAGATAACATATTCTATACGTAGAAAACCCCATCATCTCAGCCCCAAATCTCCTTAAGCTGAAAAACAACTTCAGCAAAGTCTCAGGATACAAAATCAATGTGCAAAAATCACAAGCATTCCTATACACCAATAATCGACAGAGAGCCAAATCATGAGTGAACTCCCATTCACAATTGCTTCAAAGAGAATAAAATACCTAGGAATTCAACTTACAAGGGATGTGAAGGACCTCTTCAAGGAGAACTACAAAGCACTGCTCAACAAAATAAAAGAGGACACAAACAAATGGAAGAACACTCCATGCTCATGGATAGGAAGAATCAATATTGTGAAAATGGTCATACTGCCCAAGGTAATTTATAAATTCAATGCCATCCCCATCAAGCTACCAATGACTTTCTTCACAGAGTTGGAAAAAACTACTTTAAAGTTCATATGGAACCAAAGAATGGCCTGCATTGCCAAGACAATCCTAAGCAAAAAGAACAAAGCTGGAGACATCATGCTACCTGACTTCAAACTATACTGCAAGGCTACAGTAACCAAACCAGCATGGTACTGGTACCAAAACAGATATATAGACCAATCGAATAGAACAGAGGCCTCATAAATAACATCACACATCTACAGCCATCTGATCTTTGACAAGCCTGACAAAAACAAGAAATGAGGAAAGGATTCCCTATTTAATAAATGGTGCTGAGAAAACTGGCTAGCCATATGTTGAAAGCTGAAACTGGATCCCTTCCTTACACCTTATACAAAAATTAAATCAAGATGGATTAAAGACTTAAATGTTAAACCTAAAACCATAAAAACCCTAGAAGAAAACCTAGGCAATACCATTCAGGACATAGCCATGGGCAAGGACTTCATGACTAAAACACCAAAAGCAATGGCAACAAAAGCCAAAAGAGACAAATGGGATCTGATTAAAGAGTTTCTGCACAGCAAAAGAAACTACCATCAGAATGAACAGGCAACCTGTAGAATGGGAG
The DNA here is from genome assembly GCF_000001405.40 of Homo sapiens. Lineage (NCBI taxonomy): Eukaryota > Metazoa > Chordata > Mammalia > Primates > Hominidae > Homo > Homo sapiens. The sequence continues at coordinate 73,234,803 of NC_000023.11, forward strand.
AAAATTTTTACAATTTTCTTCTGTGACAAAGGGCTAATATCCAGAATCTACAAAGAACTCAAACAAATTTACGAGAAAAAAAAAACTCATTAAAAAGTGGGCAAAGGATATGAACAGACACTTCTCAAAAAAGACATCTACGCCACCAACAGACACATGAAAAAATGCTCATCATCACTGGTCATCAGATAAATGCAAATCAAAACCACAATCCACAAAACCACATCTCACGGCAGTTAGAATAGTGATCATTAAAATGTCAGGAAACAACAGATGCTGGAGAGGATATGGAGAAATAGGAACACTTTTACACTGTTGGTGGGACTGTAAACTAGTTCAACCATTGTGGAAGAGAGTATGGTGATTCCTCAAGGATCTAGAACCAGAAATACCATTTGACCCAGTGATCCCATTACTGGGTATACACCAAAAGGTTTATAAATCATGCTACTATAAAGACACATGCACACATATGTTTATTGCATCACTGTTCACAATGACAAAGACTTGGAACGAACCCAAATGTCCATCAATGATAGAGTGAATTAAGAAAATGTGGCACATATACATCGTGGAATACTATGCAGCCATAAAAAGGATGGGTTCATGTCCTTTGCAGGGACATGGATGCAGCTGGAAACCATCATTCTGATCAAACTATCACAAGGACAGAAAACTAAACACTGCATGTTCTCACTCATAGGTGGGAATTGAACAATGAGAACACTTGGACACAGGGCGGGGAACATCACACCCTGGGACCTGTCATGGGGTAGGGGTCAGGGGGAGGAATAGAATTAGGAGAAATACCTAATGTAAATGATGAGTTAATGGGTGCAGCAAACCAACATGGCACATGTATACCTATGTAACAAACCTGCACGTTGTGCACATGTACCCTAGAACTTAAATGATAATTAAAAAAAGAAAGAAAAGTGACATTTTCAAAAGAAAGAGTAAATGTCTTTTGACCACTAGAGATTACTGAAGTCTGAATTGCACTATAGAGAAGGCTCTTTTGTTTTCTGAGGTCTCCAGCAAGTATCTAGTGAGTACTTATAGAATCACTGCCCTCCAGGTCCCATGGCAATGCCTCTGTAAACTAAAAATAAAATTCTAAGGCTTCCATCAATAGAATGGACCCTCTTTCGGCCAGGGTTACCCCAGAAAAACCTGAAAATCTTAATCGTATGACTAGATGGGAGATCTAGTATGCCTCATTAGATTCTCTCCCTTTTGTGGTTCAGACACAGCAACTGACCTTCATTAATGTTAAAGTAGAGATCATAAGACTAACAGAACAGACTGTGGTAATAAGATACCAAATTGTAAGCAAGACCTAAGGCCATGCCAGGCAACAGTTAAGTCATGCAACTCTTACAATTAAAGAATAAACTATGTTCCAACTGCCACAAGCACTAGACAGCATTTTTTTTCTCTAGCAGCTAAATAAGCCCTGGCCTTGAGATAAGGAATGTTGAAGTAATTAGAGCTTAACAACCATCAGATATTGGCTAACTGAGCCCCCCCACCCCGCCCCATACCACAAGCCATAACTACAGCTTTGATTGGAAAAGAGTCTGATTTCAGTAACTTTCTCCAGATAAGAAGACCACTGACCATGACTGGTTCTGACCAGTTTACAGAGACTGCACACTTGAGTGCTTTTGTGTCCTGAAATGACTGTTAGATGTTTAGGGACTAATTGTAATACATTTAAATGTTAAGTCTCCACCCCAAAGTGAATGTAGGTCATGTGTTATATCCATGCTTGTTAAATACACATACATTAGGACCACCTTCCTGAATATTCATAGATACTCCTTTTACCTGTTAAATATGTGTATTTAGCCAACCCATTCAGCATAAAGCTCCTACCTAAACCGTTTCTCCTTCAAAGTGCCTGTCTCTGGTCTTTGCCAGAGGCTGTGCTTTCCAGTCTGCTGGATGGCCACCTTGCAGATTGCAATCCTTTATAAGTCTCTGTTTCTAAATTTATAGATCTTGTGATTTTCTCCCTCTCTCTTTTCTTTCTTTCTTTCTTTCTTTCTTTCTTTCTTTCTTTCTTTCTTTCTTTCTTTCTTTCTTTCTTTCTTCTTTCTTTCTTTCTTTCTTTCTTTCTCTCTCTTTCTCTTTCTCTCTCTTTCTCTCTCTCTCTTTCTTTCTTTCTTTCTTTCTTTCTTTCTTTCTTTCTTTCTTTCTTTCTTTGTTTCCTTCCTTCCTTCCTTTCTTTTTTTTTTAATATCAAGACTCACTCTCTTGCCCAGGCTGGAGTGCAGTGGTGCACTCTCAGCTCACTGCAACCTCCGCCTCCCAAGTTCAAACGATTCTCCTGCCTCAGCCTCCCAAGTAGCTGAGACTACAGGTGCATGCCACCACACCCGGCTAATTTTTGGTATTTTTAGTAGAGACGGGGTTTCACTGTGTTAGCCAGGTTGGTCTCGATCTCCTGACCTCATGATCCTCCCGCCTCAGCCTCCCAAAGTACTGGGATTACAGGGGTAAGCCATGGCACTCGGCCCGATCTTGTGATTTTTTAATTTAACACCTCCAAGTGATCAATCACTGAAGCAGCTGGGGGAAAATGTTGAGTAAACTTGATTCTAAAATTGTGGAAATAAAAAATAAATCAGTTTTTAGTCTAGAATCAAACTACAAAAAAATCTGTGTTTATTTTTGAAGACTTAAACCTGCTTTTTTCTCTCACAAATTATAATATAAAAGTTCCTGTTTTAATGACAAACTTCAAACAGTACTGAAAAAAGTTTGTGTCAATGCACAAAAAGAGTCAGTCCCTCTGGGCAGGGCCTCAAAGAGCACCACCCAGGTTGAACGGTGGTTTTCCTATTGCTGGGCCACAAGTGCCTTCCTATTGACCTTCACCTTCTCTAGACACTTGTTCAGGTGGCTGTGGGTCATCTCCATCTCCTCAATCTTGTCCAGTGCTGTTTATAAACCTCATTGTACTTTACCCTTTCTTACTTTAAGTTCACCTGCAACTTTCACTACTTTGCCTATTGGCATATGTCTGTATTTTGATGAACTGCAAATCTGAGTCTTTCTGCAGCTGCACCAGGTCACCTGCTGTACCATCATCCCTGGAGGACTCCTGCTATTGTTTCTCTTACTGCAACTTCAGTTTCCTAAACTGTGATGGTAGCTCTTCCTTTACTCCAGCAAGTTTTTGTATCTTTATATGGCCCCTTTCCTGCTGACCCCAAGACATGAGCAGCTTCCTGAGTCACAACAGTAATGGCTTCAACCACTGACTCATGATTGACATCACCACTGCAAGTGCCATTGGGAATTATAACTAAGCAATGTTTACAATAAGTTCATCCCTTTGTCAAAGGGTTTAAGTTTATCCACTGTATGCTGCAGTGCACTACACATATGTTTCTGTCTTTCTAACTTCTTTGATCATTCTTCATTATCTCTATAAAATTCCACCATCTGTTCATCCTGTTCTTCAAGAACAAGCTTGAAGGTATCTATGTGGTAGGCCAAATTGTTCTTGTTGAATAACTATGCACTGAAAACCATGGCTTTCTTATATTTCTCCTTCACTTTAGACAAAGACAGGTAACTCAATTAGGTGTCTGGATCTATTAAGCTGCTGATGTCCCCACTTCCTTATCTGGATCAATTTCCACTTAGGGTGTTTGTTGCAGAGCAGAATTTCAAGATAAAGGCCTTGCATAATTTTTAGCATATGGTTTGTCAGAGTTTTTATCCAACTCTTTTCATTGTTCCGGTTTGCTCATGTGTATATCTCTTGCTTTTGCCCAGGCAACTGATTTTACTGTCAGCCTCACCTCTGTCTTTTTGGCATGTTACTCAAAACTTCATCTTCTGCAGAAAATCAGGCTTTCATGGATGTTTTCCTTCCAGAACCAGAAGTTTCCATCTTGTTTTCTTTTCTTTTTTTTTAGGTCTTCTGGTAGAACATTAAATTTATACTTAGACTAGGTTCTGGGCATTATGAAATTGGTATCCATATTTTCCCAATTAATTAATTTCTCCAAGTAACTAGTCCTAATACAAAGTTGGAGGTTCATTTTTTCCCCTAGGGTATGCGTTTATGATTTGTAACTAGATACTGAGTATTAAAGGAAAATATAATTTGTTCTCCAAGTTTATATTATTGCTATGTTTACAATTTTTAAACAAAACCACAAATAGGTCACTAATATAGAAATGATTAAGACACCATGGTTATTAAAAATTATAAAGTAATGCTTTATCATGTGGACATTCTGGATTAGATTACTGAGATGAGATATCTTTCCATTACCTTACTTTATTGACGAGGACTCTAGGATCTGTCTCCCATCTTGTTTTTTCAATAGCCTTTTAACTCTGAAAGTAATTCCACTCTGCTTTCACTATGACTCTGGACATCGGCTGTGATTGAGATGGGGCCATGGAAGTGTCAGCTTGTAACATGGTTCACCTGCAGGGGAAGGCGTAAAGGATCAGGGAATAAGGGCAAGGGGCAAAGGGCCAGGGGCAAAGATGGGGGCCAAGCATGCAGTGAGTAAATTCAGTCCTCTCCAGGTAGGCTGGGCTAGAAGTGGCAGCTGCTGGCAACAGCTGGTGGTTAGTCAGTCACGCTGGTGACCCCTCAGATCCCTAGCTGAGTCAACCGGTACTGCCGCCAGAGGACCTGCAGCCAAAGTGTCAGGTGGAGGAGGTGAAGGAGGGGCAAGTGATACCCTGTTTACAACGTCTTTGGATATATATTCAGAAGTGGGGTTGCTGGACCATGTGGCAGTTTTGGTTTTACTTTTTTGATAAATTTCCATTCTATTTTCCATGGTGTCTTCACCAATTGTATTCCCACCAACATTGTATAAGAGTTTGCTTTTCTTCACATCTTTGCCAACATTTTTTATCTTTATTTTTGGATAAAGGCCATCCTAACAGATGTGAGGTAACATCTCATTGTGATTTTGATTTTCATTTCTCTGAAGATTAGAGTTGTTGAATATCTTTTCATATATCTCTTGGCTATTGGTTTATCTTCTTTGGAGCAATGTATCTTTATTTCTTTTGCCCACTTTTTAATAGAATATTTTTGTGTGTATGTGTGGTTGATTTGAAAGAGTTTCTCTTTTGTTTTGGATATTAACTCTTTATCAGATATAATATATTGTTTACAAATAGCTTCTCTCATTACTTAGGTTGCCTTTTCATTTTGTTGGTTGGTTGCTTGCTTTGCAGAAGCTTTTTAGATTGACATATTCCTACTTGTCTATTTTTGCTTTTGTTGTGTGTGCTTTTGGTGTCATATTCAAGACATCATTGCCAAGACCAATGCCCAGAAGTTTTTTTCTTTATCTCGTTTCTAGGAGTTTTACAGTTTCAAGCCTTACATTTAAGTCTTTTATTAATTTTGGATTTATTTTTGTGTATGGTGTGAGATAATGGTCCAAGTTCATTCTTTTGCATATGGATATCTAGTTGTTTCAACATCATTTATTGAAGAGACTATCATTTCTCCATTGTGTATTCTTGGCATCAGTTGATCATATTTCTGTGGATTTATTTCTGGGTTCTCTAATTTGTTCCATTCATCTATGTCTCTATTTTTACATCAATATTATACTGTTTTGATTATTGTACCTTTATAACATATATTAAAATCCAGAGGTATGATGCTTCCAGCTTTATTCTTGCTCAAAATTGCTTTGGTTATATGCAGCCAAAATATTTTGTGGTCCTTTGTGGTTCCATATAAATTTTAATTCTTTTCTATTTATGAAAAAACATTATTGGAATTTTTGATATGATTGCATTAAATTTGTAGACTACTTTGGCTAGTACTGTCATCTTAATATTAAGTCTTACAATGCACGAATATACAATATCTTTTCATTTGTTTAAGTCTTTTTACATTTCTTTTGACAATGTTTGGTAGTTTCCATTGTACATTTCTTTTGCCTTCCTGGTTAAGTTAACTTCTAACTATTTTATTCGACTTGATGTTATTGTGAATAAAATTATTTTTAAAAATTTTCTTTCAGGATCTTTCATTGTTAGTGTATAGAAATGTAATTGATTTTTGTTGTTTATATTGTAGCCTACCTGTTTATTGAATTGCCCTACTAGTTCTAACAGGTTTTTCTTTCTAAAATCTTTGTTTTCTACATAAAAAAACATATCATCTGAGGAGGCAGAGTAAGATGGCAGAAGAGAAGGCTCCCCAATAGTCCCCCAACACAAAGACATGAATTCAACAACTACCTACACAAAACAGGACCTTCATAAGAGCAAAAAATTAGGTACTTGTCATACCTGGATTTAACTTTATATTGCTGAAAGAGGCTCTGAAGACGTAGAAAAAGCAGACCTGCATCACCAAAACCACCCCTCTCCCATCCTCCAGCAGTGGTGATATGGCACAGAGAAAGAATCTGAGCTGTTGGAGGAGGGAGAGTGCAGCAATTCTTAGACATTGCATTGAATTCGGTGCTGCTCTGTTATAGCAGAAAGCAAAAATGGAACTAACTCTGCTGACACCTGCTCAATGAAGAGAGCATTTAAAACAGCCCTAGTGGTTGGAGCTTGAGTTCCCACAAGCCTCACCACTGCAGGGTAAAGTACTCTGGGACCTCAAATAAATGTAAAAAGCAGTCTAGGCCACAAGGAATATAAATCATAGGTGTGTACTAGGGCCAAACTGAGTGCAGAGCCAGGAAATTACCAAGAATGCAACCTACTGAGATACCAGCCAAGGCAGCTAGGGAGTGCTGATGCCACATCTCTTCTAAACCTAGGATGCACAACTCATAGCTCCAAAAGAGAACCCTTCCTTCTGCTTGAGGGGAGAAGAAGAATGACTGGGGAAGACTTTGCCTTGTATATCAGATACCAGCTCAGCCACAGCAGGATAGGGCAACAGTCAGACTCATGAGAACCCCATACAAGGTCCCAGCTCCTGGATAACATTTCTAGACACACCCTGGGCCAGAAGAAAACCTGTTGCCTTAAGGGGAAGGACCAATTTCTGGCAGGACTGACCACTGGCTAATTAAAGAGCCCTTGGGTCTTGACTAACCAGCAGTGATACCCAAAGGGTAATTCATGGGACTTGGGTAAGACCCTTAAACTTGTTGGCATTAGGTAAAACTCAGCACATTCCCACCTGTGATGGTGATGGGAAGAGGGCCCCTCTGTTTGAGAAAAGTAGAGGGAAAAGTGAAGGGGTCTTTGTCTTGCACCTTATGTACCAGTTTGGCCACAGGGGATAGAGCACCAAGCAGGATCTTGGGGTCCACAATGCCAGTCTTTGGCTCTTGGGTGGCATTTTTGAGCCTGCCCTGGGCCAGGGGGGAGCCCAGAGCCTTGAAGGGTGAGTTCTAGGCCAGGCAGCATTCACCACAAGCTGACTGAAATGCCCTTAGGACTTAAGGGAACATTAGCAATAGTCTGGCAGTAATCCTGTGGGCCTGTAGTGATGGCCACAGAGTGAGGCTCCACTGACTCTAGAAAAAGAAAGGAAGAGTGAGAAGGACTGCACTTTGTGGATTGAGTCGCACTCAGCCACAGTAAAATAGAACACCAGAGAGCCTTCTAAAGATTTTGACTGTAGTCGCTGGCTCCTAAATGACACTGCTGGGCCAACTCAGGGACTAGGCTAAAGAGGACACCTTGAAGGAAAAGACACAAGCCTGGCTGGCTTTATAACCTGCTGATTGTAGAGCCACAGGGCTTTGAGTGAACATGGGCAATAGCCAGGGAATAGTTAAAGCAGGCCTTGAGTGAGGCCCAGTGTTATGCTGGCATCGGTCTGACCCAGCATAATCCTAGTAGTGGTGGCCACAGGAGTACTTGTGTCACTCTACCCCAAGCTCCACGTGGCTCAGAACAGAGAGACACAGGCTCCATTTGTTTGGGGGAAATTAAGGGAAGATAACATAAGTCTTTGTTTGGTAATCCAGAGAATTCTCCTGGATCTTGTCTAAGACCATCAAGATGGTACCACTAGTCATTAAGACCCACAGTGTTACTGAACTTAGGTGCACCCTAATGCAGATACAGCTTAGATCATAACATCCAAGTTTTTTCAGATATCTGGAAAGCCTTCAACAAAAGGACAGGCACAAACAAGCCCAGAGTGTGAACACTAAAATAAACACATAGCTCTTCAATGACCAGTGCAGACAAATGTCTACAAGTATCAAGACCATCCAGAAAAACATGGCATCACCAAATGAAATAAATACGGCACCAGGGACCAATTCTAGAGAAACAGAGATATGTGACCTTTTAGACAGAAAATTCAAAATAGTTGTGTTGAGGAAACTCAAAGAAATTTAAGATAACACAGAGAAGAAATTCAGAATTCTATCAGATAAATTTAACAAAGTGATCAAATAATTACAAAGAATTAAGCAGAAATTCTGGGAGTGAAAATGCAATTGCTACACTGAAGAATGCATTAGACTCCTTTAATAGCTCAATGGATGAAGGAGAAGAAAGACCTAATGAGCTTGAAGAAGACTATTGGAAAATATACAGCCAGAGGATACAAAAGAAAAAGGAATTTTAAAAATGAAGCATGCCTGTAGAATATAGAAAATAGCCTCAGGAGAGCAAATCTAAGAGTTACTGGCCTTAAAAAGGACATAGAGAAAGAGATAGGGTTAGAAAGTGTATTCCAAGTAATATTATTAGAGAACTTTCCAAGCCTGGAGAAAGGTATCAATATCCAAGTTCAGGAAGGTTATAGAACACCAAGCAGATTTAAGCCAAAGAAGACTACCTCAAGGCATTTAATCAAACTCCCAAAAGTCAAGGATAAAGAAAGGATCCTAAAAGAAGCAAAAGAAAATAAGCCAATAACATACAATGGAGCTTCAATACATTTGATAGCAGACTTTACAATGGAAACTTTACAGGCTAGGAGAAAATGGCATGGTATATTTAAAGTGCCAGAAAAAACCCTCTTATGCTAGAAGAGCATATTTAGCAAAAATATCCTTCAAACATGAGAGAGAAATAAGGACTTTTCCAGACAAACAAAAGCTGAGGAATTTTATCAACACCAGGCCCATTCTATAAAAAATGCCAAAGGGAGTACTTCAATTAGAAAAAAAGGACATGAATAAACAATAAGAAATAATCTGATTGAACAAAACTCATGCATAATAGCAAGTGCACAGAAACACAAATAATATTATAACACCATAACTGTGGTGTCTAAACAACTCTTAAGTAGAAAGACTAAATGATAAATGAATGAAAATAATAAATAAAACTTTTTACAACATAGTACAATAACATATAAAAAATAAAAAAAGCTGGGAAATGAAATAAAAATGTAAAATGTTTATGTTTTCTTTTTGCTTGTTTGTTGGTTTGTTTATACCAACATGTTATTATCGGCTTAAAATAATGGAAAAACAAAATGATATTTGAAGGCCTCATGGTAACATCATATATACAATAAAAAATAAAAAGCAAAAAATTAAGTCATATTACTAGAAGAAATTACTTTTAATAAAGAAAGAAAGGAAGGAAGAAAAGTAGGAAGAGAAGACCAAAAACAACCAGAAAACAAATAACAAAATAGTAGGAGTAAGTCCTTACTTATCAGTAATAACATTGATTATAAATGGACTAAATTTTTAAATCAAAAGACAAAGGGTGGCTGAATGGATAAAAAAGCAAGACCCAATGATCTATTTTCAACAAAAACACTCTATACATATAAAGACACACATAGACTGAAAATAAAGGGTTAGAAAATGATCTTCTATGTCAATGGAAAACAAAAAAGAGGAGTAGTTACATGAGAGAAAAGAATTTTAAGACAAAAACCATAAGAAGAGACAAAGTAGTCACCATATAATGATAAATGCATCAATTTAGCAAGAGGACATAACAATTTTAAATATATATGCACCCAACTGGAGCAACCAGATATATGAAGCAAATATTAGAGGTAAAGAGAAAGATAGACTCTAACAATAATAATAGCTGAAGAGTTTAACAACCCAATTACAGCATCGGACAGATATTTCAGATGAAAGTCATCAAAGAAACATCAAACTTAATGTGCACTTTAGATCAAATTGATCGGATAGATATTTGGGGAACATTTCATTCAATGGCTACAGAATACACATTTTTTTTACACAGCACATGGATTATTCTGAAAGATAGATCATATGTTAGGTTACAAAATGAGACTTAAAACATTGAAAAATTTGAAATAATATCAAGCATCTTCTCTGACCACAATGAAAACTAGAAATCAATAATGAGAAATTTTGGAAACTACACAAACATGTGGAAATTAAACGACATGCTTCTGAATGACCCGTGAGTCAACAAAAAAATTAATAATAAAATTGAAAATTTTCTTGAAACAAATGATAATGGAAACACAACATACCAAAACCTATGAAATACAGCCAAAGCAGTACGAAGAGGAAAATGTATACCAATACGTGCCTACATCAAAAAGAAGAGAATCTTCATATAAACAACCTGATGATGCATCTTAAAGAACTAAAGAAGCAAGCACAAACCAAACCCATCATTAGTAGAAGAAAAGAAATAATAAATATTATAGGAGAAATAAATATATTTGTAATTAAAAATACAAAAAATCAATGGAACAAAATGTTGGTTTTCTAAAAATTTAAATAAAATTGACAAAACTTTAACCAGACTAAGAAGAGAGGATTCAAATAAATAAAATTAGAGATAAAAGTGGAGACATTATATCTGATACTGTAGAAATTCAGAGGATCATTAATTTCTATGATGTGCAAATATATACCAATAAGTTGAAAAATCTAGAAGAAACGTACAAATTCCTACACACATGCAACTTATCAAGATTGAACCATAGAGAAATCTAAAACCTGAAAAGATAAAAAACATTTAACTAGATTGAGGCTGTTATGAAAAGCCCACCAGCCAAGAAGAGCTTGGGACCTGATGACTTAACTGCTGAATTCTACCAAACATTTAAAGAACTAATACCAATCTTACTCAAACTATTTTGAGAAATAAAGGAGGGAGGAATACTTTCAAACTCATTCTCTAAGGAAAGTATTACCCTACTACCAAAGCCAGACAATAATGGATCCAAGAAACAAAACTACAGGCCAGCCAATATTTCTGATAAATATTGATGCAAAAATCCTCAATAAAATACTAACAAATGAAATTCAACAACACATTAAAAAGTTTATTCATCATTACCTAATGGGATTTATTCCAGGAATGCAAGGATTTTTCAACATATGTGAATCAATAAATGTGATACACCATATGAACCGAAAGAAGGACAAAAACCCTGTGATTATTTCAACAGATGTTGAGAAAGCATTTGATAAAATTCAATATCCCTTCTTGATAAAAATTCTGAAAAACTGGGTATAGAAGGAACATACCTCAACATAATAAAAGCCACACATGACAAATCCATAGGTAGTATCATACTGAATGCAGAAAAACTGAAAGCCTTTTCTCTAAATTGTGGAACATGACAAGGATAACCACTGTCACCACTGTTATTCAAGATAGTACTGGAAGTCTTTCCTAGAAAACTAGACAAGAGAAAGAAATACAGGGCATCCAAATTGAAAAGGAAGAAGTCAAATTGTCTTTGTTTGCAGATGATGCAACCTTATATTCAGAGAAATCTAAATACTCCACCAAAAAACCTTAGAATGAATGAATGCATTCAGTAAAGTTGCAAGATACAAAATCAACATACAAAAATCAGTAGCACTTGTATATACCAACAGTAAATAATCTGAAAAAGAAATCAAGAAAGCAATCCCATTAACAATACGTACAAAAAATAAAGTATACAAGAATCAACTTACCCAAAGAAAAGAGAGATCTCTGAAACAAAATCTATAAAACACAGATGAAAGAAATTGAAGAGGACACTAAAAAGTGGAAAGATATTTTACATTCATGGATTGGAAGAATATTTTAAAATGTTCATACAACCCAAAGCATTAAATCTCTGGACTTAATGCAATGCCTGTCAAAATACTTATGACATTCTTCACAAAAATAGAAAAAGCAATCCTAAGATTCATATCAAACCACAAAGAGACAGAACAGCCAAAGCTATACTAAGCAAAAAGTATGAAACTTAAGGAATTGCATTATCTTACTTCAAATTATACTAAAGCACTTTAGTAACCATAATGGCATGGTACTTGATATGGTTTGGTTGTGTCCCCATGAAAATCTCATCTTGAATTGTAACTCCCACAATTCCCACATGTTTGGGAGGGACCCGGTGGGAGGTCATTGAATCATGGGTTGTGGTTCTTTCCCCTGCTATTCTCATGATAGTGAATAAGTCTCACGAGATGTGATGGTTTTATAAAGGAAAGTTTCCCTGCACAAGTTCTCTCCTTTGTCTCCTGCCATGTGAGACATGCCTTTCACTTTGTGCCATGATTGTGAGGCCTACCCAGCCATGTGGAACTATGAGTCCATTAAACCTCTTTCTTTTGTAAATTGCCCAGTCTCATGTATGTCTGCATCAGCAGTGTGAAAATGGACTAATACAGTAAATTTGTACCAGGAGTGAGGCACTGCTGAAAAGATACCTGAAAATGTGGAAGTGACTTTGGAACTGGGTAACAGAGAGGCTGGAAGAGTTTGGAGGGCTCAGAAGAAGAAAGGAAAATGTGGAAAAGTTTGGAACCCCCTAGAGACTTGTGAATGGCTTTGACCAAAATGCTGATAATGATATGGACAATGAAATCCAGGCTGAGGTGGTCTCAGATGGAGATAAGAAACTTGTGAGAACTGAAGCAAAGTTGACTCTTGTTATGTTTTAACAAAGAGACTGGCAGCATTTTGCTTCTGTCCTAGAGATTTGTGAAACTTTGAACTTGAGAGAGATGATTTAGGGTATCTGGCAGAAGAAATTTCTAAGCAGCAAAGCATTGAAGAGGTGACTTGGGTACTATTAAAGGCATTCAGTTTTAAAAGAGAAACAGAGCATAAAAGTTTGGAAAATTTGCAGCCTGACAATGTGATAGAAAAGAAAATCCCATTTTCTGAGGAGAAATTCAAGCCAGCTGCAGAAACTTGCATAAGTGGTGAGAAGCCAAATGCTAATCACCAAGACAATGGGGAAAATGTCTCCAGCGCATGTCAGAGACCTTTGCAGCATTCCCTCCCATTACAGACATGGAGGCCTACAAGAAAAAAAAATGGTTTTGTGGGCCAGACCCAGTGTTGCTCTGCTGTTTGAACTCTAGGGCCTTGGTGCCCTGCACTCCAGCTTCTCCAGTCATGACTAAAGGGGGCCAAGCGACATCTCAGGCCATGGATTCAGAAGGTGTGAGTCCCAAGCCTTAACAGCTTTCACATGGTGTTGAGCCCGTGGGTGTACAGAAGTCAGGAACTGAAGTTTGGAAACCTCTGCCTAGATTTCAGAGGATGTATGGAAATGCATGAATGTCCAGGCAGAAGTTTGCTGTAGGGGTGGAGTGCTCATGGAGGACCTCTGCTAGGACGGTCCAGAAGGGAAATGTGGTATGGGCACTCCCACACAGAGTCCCCACTGGGGCGTTGCTGAGTGGAGCTGTGATAAGAGGGCCACCATTCTCCAGACCCCAGAATGGTAGATCCACCAACAGCTTGCACTGTGTGCCTTGAAAAGCCACAGACACTCAATGCCAGCCTGTGAAAGCTGCTGGGAGGGAGGCTGTACCCTGCAAAGCCAGAGTGGCAGAACTGCCTAAGACCATGGGAACCCAGCTCTTGCATCTGGATGTGAGACATGGAGTCAAAGGAGATCATTTTGGAGCTTTAAGATTTGACTGCTCCACTGGATTTTGGACTTGCATGGGGCCATTAGCCCCTTTGTTTTGGCCAATTTCTCATTAGAATTTCCATTTGGAATGGGTGTATTTATCCAATGCCTCTACCCTCATTGTATCTAGGAAGTAACTAACTTTCTCTTGATTTTATTGGCACATAGGCAGAAGGGACTTGTCTTGTCTCAGATGAGACTTTGGACTGTGGGCTTTTCAGTTAATGCTAAAATGAGTTAAGATTTTCGGGGACTGTTGGGAAGGAATGATTGGTTTTGAATTGTGAGGACATGAGATTTGGGAAGGGCAATGGGCAGAGTGATATGATTTGGCTGTATCCCCAAACAAATCTCATCACGAAATGTAGCTTCCACAATTTCCACATGTTTGGGAGAGATCCCAATTGAATCATGGGGTGGGTCTTTCCCATGCTAGTCTTGTGATAGTGAATAAGTCTCATGAGATGTCATGGTTTTATAAAGGGAAGTTTCCCTGCCCAAGTTCTCTTCTCTTGTCAGCTGCCATGTGAGACATGACTTTCACCTTCCATCATGATTGTGAGGCCTACCCAGCCACGTGGAACTGAGTGCTGAGTCCACGTGGAACTGAGTTTAATGCAACATGAGTCCATTAAACCTCTTTATTTTGTAAATTGCCCAGTCTCAGGTATGTCTTTATCAGCATGAAAATGGACTAATAGAGTACTGGCATAAAAAGAAACACACAAACCAGTGCACCAAAATAGAGAATCCAGATGTCAATCCATACATCTACAGTGAACACATTTTTGACACAGCTTCCATGAACATACATTGGGGAAAGAAGAGTTTCCTCAATAAGTGGTGCTGGGAAAACTAGATATTTATATGTGGAATAATAAAACTAGACCCTTATGTTTCACTATATACAAAAATCAAATATAAAACCTCAGACTTTGAAACAACTACAAGAAAACTTTGGGGAAACTCTCCAGGAGATTGATCTGGGTGACAATTTACTGAGTAATACTCTACAAACACAGGCAACCAAAGCAAAAATAGACAAATGGAATTACATCAAGTTAAATTATATCAAGTTAAATGGACACAGCAAAGGAAAAAAATCAACAAAGTGAAGGGGCAACCCACAGAATGGGAGAAAATATTTGCAAACTACCTATCTGACAAGGGATTAGTAAGCAGAATATAAAAAGAGCTCAAACAACTCTATAGGAAAATCATCTAATAATCTGATTAAAAATGGGCAAAATATTTGCATAGACATTTCTCGAAGAAAGACAAACAAATGAAAAACAGACATATAAGAAGGTGTTCAACATCATTGATCATCAGAGAAATGTAAATCAAAACTACAATGACATCTCATCTCACCCCAGTTAAAATGGCTTTTATCCAAAAGACAGGGAATAACAAATACTGGTGAGGATGCGGAGAAAAGGAAACTTGTATATACTGCCTTATTTACCTGTTGCTGGGAATGTAAGTTAGTATAACCACTATGAAAAACAGTTTGGAGATTCCTCAAATACTAAAAATAGAACTAGCATATAATCTAGAGCTCCCACTCTTAAGTATATACCCCAAAATAAGAAAATCAACATTTCAAAGAGATATCTGCACTCTCACGTTTATTTCAGCATTATTCACAATAGCCAAGGTTTGAAAACAACTTAAGTGTCTGTCAACAGATGAATGGATAAAGAAAATGTCACACTTATACAAAATGGAGCACTATTCAGCCATAAAACAAATGAGATCCCGTCATTTGCAACAACATTGACAGTACTGGGATTCATTATGCTAAGTAAAATTAACCAGGAGCAGGAAGACAAATACATGTTTTCACTTATCTGTAGGAGCTAATAATCAAATCAATTTAACTCATGGAGATAGAAAGTAAAGGTATGGTTACCAGAGGCTGGGAAGGGTAGTGGGAGGGCAGGGATAGGTAGCAATAGTTAATGGCCACAAAATAAAATAGTAAGAAAGAATAAATAAGACATAGTATTTGATAGCACAACAGGGTTATTTTTGTCAGTAATTATTTAATTGTTCCTTTTAAAATAACTAAAATAGTATAATTGGATTGTTTGTAACAAAGGATAAATGTTTAAGGCTTTGGATGTCCAACTTTCCAGGATGTGATTATTACATTGTATTCTTGTACCAAAATATCTCATGTACCTCATAAGTATATACACCGACCACAGCTTTGGCTGATGAGAGTGGTACTTGCTTCTGTCTCATGCTCCAATCCTCACAGGGTTCTCTTACCCAATTCAACTGTGGCAGCCAATTGGGATAATCAGTCACTAACGGCCAACTGCATCTAGTCTGTAACACGGAGCCAGGCCAGCAGAGACATTGCCCAGCTTAATACCAAGCCTTTCTGGCAACTCTCTTCCTGCTCAGGTCCCAAGGGGGGAAACCCAGTTCCTTTGCCGGTGTCTGGAGCCCACACTATATTTATTTCTCAGTTCTGATTGTGGGATATATCCTTTTCACTACTCAAGCCCTAATTCCCTAATCCTAAGCCCAAGTCTCCAATGCCAATGCTAGTGCCACCCCTAGATTCCTGGATCATAAACAGCTTGTTAAGAGCTGGGGTCAAGAATGACATCTTTCAGTAGTTGGCCTTGGTCTGAAGTAGTGTGTGGAACATTACATGGAGCAGTTTCTTCTCACAGTCTCCTGGCCACTCTCTAAGTTAGTTTAGAAATTAAAAGGGTCAAGGTACTCTCCTGTGGCTTGAATTGTACAATTCCCAAGTGGTAAAGTGAACTACAGAAAATAACTCAGTTACCCTCTTCATATTGTAAATTTACTCCTAGTTTTCAGCCAGTCCTAGCCTCAGGTGTTGCCCATTTTCCTTCTCCATCCAAAATTTGGGCTTTCCTTTTACTTATCTGTTGAACTCCCACATTCCCTTTTGGATAATATATTCAAAGTGTAATTGTCTACACATTCTTTTGGTCCTTATAAGTGTATGAGATATGCTGGAAATGCTTCCAGTCAGTCATATTGGAAGAAAAAATGGAATTTTAAATTTCAGTTGCAAAAATTTCTAATTCTAGAATATCTTTTTGATTCATTTAAAGTAGTATCTATATATTTATTTTAATATTTTATATTTAGTGAGACAATCATCTTATTTTAATTATTTAAACACAATTTTCTCTAGTTTTTTAAACATATTTATATGGCTGATTTTAAATATTTGACTACTATGTTCAATATCTGGATTCCATTAGGAATGTTTGCTGTTGACTGAATATTTTACTGTATATGTGACATACTTTTCTCTTATATGCATGTCTCTTAATTTTTTGTTGAAAACTGGACATTGAGATCATATATTTTAACAACTCTGGTATTGGATCCATTCTACCAGAGGATTTATTGTTGTTTTTTTAATTTTTATTCTTGTTGTTTTCTAGATGCTACTTATTTGTTTAGTGATTTTCCTGAACTAATTCTGTGGATCCTGTATTTCTGCAGTACATAGCCACTGAGTTTCCTGTTAGCTGTTTTTAAATAACTAGTTTAAAGAATGGATTTATAGGTATCATCCCTATTTTAGTGTAATTTAGTGGTCAATATGTCTAATATTAGTTATTGACTAATAATTAGTCAATAAGAGTTTCCTTGGGATGATATATTTCTTACTCTTTACCAAAGTTATCTTTATTTGAAGGGATGCCTTCAAATTTCAGGCAGTTTACATGTTATCCTGAGCTTTCACTTCCTATTTATGCAGGGCTTCAAGGTCAATCAAGGTAAATTACTTGAGCCCTCTCCTTTTACAGGTTTTTTTGTGAGCATACACTCATCTCTGTGCATGTGTGCAGGCTTCCAAATCTTCAAGATTATGTCGGAGCTTTTTGAAGTTATCTATGGTAGTTTACCAGTTTTCCTCTCTAGGTCTTTGGTGAAAATTTTCCTCCAAACTATTCTTTGCCTTGTAAATAAAAACGTATCTGAGACAGGTCTCAATTAATTTAGAGGTCTATTTTGACAAGGTTAAGCATCATAACCTGTGACACATCCTCAGGAGATCCTAAAAACATGTGTCCAAGGTAGTTGAGTTGTAGCTTTATTTTACACATTTTAGGGAGACAGAAGTTACAGGCAAAGGCATAAACTAATACATGTAAGGTTTACATTGGTTTGGCCTGGAAGGTAAGACATCTCCAAGAGGGAGCTTCCAGAATGTAGGTGGATTTAAAGGTTTCCTATTTGACAGTTGGTTGAAAGGGCTAATCCCTGCCTGAAGAGTTGAAATCAGGTTGAACTAAGGTAAGAGGGGGTTGTGGAAGCTGAGGTTCTTTTCATATAGATGAAGCCTCCAAGTAGCCACCTTCAGAAACAGTAGTTGTATTTCTTCGACCTTAAAAGGTGTCAGGTTCCCTGGAAAGACCTAGTAAGGGAAGGAGATTCTGTACAGAATGCAAAATTTCCTTCATAAGAGATAGTTTTGCAGAGCCATTTAAAAATATGTCAAATGAATATATTTTGGGGTAAAATACTTTGATTTCCTTTAGGGCCTGCTATCTGTCATGTGATGCTATACTAGAGTCAGTTTGAAATTTGGTATCTTATTGTTACAAAGAGTCTGTTCTATCTCTATTTTAATGTTAATGCTGATGAGCTGTGCTTAAACTCCAAAGAGAGGAAAGTGTAATGATGCATGTCCAACACCCTCCTTCCCTTTATGGTCTGAACTGTATTTTCAGGTTTCTTTGGGTCCCCTTGGCCAAGAAGAGGGTCCACTCAGTCAGTTAGGGGGCTTAGAATTTTACTTTTGGTTTACAGCCTCAACTGAAATCACAGCCCTATGTATCAGTGATGTTACCAGCTGATTGTTATTGTTTTTGATAGTGTCATGTATATAAGACATCTTTTTTGGTAGGAGTAAGTGTGAGTCAGACCAAATAGTGGCAATGCCCTGGGAAAAGATATTTTCCAAAGAGCTCCTATTCAGATATAATATTGACTATGCTTTGAGTATGAGTTTTTAATAAAGCCCCAAAGGACAGCAGTCTTCTCTGCTGGCCAGAAGGTTGCCTACTTTTCATTGCTACCATGCCACAGAGAGGGGTTGGGGGTGGAGAGGTGGGATGAGTATAGTTCTAAGTTAAAGTGCTACAAATTGGGAAATCAAGTTTAGTCTAAAGCTGACCCCTTACATATTTTAAGTATGGCTTAAAGGTTTCTCTGTACATCATGAACTGTAACAAGTGGAGGTGTAAACAGACTGTAGCTTACACTTGTGCCATTCATTGAGTTTTAGCCAATCATACATAGCCAACTGTTTGAACCATGTTCAAATAAGGCAAATGCTGAGCTGCAACTGTTGCAGGACTTTTCCTTAGTTCAGCTAAAGATGGGGTCCTTGTGCATCTCTGGCCATGAAAATTTAGGCTTGCAGACAGTTTGAAGGATGAGCAAAGCAGAGTTTTGTTGGATGAAAAGGAAGAAAAGGGAGAAACAGAGACTCTTGCTAGGTCAGAGTCCCACTCACAGCTTCCTGCTCGGCTTTTTGAATCCTAATTTTCACACAGGAAGAGGAGGGGCCAGGCTCTTCCTTGTTGAAAAGGGTTCAAACTACCTCAGGCTCCACTCTAGTGTGCAGGCAGGTTGGAGTCTTTCCAGGAACGCCCCCTCCCACCTGGCTGTCTTATTTCTCCCTCTAAAAAAGTACATCTAACTGCCCTTAGATTAAGGATAGGGATGAAGACCCATCTTAACTGCTTCCTGCTGACAGGAGGAGCTGTTTCCAGGAAATGATAGTCAGAGCTTCCTCAGAGGCCTATTTAAGGGTCTCCAGCAGAAGGGGCAATAGTCAGAGGTTCTGGATGCATGGCCGTTTGGAGTTTGATGGCCTGAAGGCAAGAACAGAGAAACCGGGTTATTAGAAAACATGTATCAAAATGAAACAACGGGATGGGTAAGGATAGCTGAAAAATTCCAAGGACTTTTACCAGTTTACACAGGGAGAAGGAGGCCAAAAGCCCAACTGGTTTAAAAAAAAAAAAAAAAACTTTACCCTTTTGCAGGTATGTTGGGCTTCTCAGCTTCCTTCCCCTAAGCTCAATCCTAGGCCAACTAATTGAAGGTTTGGGGAATTATCTCTTTCCAGTTTGGAGGCTGCATCTGAGGGGAGTGTCCCATAGTACAGAGACACAATTATCTATCAGTGAAGAGAGAACCAACGAAAAAAAAAGGAAAAAAGGCTTCTTTTAAAGTAGTCCCAAGGGTTCAGGATGCATTCAAAATGAGTACAGACTAAAAATGAATGGCTACCCATCTATAAAGAGGGGAGAAGGCATCCCTGGTTACCATATCTTCCTAGCAGATACCCAGGGTATGTGAGGGAGAGAGGGAGGAGCATCCTCTTTTCCTCTTACGTCCTTGCATCCCTGAGTCCCAGTGACTTTGGCAGGTGTTGCCATGGGTACCAAAGTGGCTTGCACCCATGAAGCAGGGGGGCTTAGGGGGAGGGAATCATCTACTCTTACTCACATACACCTGATCTCCCCTGCTGTCAGTAGCCTTGGAGTTCCCTAGACCTCATTTATTCCATATATATTAACGTGGCCTTTATCCATGAAACAGGAAGCTTGGGCTTGGCTTAATTGGAATCAGCCACGCTCACCTGTGCTGTGCCTTTTAACTTCTGTTATCATTTGCCTCTGGATCCCTTAGATCCAGTTTTCTTTCCTTGAGCTTTGACCCAAAGCTTGGAATTGAGTCTGGGACAAAAATGTATCTCTTGTGGAGGGGCGCGGGGGTGTTGCATGAACTCCTTACTATAAGCCAAATGCTAAGGTGCAACTGTGGAACTGCATCCTCCTCCAAAAAGGGAGAGAAAAGGATGTCTTGTGACACACCCAGTTAACTGGTGGTTATAGTTATGTATGCTAGAATTTGTGTGCATGGTGCTTGGCTTTGGTTAGCTCCCTCAGTCTGGCTTCCCCAAAAGGGAATCTCCAGGTGATTGGCACCCTATTTATTCCCCAATTATTCCATCGCCTGGCAGGATTTGCAGGATAATTGCTCAGAATTAGAATACTGATCCAGATTTCTACATTACCTATCCCTCTTGTTCTTTCTGAGATGCAGCTAGGGATTGCTGGTTGGTTCACAGGAGCAAGCAGGGTTAGATTAAAATGTACGTGAAAACTTAAATACAACTAGTGAGTTTAGAATTTAATGATAAATGTATGATAAGTTTTGGAACACAATTTCTGTCTCTCTCCAGTCCTCATTTTTGTTAAAAATAAAATCATCATAGGACTGAGTGGTTTACAAAATAGACTTTAGTTTTATACTTGGCCTGATTATTTGCATAAAGTGCAGCAAGAATAATTATTTCTACATAGGCCTTTTGGATTGGCTTTGATGGAATTCTGTTCCACAAGGAATCTCAGAAAAGAACTTTTAAATCTGAGCACAACCATGGGATTGTATCCTCAAACACCTGTGAGTTGGGTGATTCTCTCCTCTTAGGGTCCCAAGATAAATTTGGAGCTCCTAGACCTGCTATAAGGTGGAATTCTTTACTGACCACAGGTTAGAAACCCTGTACAGGGACTGTGTAGATGAGGGTATGAGGCCAGTCTCCCATTGGGCTTTTATCAGCTGCAAGTTGAGATTGACTCCTTAAAGGGAAGCATACCCTTCCAGTCAAAGCCTTGGTAAAATAATGACCTTTTCCAATTGTGTCCTGTTGCCAAAAAAAAAAAAAAAAATATTATTGCACTGATGTAAACAACTGTATTGCCATAAGAATACTCACAAATAGTTTCCAAATTTTACAGAAAACAGGCAGAGAGAGAAACAAACATGTTCCAAATTTTCTTCATAAGAGTATACCTTACTCAATTATTAAAGGCCATAAATAGTTCAAAATAAGTTTCCTTGACTCTGAAAAACAAAACAAAGATTAACAATATTCCAAGGAAAAGTCAAAAAGATTTGCTTCAGTTTCTTAAGTTTAGTCCGTTTAGTTAACTCTTGTTTTGCTTGACATTTGTGAGCATTTCAGCTTTTCATGAGTCCTGTACATTTTCCTTTATTCCAATGTCACAATCTCCAAAATTATCAGAAGCCTTATTGTCTCAAATACAATCAGAAATTGTATTTGGAAGCACTATCAGAGTCTCATAGCTTCTTATAAACCATCTTTTGAAAAGGATTAAAACCAGGCAACTATTGTCTGTTAATAGTAAACTGTCCAAGGTAGTTACAGTTAGAAACACAATTCACAAAGAAGTTTGGTTATCTCTGTGGTTTCAAATAACTTAACAGTCTTAATTACGATTGGTAGCATATACTTAGATGTTAGGAATAAGGCTCAAAATTCTAAGGAAATTGAACACTCAAACAAAGGATTCTTAGCAAAACAATTTTACTTCTGCACAGAGGGTGCCTCCTTGGCCAGTTGCCATGAGAGCACACATGAACAAAGGGGCACAAGAGCCTTTATTCCTGATGCAAGTCCTGCCTCTGTACCCTTTCCCCATTGGCCGGGGTCGGGTTGTACAATTTAAACTAATCCCGGTTGGCTAAACAGTTGATTTTTTTTTTTTTTTTTTTTTTTTTTAGATAGGGTGGACACGTAAAAGAAAGTGGTGAGGAAGGGGAAGGGGTGTTTGTAATGAGCTAGAAAGTTAGTCCTCTTTCCAAATAAGGAAAAGAATGTGAGCTGGTACTGATAACACTTGGTCCTGAGGAGTGCCTGGGCATCTAACAAAGGCAAAAAGGAAAAAGGAGAAAAAGGAGGAAAAGCGGGGAGGGGGTTACTATGAATTAAAGAATAAAAGATTAACCAGATTATTTGAAGAGAAACCTCATCATATCCCACAACTTCCCACTTTCCCTTTTGTTTTAACTCTTTCTAGCATAATTTGGCTCCGTTGTTCTACTTGGTCTTCTAGAAGGAAAAGCCTATTTGAATTAGGGGAGGAAGGATCGTAAGAGATTTTAGTGAGAGCTGTTTCAATAAGTCTTTGTATTAACCCTGGGGCACAGGGTATGATGCAGCATCCTACAAGAATAAGCAACCCTATTCCAATGGCTAGAGAGATGAGGATTGAGGACATAAGTCCCTTCCATCTACCAAACCAATTTCCCATTAAATTTGTGAAGGGATCGTTTAGTCCAGAATTTTTGACTAGTTCATTTGATAAGGCAGTAAGATCTTGTAATGCTTTAGTTATCGTCTCACCAGGAGCAGTGTTATTAGGAATATAAGTACAGCTTTTGGTCCTGATCATGACACAAACTCCACCTTCCTTTGCTAGTGTCATGTCTAATGCTATCCTATTTTCCCAGGCCATTTGACTGGCGGGTCCTAATTGTTCAGCTATTCCTTTAATAGCATCTCTAGTATAATTAATAAATCATTGCTGATTATAATAAATGTAATTTATCCAATCCACATTTTTATTTACAGTTAACCACCAGAAGAACATAGATTCAAATCTGGCAACTATTTGGTTTCGGGCCTTAAATTCATTTGGCACTCCTCTTGGGACCCCAATGGCATCTATATAAACATGAGAATTGAAGGCCCCTTGGAGGGTCTCTCTTGTTTGACAATGTTTGGTTCCCACCCTTTCTGGTTGATGAAATGCCAGGGTGCAAGGGATGGCCAATTGAATTAGAGCACAAATTCCGCTCCAGTTACTTGGCAGAGTGTCCAGTATTGGTCCACCACAATACCACCACATATCTGCTTGAGGATGGCTAAGGGCAGACTGATGGGTAAGCTCTTGGAAGGGCTTAAGCTCACTGCATCCCATTAAGGCTCCAAGGAATGCCAAATTCTCTCCCTGTCATGAGAGACACGAAGTAAAATTGGCATTGGGAGATGGACGCTGAATGGCCCTCAGGGGCTGACCCGCAGGGTGTTTAACTTCAGGGAACAGCAGAAAAAGAGCTTGGCATGATTTGTTACAACAGGCTGAGGGGTCTTGGAAGAGAGCTACCATAAAGCTCATGCCCGATCGGCTGGAAGATCATCCAAGTGGAAAGGGGACAATCTGGGCCTCTGGTCTACCATGCACACAAGCATTATATTACTTTTGTTTAAAGTGCAGATGGAATATTTAATCCATTCCAACCAGGCATTTGCATCTTGATATCCTGTCTCTAGAGCTATAGCTTGCCTTAAGTTTTCTACCTCCACAACTGTTACCTTGGTTGGGTCATTTTGGAGATGGGAGGAGGATGTTGGACTCACTATACTTGGGGAGAGCATTGGGTTCTACGTGTCTCCCAGACTTTGGGTCTGAACTCCTTTATTATTGTTAACCAGTGTTTTAACTAACCTCAGGGAGAAGATTCCTATAGGGTCCTGTCCTTCAACATCTACTCCTAACCCATACCATTAGAATATAGAGGGCTCTTGGGCCATTTTCCAAGGATTATTTATAATCAGCAACAAGAAGTTACAGTGTAATGGCTTACAATTTGGTGGGGTGGGACCATGGACTAGTTGGAGTTTTTGTTTTAGTCCCCATAACGTATTTGAAGCTGGGGGTTTGGCTGTCCACCCTTTGTACTTAGTAGTCCACCGAACATCTGCCCAGTCACCACAGGGACTTTTTAAGGCTCCGTACTTATACCTGCTGGATTCTTCATGGTATGGACATCGATACTTATCAACATGGAATAGCTTCTTTTGAGCTTGCTCATCTCCACACGGGGTGGCTGAACAGACATCAAACTGAAGGGTTAAAGGATGACTAGCCTGAGTTACATCGATGACAAGATGACCTTCTGTTGAAAAGAAAAAAGATACAAACAAGTGACTATTAGGCTCTTTTTAGAGTTACTTTGGTGGGGGTGGGCCCTGGAGTGACAGTCCATGATTCTGGAGGCGGTGGCACCTTCTTGACTCAGGTGTGATGAGCCCATCCTCTTTCCGCTGTCTGGATTGCAGTCTCAGTAGTTAGGAGCACTAGGTAGGGTCCTTCCCTGGCTGGTTCGAGCTTCCCTTCCTTCCACCCTTTGATGAGAACGTGGTCTCTGGGCTGATGCTTATGTGCTGAGAACTCCAAGGGTGGTGCCTGTGCTCGGAGGCCTTTAGTCTTAAGTGAAGAGAAGGTAGGGGATAGACAAAGTATACAATTTTTGAGGAACTGATCTTTTGTTTCAAACGTAGGGATGTCAGGAGTGGAGTATAAGTAGGGCAATCCATAGAGCATTTCATAAGGGAAGAGACCAATATCTCTCTGAGGAGCAGTCTGGATTCTTAACAAAGCAATAGGAAGACATTTAGTCCATGGCAATCGAGTTTCTAAAGCTAACTTAGTTAAGTGGTTTTTTAGAGTCTGGTTCATCCACTCTACTCTTCCTGAGGAGGATGGATGCCAAGGGGTGTGGTATTCTCAATTTATATCTAGTACTTGGGCTAACTTCTTAGTGACATGCGCAGTGAAGTGGGTTCCATTATCTGAGTCAATATTTTCTATTAGTCCAAATCTGGATATGATATTTTCAATTTATGCTTTAACTACATTACCAGCGGTTGCACTTGAGAATGGGTTTGCCTCTACCCAGTGGGTAAAGTGGTCTATTATTACTAATAAGTATTTTAAATGACCAATTGGGGCATTTCAGTGTAATCGATCTGAACACTTTGAAATGGTCTCGACCCTGGAATTCTTCCTCCAAGGGGCGATTTCCTTAGAACCTGTTTATTAGTATTTTTACACATTAAACTACTATCTATAACTTGTTTGGCCAGGGTGTAAATTCCTATACACCCATAAACCCGGAGAACTACATTGCACATTGCTTGGGGTCCCCAATGGGTCCCCTGGAGACCTCCCTCATGAGAAGTTTGGATAACATTTCCCCCTGATCTGTCAATATTCATTTCCCTTCCACATTTTCTTTAGCTCCTATTTTTGTTAACCTCTCTTTTTCAATGGAAGAGAAAATGGGGGTTGCAGTAGGAGAAGGAAGGCATGGAGTTAAATGAAAAACAGGCATTGCGGAAGAAACGGCAACTTGTTTTGCTATCTGATCTGCAAGATTATTTCCCCAACTTGTGAGAGACAAGTCCCCGTGGTGCCCTGGGACATGCACAATATCTATCTCTTCCCGCAATTGGAGATTGTTGAGGACACTAGTAATCAGCTCTCTATGAACTAAAACTTGGCCTCTACTTTTGATAAGACCCCTGTCCATACAAATTTTCCCAAATATGTGTGCCATCCCAAAGGTATACTTAGAGTCAGTATAGATAGTTCCTTCTTGGTTTTGTAAATGTCCTAAAGCTTGGCTGAGTGCAAACAGTTCACACATTTGGGCAGACCAATCATTAGGCAGCCTTCCTGATTCTACTTCTTCAGGAGTCTCTCAGTCAATCACTGAATACCCATTATGTCTTCCCTTCAATCACCCTGGAGGACTAATCTATGAATAAGTGCTACCCTGTCTTGAAGGGAGTTTCTCCTAAGTCTGGTTGAACTTTTATATGATAGTCAATCAAATCTAAACATACATGATCCCGTTTTAAGTTTGGATCCCCTGTTAAAATGCCTGCTGGATTAAGTGAATTATCAGTAGTTAATATTAAATCACATTTTTCCAGTAAGATACCCTCATATTTTAAAATTCTTGAGTAAGTGATCCATCTCCCTGCTTTCTGATTTAATATAGTTCTAACTTGGTGGGGCGTGCTTACTGTTAACTTTCCTCCAAAGGTTAACTTTCTACTTTCTTCAACTAATAGTGCTGTAGCTGCGATGGATTGGGTACACTGGGGCCACCCACAAGTGACTGGGTCTAAGACCTTTGACAAGAAGGCCACGGGCTGTTGGTGGCCTCCATGTTCTTGGGTGAGCACTCCTAGGGCTACCCTGTTGTTTACATTAATGAAAAGGTGAAATGGCTTTTCTAGGGAAGGTAGAACTAGAACAAGGGTGGTTATGAGCATCTCTTTTAATTCCTCAATCTGCTGGATTTCCTGGGAAGTCCACAAGAGATTATCAGGCTTCCACTGGGCAAGTTTCTTACATAGAAGTTTACTTTTTAATGCATATGAGTCAATCCATAAACAACAATATCCAATTAGTCCTAAAAATTTCCTGAGTTTTTGTTTAGTTTGGGGCAGGGGTAGGGAAACAATTTCCTCCACTCTTTCAGGTCCTATTTTTCATTTACCTGCACTGATTAGGTGGCCTAAGTATTTAACTTCAGGTTCTACATACTGAAGTTTCCCTTTTGAGACCCGCAAACTCTCACATTGCAAGTGATTGAGAATGTGTGTAGAGAAGTCACCTACTCCTTTTATGTCTTTACCAGATATAAGAAGATCATCCATGCACTGAAGCAGACGTATTTGTTTAGGGACTGTAACTTTCTCTAGTACTTGTTCTAGGATCTGACCAAAGAGGTTGGGGGAGTCTGTGAACCCCTGGGGCAAGACTGTCCATCGATATTGTTGTCTCTGCCCCGAATAGGGGTCTTCTGACTCAAAAGCAAATGTATCTCGGCTATCCTCAGCCAAGGGGCATGCCTAGAAGGCATCCTTCAGATCTATCACTATAAACCATTGATGATAATATGGAATTTTGCTAAGAATGGTGTAAGAGTTAGGAACACTGGGGTGAGTGGTCTGGACTGTTTGATTAATAGCTCTAAGGTCTTGCATCAATCGATATGACCCATCTGATTTCTTGACAGGCAGGATTGGGGTATTGTAAGGAGACATACAGGGTTCAAGAAGCCCATCTTTAATGAGACCCTCAATTACAGGCTTTAGCCCTACTCTGCCCGTTAAAGAAATGGGGTATTGCTTTCTCCTTACTATTTCCCCAGGGGTTTTTAGTTTGATATATATTGGAGGGATTTGGAGTTTCCCTCTATT
Organism: Homo sapiens; assembly: GCF_000001405.40. NCBI lineage: Eukaryota > Metazoa > Chordata > Mammalia > Primates > Hominidae > Homo > Homo sapiens. Next base: position 73,262,498 of record NC_000023.11, read on the forward strand.
TCCTTCCTTTGACCAGATATCAGGATGAATATATTTCTCATCCTCAGCAGCAAGTAAATGTAGTGAAGTGAGGAATCCTTTAGGGCCCACTTGAAGGCCTATGCCTAGATTTAACACTAGGTCCCTTCCTAATAAATTAGTTCCTGCTTCAGGAATTAATAAAAATTGAATATGGGTAAATCGATCTTGATATCTGACTTCTGTGCTTTCTAAAATTTTTGCCTTAAATCCTTCTCCTTCTACCCCAGAGATGAAAAGTTCTTCTGAAGAGCAGGTGAGACCAGGTGGAGGGAAACAGAGGAGCGTGAAGCCCCTGAATCAACTAGAAAGGTGATAAATTCAGGTTTAGACCCCACATCCAAATTTATCAAGGGCTCCTGGTGGGACTCAAAATAAAAGAGGTGGAGCCCCCTGACTCCCCTATTGTTCCTCAAAAGTCATGAGTGTGAAAGTTTCTCTCTCTCTCTCTAGTGCAGGACACTCCCTCTTGAAGTGGCCTGTTTTTCCACATTGGTAACATATATCTTGTCCTTCTCCCTTCTCAGTCTTAGCATTCTCTGCCCTTGCCCCCCTATACCCCTTAGGGGGCTTATTAGTTGAAGACCTCAGCCCTCCAGATGGAGGCTTGGGCCTTCTTAAGAATGATCTAGGCCCCTTATCATCTCTGGCCCCTTGGAAGCCCTGCTTAGAGATATATGGATTTGGAGCCATCTGCTGGAAGGTAGGTAACATAAGTTTTGTCTTTTGTTTTTGTTTTTCCTCATCTCTTCTGACATATACCGTTTGAGCCTCCCTAAGCAGTTCACTCAGGGGACGGTCCTCCCAATTTTCTATTTTTTAAATTTTCTTGAAATGTCTGGCCAACTTTTAGTAACAAAATGAAGTTTTAACATTCCCTGTCCAAGGGGATTTTCCAGATCAAGGCCTGCATATTGTCTCATTTGCTCCCTCAATCTAAGAATCTAGCATGTCCCTCATCTTTTTCCTGTTGAATATCAAATGCTTTAGAAAGATTTCAAGTTCGGGGTACTGATATTCGAATTCCTTTTGTTATTACCTCCCTTAGATCCTGCATGTTTTCCCAGTGATTTGCATTGTTATTGTCCCACTGAGGGTCGTGGGCGGGAAATTCATGGTCCACAGGAGGAACATTTTGACCCGGAGGGTGCTCACGTTCCCAGACTGCCACAGCAGCCCTCCGAATCATACTTCGTTCTTCCCCTGAAAAGAGGATGCCCCTGATGGACATCAACTCAGCCCAAGTGCCTATGTCAGGCCTTAAAAATTGATCAATTTGATCTGCTACTCCATAAGGGTCATCCAGTAATGGCTTAAGCTCCTTTTTTAAATTCCGGACCTCTGAACTAGTTAAGGGAGCGTTTACAAAGCCAACAGCCCCTCTGCCTTGCGGTACCTCTCTAAAAGGAAAGAAAGTTGGATCTGTCTCTTTGGGTGTAGAGGGAAATACAAAGTTTTGAATATCTTTTTTTACATTGCTCTATTTCACATTGAAGCCCCTTTAAAGATAGATTGGGAGGGGGCAGGCTCACATGACGGTAATTCTGCAGAGTCGGTATTATAAGGGGGGGGGAGGGTGAAATATGAGCAGAAGTATCACAAGCAAAGGAGGGATCCACAGCAGCAGCTGGGAGAATCGAACAGGCTGAGGCGCTGCCTGAAACAGCTGGGAAGTAACCCACAACGGGAGCCAGGGGGACGGCACACGCTGGGGCGTGACCTGACACGGGGACAGGAGGGGAGTGTTAATTTATTAATTGGATTACTGGCTTCAAGATGGAGCTCTTCAAGGAAGAAGGCCAGGAAGACTTGCACTTTCTAGAGCCTAATAAGCAGGCACAACTGGAAGGCAAAACAGATTCCCAATCAGTGTCCCATTTTCATACTGGATCCTGTATTCCCAAAAGAGAAACTCTATGGAACACGACAGTGCAATAATTTTACTGTGTATTTTATTGCAAAGTAACCCAAAGCCAATTAGCCCACTTTGTGATCAGCACATCCTCCCATGGGAGTCATCTCTCAGCAGACGGTGGGGACATTTCCATATTTTCTAGGCGGCAAAGTGCATGCTTCTCTAATCCAAATGTGCAAAGAGTTGAGTATTCACCCATAATTGCCATTTGCTATCCCTAAAAGTATATTTAGCCTTAGAGTTTGAAAGAAATGTATCTGCTTTAAATTCCTTGAGTTTCATGAGGAAAACAGGCTTTTCCCAAAATGGGGTCTGTGACACCTCCTCTATTTTTCCCAAGGAATCTCAGGCACACATACGGATTGCAGCACTATTCTCAATAGCAAAGAGATGGAATCAACCTAAATGCCCATTGGTGATAGACTGGATAAAGAAAATGTGGTTCATATACACCTTGGAATACTATGCAGCCATAAAAAACAATTTAATGTCCATTGCAGCAACATGGATAGAGCTTGAGGCCATTATTCTTAGCAAATTAATGTAGGAATAGAAAACCAAATACTGCATGTTCTCACTTGTAAGTGGGAGCTAAATGATGAGAAAATATGGACACATAGAGTAGAACAACACACACTGGAGGCTTTCAGAGGGTGGGGGGTGGGAGGAGGAAGAAGATCAGGAAAAATAACTACTGTGTACTAGGCTTAATACCTGGGTGATGAAATAATCTGTATAACAAACTCCCATGACACAAGTTTACCTATGTAACAAACCTGCACTTGTATCCTTGAACATAAAAGTTAAAAAAGGTAAAAATAAATAAAATAGAAACAAATATATAATAGAGGAAATAAGCAAATATTTCATTTAAAACAATTGATAAAGCAAAATTTAAATAAAATGCAAATTATCAAAACTATGAATAAAAAAGTGATCACCCTTAGTGATTCTACATTTAAAAATATAATAGAATACTATAAACAGCAGTATGCAAACAAATCCAATATCTAAGATTAAGTGGATAAATTTTTTGAAAAAAATAACAAAAGAAAACATACTAATCTGAATAGTCTTTGAATAAACTGAATTCCTTGTTATACATTATCCTATAAAGATAATTTCAAATCAAGATGGCTTAGCTGGTAAAGTTTTTCAAATACTTAAATAATAAATATTACCAATGTTATACAAAATTTTCCAGAGAATATACATCATATAGTTCCTAAATTGTTTTATAAAACCAGCATAACTTTGATCTGAAAATAGGACTGTTACACTGTGAGAAGATCATTTAAAACTAATGTAGATCATGAATATAGATATAAAATTCTAAACAAAATAGAGGCTGGTAGTATACAGAGATATATAAAAATTACTGTATTTCATATCCCTGTGAAATTTAGTCCAGAAATATGATTGCTTTAAAAGTTCAATAATCAATATAATTCACATAATAAGGAAATAAAGATGAGAAAATGTATTTGGTATAACTCAATACATATGCATAATTTTTTTTAAATTTTGAAAACATTGTGGCAAAAGGGAACTCCATTAAGAGCAGAATATATTTGAAACCTTTGTAGATAACAGAAACTCCATGTGAAAATATTAAATGAATTGATATACAGTTTCAAAACACAAGAAGGTTGTCCACTCGCACCACATTAATTCATTAGTGCAATGAAGGTCTTAAGCAGTGCAATAAGCAATAAAAAGTCATAAAAGGTACAATGATTGTAAAAGAAAACAAAAATCTGCCATTATTCAAGTGACAAAATTGGGTACATGTAAAGTCCAAAATAATCTCTGAGCAGATTATGAAAATTAATGTCAAGTTAGTATGATTCTTGAACCACAATTAGTATACAAAAATTAGTGCAGAAGTTTTATTTTTTTTTCAAGACGGCAGATTGGAGGCATTATTAACATGCCTCCCCAACTTGGAAAGGCAAAATAGTATATAGAGATTCACACTGTGAACTTTTTTCCAAGAAGCATTGCAGGAACTCTACAGGAAAGCTGAAAGAAGCTACAAACCTTTTGAAAGGAGCAACAGGCTGCAGCTTACACAATGAGCCAGGCAGAAAACTTTAGGTTCCCAGAGTGTGAGAGAGGGATAAACTGCCTGTATGATACACATTCCCATCAGAAAACCTACCAATCCAGGCCACTGGGGAAGATTTGAACCCTACTCAGCACTGGAACTGATTTAGGGAACAGTGGGGAAAATAAAAGTTGGAGCAGTGAGAAGAGGCTTGCTTCCATTCCCAGTCTCTAGTGTAGATGAAGGGGGCCATTTCTGATTCTACCTCACAGGGGACTCTGCAGAATTCTGCCAGCTAACTCAAGTGGTGGTCACAGGTTGAGGGAAACCCTCAACTGAGATTCATGACATAATTTTGAGTGGGGATGAACTCCTTTGGCCAGAACTGGGAGGCAAATGGGAAGTGGGCTGCAGCTGCAAGTGCAGGAGCTGGATGCCCTGGCTAGATGGGCAGACCAGGAGGGGTGTGGTCTGAAAGCTGCGGTTGCTCTGTGGAAAGGCTTATGGTCTGGGGCAGTTTTGCATTCTGAGTGCAGACTTCCTGGAAATTAGCTAGCTGCTGCTAGTGGAATACTGTAGGTGTGAGACCTGAGTTGCCAAGTGTCTGGGAGCTGAGTGGGGCTTACTGCCACCTGCTACTCACCACCCCATGTACGAACTCTTCTGTGCAACAAAGACCATTTTGCTCCTCCGTGGAATATTACCCAAATTTCCAGAGAACTGTCAACCAATATTCACTGGGGCCATTGCTTGCCCTGCACATGGAGAGCCAGAGCACAAATTTGTCTGACCCAGGTTCCACTTGGCTTTGCTCCTCTACCTGATCTGGTAGTTTAACACAAAGGACAGAAACTTTTGGGACTTCTAGGGCCCCACCCATTGCCTGAGTCACCAGAGTACCTCCTCATGGTAACATAAGGCAGGCACAAGTCTCACTACTACCACTGTGGCTGGCACTCTTTTGCAGAAGCCATCTCCTGGCTTGGGGCCAATTGACACAGTCCATTACAGAATCTCCAGGTAGAATACTACAGCACCCAGGAAGGAGAAAACCTGATAGCATAGCCTCAGCTATCACCATTGCCTGCAGCACCATGGTTAATCAGGAGTATGTCCACATGAGTTTATTACTACTACAACCAGCATTTGATAAACCCAATACACTAAAGCTATTTATAACCAGATAATTTCACATCACTCTCCCACTACACCCATTGGAGCTGGTGCTGGTACCTGCTGCTGAGAGACTTGAGGAAAAGTCACATCACTGAATCCCTTGCCAACATTTTCCAACACCAGCCTGGAGTATGGCAGCTCCACTGGGCAGCTAGAACCAGGGGAACAGCAGCATTTACAGGAGTCTGGCTCTCAGGGACTCCTACTCCTAGGGGAAGGGAGAGTGCACCACATGCCTGTGAGACAAAAGAATTTAGATGGCAGGGCTTGAGTCCCATAACTTTCTGCTTGTGGGAAGTGTCTTTCAGCAGAATTACAGGTGCAGTGCTGGGCTCAGTAGGGAAAATCTGTAGCTCTACCCCAACATTCAGGCAGCCCTGCTGCTCATGAAGATTTTTGGAGAAGGGAACATTTGTTCCCCTTGTCCACTACTGCAGACACAGCTGGGGCTTCTCACATGCAAGCTCAGCAGGGGTACACCTATAGACAGCCTTTCTGGAGCACTTCAGAGTGACTGCATTCCCACAGGAGGAGTGCCTTTCAGGTTCAGGCTTGCATAAAAAGTAGAGTCACAATACCTCCCTATTTGAAACATCAACCTCATTGCAGATGAAAAGATGTGCCTCTCTGATTTGAATAGCCTGGACACTGGGTCAAGAGTGTGACTAGGAGGTGGACCACTTTCCTGCTGGCTTGGCAGAGGTGTTGAGGTTGCTCCCTCCTTTCACCCGGAGAAGACCTCAGTGTGTTTCACTGAGAGCTCCCCCAGCCACCTATGTCAAAGTTGGGACTTTCTGCATGTGGGAAGTTTCTTTCAGCAGAAGTACAGATGCAGTGCTGGGCTCAGTCTGAAAAGTTATGTGGCTCTACCTCAACAGTCTGACAGCACTGGTGTTTGTGAAGGGTATTGGAGAAGCTGGGGCTTCTCCCATGGGAGCTCGACATGGGTGAACATGTAGACAGCCTTTCTGGAACACTTCAGGGTGATGAAATCCCCAAAGGAGGAATGTCCCTCCATGTTTAGACATGCTCTAGGAGTAGAACCACAATCCCTCTTTACATTGAACAACAGCATTCTTGCTCATGAAAAGAGGTGCCTGTCTGATCTGAATAGCTGGAATACTGTGACAGGAGTGTAACTGGGAGGCAGATTGTTTTCCTGCTGGCCTTTCAGGAGAGCTGAGGTGGTTCCCTCACTTCCCTATGAAAGGACCTCAGTGTGATTAACTGGGAGCTCCCCCAGCCACCTCTGTCTGTCAGGTTGGGACCTCTGCTCACCACTGAGTATTGCATTTACCCACCTGCTTTAGCCACCACTGGTTTCTAACCAGGGATACCACTCTCATTCCTCTGAAGCCTGAACTATTCAACCTGGAAACAAAATACCGGGGAAAAAATAAATTTTTTAAAAAGTGCACGCTCTGAGGGAACAAGATAAGCTTCAAAAGACCTCTTTCATTTCAAAGTCATAGGAGACAGTAAATTTGCTTGCACACAGCACATTGCTACTACAAACAGGATTTAAGAAAGCCATGGTACATGGACTCTCTATAACCAAGGAACTCATGTAGAGCCTTCATCTCTGAAAGCAAAAAGAGCCAAAAAAGGCTGCAATAAACTATAAACATTAAAATTATATCATTAAGGGGGAAAAAGAAATTTTAAAAAGCCACATGGTCAAATCAAAAATAAATTCAAGACTAATTAGAAGAAATAGTCTACCCAAATGAGAAACAGACAAATAATTCTGGCCATATTACAAAACAGTGTTCTAGAATACTTGCAAAAGATCACACTATCTCACCATCAATGGATTCAAACCAAAATAAAATCCTTTAAATACAAGATAAGTAATTCCAAATGTTGATTATTAAGCTATTCAAAAATATACACGAGAAAGGTGAAAACTAACATAAAGATACTTTTTAGGAATTCAGGATATGAGTAAATATAATCTAAAAAGATAGATATTTTAAAGAAAAACCAATCAGAACTTTTGGAAATGAAAAACACATTTAGGGAATTACAAAATGAAGTGGAATATTTCAACATTAGACTAGACTTAGTAAAAGAAAGAATTTCAGAGCTCAAAGACAAGACTTTTGAATTGACTTAATCAGACAAAAATAAAGAAGAAAGAATCAAAAGAAATGAACAAAGTATCCTAGAAATATAGGATTATGTAAAATAGCCAAACTTAAGAATAATTGGTGTTACTGAGGGAGAAGAGAAAGCAAAAATTTGGAAAACGCATTTGATGGAATAATTGAGGAAAACTTTCCTAGCCTTTCTAGAGGTTTAGCTATCCAAATATAAGAAGTTTAAAGAAAATCTCAGAGATTCCTTGCAAAAAGAACATCACCAACTCATGTAGTCATCAGGCTATCTAAAATCAAAGTGTAGAAAAGAATTCTAAGAGCAGTGAGACAAAAACATCAGGAAACCTCTAAAGGAAATCCTATCAGACTAACAGTAGGCTTCTCAGCAGAAATGTTACAAGTCAGAAGAGATTTGGGTACTATATTTAACCTCTTTAAACACAACAATTGTCAGTCAAGATTTTTGTATCCTGTAAATTAAGTTTTATAAATGAAGAAGAAATAAAGCATTTTTCAGACAAACAAATGCTGAGACAACTTGTCAGTACCAGACCAGCCCTATAAGAAATGATAAAAGGAGTGCTAAATCTTGAAACAAAAGGTTAATATGCACCAGAATACAACCTCTTAAAATCATAAAACTCTTAGGTTCTATAAAACTATAACAATGAAAAAACAACATGTAAAGATAAAAATCAACATAACAACTGGAACAATATCTCATATCTCAATATTAATGTTGAACGCAAATGGCCTAAATGCTTCACTTAAAAGATGCAGATTGACAGAGTGGATTAAAAAAAAACACAAACCAAATATCTGTTGTCTTCAAAAGACTCACTTAACACCTAGGGATTCATATAAAATCAAGGTTAAAAGTTAGTGTTAGATAAAGGGGTGGAAAAAGATATTCCACATAAATGGAAACAGAAAACAAGCAGCAGTAGTTTTTCTTATATCAGATAAAGTAGACTTTAAAGCAACAACAATAAAACAAGACAAATAAGGTCATTTAATAAGGATAAAAGGATCAATCCAACAAGAAGATATTACAATCTAAATATATACATATTTAATTTTGTGGCTCCCAGATTCATAAAACAATTACTACTAGACCTAAGAAATGAGATAGGCAGCAACACAATAATAGTGGGGGACTTTAACATATCACTGACAGCACTAGACAGATCATCAAGGAAGACTGTCAGCAAGGAAACAGTGAACTTAAGCTGCACTGTGGAACAAATAGTCCTCACAGATATTTACGGAAGATTGAACTCATGAACTGCAGAATATACATTCTTCTCATTAGCACATGGAACAGTCTTCAAGATAGACCGTATGATAGGCTACAAAACAAGCCTTCACAAATTTCAAAAATCAAAACTATGTAAAGTGTCTTCTCAGACCACAGTGGAATAAAACTAAAAATAAACTCTAAAAGGAACACTCAAAATTATACAAATATATGGAAATTAAACAATCTGCTCCTGAATGGTTTGGGGGTTAACAATAAAATCAAGATGAAAATTTGAAAATTCTTTAAAATGAGTGATAATAGTGATGCAAGTTATCAAAACCTCTGAGATACAACAAAAGCAGTGTTAAGATGAATGTTTATAGCACTAAATAGCTATATCAAAAAGTCTGAAAGATCACAAATTGACAACCTAATGTCACACCTCAGGGAACTACAAAAACAAAAAGAAACCAAACATAAAACTAGCAGAACAAAAGAAATAACAAAGATCAGAGTACAACTAAATGAAATAGAAACAAAAATACAAAACATCTATGAAACAAGAAATTGCCTCTTTGAAAAGATAAACAAAATTGATAGCCCTTTAGTTAGATTAACCAAGAAGAGAAAAGATTCAAATAAACTCAATTACAAATGAAAATGAAGATATTAAAATCAACACCACAGAATATGAAAGATCATTCAAGACTTCCATGAACACTGTATGCTCACAAAGAAGAAAATGTAGAGGAAATGAATAAATTCTTGGGAATATACAACCCTCCTAGATTAAACCAGGAAGAAAAAGAAAACTTGAGTATACCAATAACAATCAGTGCAATTAAATCAGTAATAAAAAAATTGCCAACAAAAAAATTCCAGGGCCAGATAGATCCACAGCTGAATTCCACCAGACATTCAAAGAAGAATTTAGAAGAATTCTTCTAAAACTATTTCAAAAGATTAAGAAAGAGGAAATAATTCATAATTCAGTCTATAAAGCAATATCACTCTGATACCAAGACTGGAAAAAAATGACAAAAAAAGGAAACTACAGCTCAATATCCCTGATGACCATAGATGCAAAAATCCTCAACAAAACACTAGCAAACTGAATCCAATAGCACATCAAAAAGATAATACACGATACACCACAATCAAGTGGATTTCCTCCCAGGCATGCAGGGATGGTTTAACATATGCAAGTCAATAAATATGATAAATTACATAAATGGAATTATAAACAAAAACTATATGATTATCTCAATGGATGCAGAAAAAGCATTTGATAATATCCAGCATTCTTTTATGAAAAACACATTCAACCAACTAGACATAGAAGGGACATAACTCAAAATAATAAAGGCATATATGAAAAACCCACAGGCAACATCATATAGGGAAAAGTTGAAAGCATTCTCCCTGAGAACTGGAACAAGACAAAGATGCCCACACCCAGCTCTTCTATTCAACATGGGACTGAAAGTCCTGGCCAGATCAATCAGGCAAGAGAAACAAAGAAAGAAAAGAAAAGAAAAGAAAAGAAAAGAAAAGAAAAGAAAAGAAAAGAAAAGAAAAGAAAGGGAAAGAAAGAGAGAGAGAGAAAGAAAGAAAGGAAGGAAGGAAGGAAAGAAGGAAGGAAGGAAGAAAGGAATAAAGGAAGGAAGAAAGAAAGAGAATCCAAATTGGAAAAGAGGAAGTCAATCCATCTCTGTTGGCCAATGATATGATTGTATGACTAGAAAACCCTAAAAACTCCTCCAAAAAACTCCTAGATTCAATTAATGAGTTCAGTAAAGTCTCAGGTTACAAAATCAATATACAAATCATTAGCACCACTATACACCACCACCAACAAAGTTAAGAATCAAATCAAGAACTCAGTCCCTTTTACGATAGTTGCAAAAAAAAAAACACATAGGAATGTACTTAACCAAGGAGGTAAAATATCTCTGTAAGAACTATAAGACACTGCTGAAAGAAATCATAGATGACACAAATAGAAACACAACTCATATGCATGGATTAGAAGAATCAATATTATGAAAATGACCATACAGCCCAAAGCAAACTGCAGATTCAATGTAATTTCTATCAAAATACAAACATTTTTTCCTCACAGAATTAGAAAAAAAACAATCCTAAAATTCACATGGAACCAAATAAGAGCCTAAATGGCAAAAGCAATCCTAAGCAAAAATAACTAATTTGGAGGCATCACATTACCTGACTTCAAATTACACTGCAAAGCTATAGTTACCAAAACAACATGGTACTGGTATAAAAGTCAATACATAGACTAATGGAACAGAATATATAACCCAGAAATAAAGCCAAATACTTACAAGCATGATCTTTGACAAAGCATACAAAAGCATAAATTGGGGAAAAGACATCTTACTTAATAAATTGTGCTGAGAAAACTGGATTTTCACATGTAGAAGAATGAATCTGGATCCCTATCTCTCATCTTATTAAAAAAATCAACTCAAACTGAATCAAAGATTAAAATCTAAGACATGAAACAATAAAATTTTTAGAAGAAAATCTAGGAAAAACTGTTCTGGACATTGGCCTAGGCAAGGAGTTTATGACTAAGACCCCAAAAGCAAGTGCAAAAGTAAATAAATAAATAAATAGGACCTAATTCAACTAAAAATCTTCTGCACAGAAAAAGAAATAATCAGCAGAGTAGACAGAAAACCCACAGAGTGGGAGAAAATATTTGCGAAGCATACATCTGACAAAGGATTAATATTCAAAATCTACAAGGAACACAAACAAATCAGCAAGAAAAGAATCCCATTAAAAAGTAGGCAAATGACATCAATAGGCATTTCTCAAAATAAGATATACGAATGGCCAATGAACATATGAAAGAATGCTCAACATCACTAATCATCAGGGAAATGCAAATTAAAACCACAGTGAGATACCACCTTACCCCTGCAAGAATGACCATTATTAAAAAGATTAAAAACAATACATGTTGGTGTGAATGTGGTGGGAAGGGAACACTTATACACTGCTGGTGGGAATGTAAACTAGTACAACCTCTATGAGAGATAGTGTGGAGATTCCTTCAAGAACTAAAAGTAGATCTACTGTTCAATCCAGGAATACCACTACTGAATATCTACTCAAAGGAAAAATAAAACATGCCATTATACCAAAAAGAAAACTGCATGCATGTTTATTGTAGCACAATTCACAATCGCAGAGATATAGAACCAGCTTAAGTGCCCATTGACCAACAAGCGTATAAAGAAAATGTGGTATATAAACAATATGGAATACTACCCAACCATAAAAAAACAATAAAATATGTCTTTTTCAGGAATTTGGATGGAGGTGGAGGCCATTATTTTAAGTTAGGTAACTCAAGAATGGATAAAAAATACTGTATGTTCTCACTTATAAGTGGGAACTAAGCTATGTGTATGTAAATGCATAAAGAGTGGTATAATGTACTTTGAAGACTCAGAAAGTAGAGGTTTAGAGGTGGGTGAGCAATAAACTACATATTGAGTACAATGTACACTGCTCTAGTGATGATGCACTTAAATATTAGACTTCACCATTACACAATTCATTCATGTAACCAAAAACCACTTGTACCTCAAAAGCTATGGAAATTTTTTAAATGTTTAAAAATAAATACATACATACATAACAAAAAAAATGACAATTAATTGTAGAATCTCAGCCTCGCTCCTGCCGCCACTGCTACCCAGAGACTGCTAAGCCCCAGTTCATCTGCCACCACCCACTCCAGACACAGAACATCCAGTCATAGATAAATATGAGTTGGTTCAGAAGGCCAAACTAATGGAGCAAGCTGAGAAGTATGATGACATGGCAGCCTGCATGAAATCTATCACTGAGCAAGGAGATGAATTATCCAAGGAGGAGAGGAATCTTCTTTCAATTACTTATAAAATTGTTGAAGGAGCCCATAGGTCATCTTGGAGGGTCTTTTAAGTATTAAACAAATGAGGGAAGGTGCTGAAAAAAAAAACAGCAATTAGCTCAAAAGTACAGAGATAAAATTGAGACTGAGCTAAGACATATCTGCAATAAAGCACTATCTCTTTTGGAAATGTACTTGATCCCCAATGCTTCACAGAGAGCAAAGTCTTCTATTTGAAAATAAAAGGACACTACTATTTTTTTGTAGCTGAGGTTTCTGCTGGTGATGACAAGAAAGAGATTGTGGATCAGTCACAACAAGCATACAGAGAAGCTTTTGAAATTAGCAAAAAGGAAATGCAACCAACATATCCTACCAGATTGGGTCTGGCCTTTAATTTTTCTGTATTCCATTATGAGATTCTAAACTCCCCAGATAAAGCCTGCTCTCTTACAAGGACAGCTTTTGATAAAGCCATTGCTGAATTTGACACATTTAGCACAGAGCCATACAAAGACAGCACAGTAGTTTTGAAACTACTGAGAAATGGCTTGACATTGCAGACATCAGATACCCAAGGAGATGAAGCTGAAGCAAGAGAAGGAGGAGAAAATTAACCAGTCTTTCAACTTTCATCAGCCTCATTCTAAAATTTACACAGTAGATCATTTTTCCTCCATGCTGCCCCATAAGTAGTTTTCTTCTTTATAATTTATGACAGTTTTTTAATTTGATAAAAAACTGTTACTTTTATTTGAATTTCTATATTTCTCATGTGGTTTTTTATGTTTAATGTTAGGGGATTAGAGCCAGTGAATATTTTTATGGAGTTAAATGTTTTCACCTTGAGGTAGACAATATGCAGATGTAAAATTTTTACACAAGTTATATATGTTTGGAACGGTACTTTTTGTAAACTGTGGCTTCACAAGGGCCAGTGTAAAACTGCTTCCATGTCTAAGCAAAGAAAAACTGCCTACATATCGGTTTGTCCTCATGGGAAATCAAAGGGATAATTGGTTCCAGTCACAGATGTAGCAATTGTGAATACTTTCAGGTTTGAATCACTTACAAGGCTGTAATAGAAACAGGTACACTATGGATACCACATGTTGAACCATGTCTATCTGTGGAATGCTCAACCTCAATGTGCATACCTTTGATTACAGCTGCAGAAGTGTTCCTTTCAACAAAGTTGTGATTCAGTTTACTCTGGATAAGGGCAGAAATGTTTTACATTCTATTATTTGTAAAGTTATCTGCTGTTTGTGTTTATTATTTTTTTGCTACACTCAATTTATTTGTATTTAAATGGTTTAGGCAACCTAAGAACAAATGAAAAGTTAAAAATGCAATAAAAGCAAATTGCTTGATATCCATTACTATATATATATATATACACACACACACACTTTAATATACTATATACTTTAGAGATAGATAGCACAGCAGTAAAACAAAAAATCACTTGTATTTGAGATGATAGCTAGCTTTGTTTAATGTCTTATAAAATTTTCATGAGCAATTCAAGTTTAGTTGTTAAGAACACATATACTGTGTGTGTAAGTAGTATGAAAGTTTTATGAGTAGACACTTCAACTATGGTTTCTATAGTTTTCCATGTAGGTTCGTCTTTTGGTTCTGAAACTTCTCTAAAAGAAATTGTATAGTTTTAGAAATTTATTTATTTTCTCTTGGCAGCTAATGGGCTTTTACCAAGTTTAAACACAAAGATTATCATAAGGAAAATGTTAATATAACTACTGTTTTCAATAATTTCCCATGTTCCCTTCTCCTTCTCCCATTCTGAAAAAATGAGTTATTATTTTTTGGGAGGGAGGGAGAGAATGATTTTTATAAGGGTAATATGTTCCATTTAAAGTGTTGGTATATAGCATTTTCTAACTTAGGAAGCCACAATGTTTTTGGTCCATGATGACACTGGGTAGTATTAACTGTAAGTTTGTGCTTCTGAATCACATTTATTTTTGAAGAATTTCTTGATACTGTTATAGTCTGCCTTCAATTCTGATCCTTTATTCTTTCTAGGTATCAGGTGCACAAGATTACCTGCCTTTTTTAGTCCTCTGTCTTATCACTAACAATTCCTACTTGGTGGCCATGTACTTGGAAAAAGACCACATAATATTTCTGGCTCCAGTCAATGTCTAAAATACCCTGCTTCCCTTGCTTGCATTCCACAAACTATTTTCCTCATCCTATTTATTGCAGCAAATCTCTCTTTAGTTAATGAGATTGTGTTTAAGTTCTACCTATTCTGAATGGTCTGTCATTGTCTACCTTTAAAATCTATTATCTTTTTCTTCCTCTGTTTTTTAAATAATGATGGGGCTAAGTTATACTCAAAGCTCACTCTACAGAATAGCCCTTTAACACTTTTCAAAAAACAGCAAACAAAACAATGCTATTTTGAAAGTTTTATTTTCTTTTAGGGTGCAAGCTTCTCAAGAGCAGGGACATTTTCTATATGTTCTATAATGCCTAGTACATTGTAAATGCTCAATGTTGATGATGAGAGGCAATGCGTCTTAATGACAAGGGTGAAAAACTAAAATCTCCCCCTAAAAAAAACCAATTATGTCTTCATATTCTAATAGAAAGAAGAAAACTAAATTTAAAAATATACTGCTGGATTCCTTTCAGGATAGAGTAGTTTCTATCTCCTCTAGGCTTCTCTCACACAAATAAAAAATATGGATATAACAAAACATAAAACAACTCTGAAGGATAGGAAGGATGGAAAGAAGAGGGTGGACTGCTTAGGAATCTTGGAATATTAGAAACTTGATGTGTTCCCTGTGTTTCGTTTTTGCCTTCCATATGTTAGACAAGGCACTGGAGAAACCAACTCAGAATTACTAACAGGCATAGGAAAAAAAAAGTGGTGTTAAGGGGTCGCAATGAAGAAATTGAACTTCCACTCCCTGCTTGGTCCTGGGAGAGGGTACTTTAATTCCCTCACTTGTGTGGTGTTAGTGGAACCAAGCAGGAAGTTGGGCTTCCACCTCTACCTAGCAGCAAAATAAAGCAGAATGAGCAGTAAATGGCAAAGCTAGTCAGCACTTTACTTTCCCCACTGTTGTGCTGTGGGTCCCAGCAGAAAGTTGAGATTCCACACCCATGAGACAGTAATGGGGTACTACTAGGAAGAACACTTCTCTTCCAACCCCTGGTGTCAGTAGGAACCATTAAGGAGCTAAACTGCCACCTCTACCCAAAAACAACAGGTGGTGTGAGTTAGAACCCTGCTATTATGAAAGACGGTTTCAGTGGATCGCAGCAAGGAGCTGAACTTACACCCTCTCCAAAAGCAACAAGATGACACTAGTGGGCACATTGCTTTCAGCAATGGCATAGCGGAAGACACTTCTTCCTACCCTGAAGAAATAGGTGGTGTGAGCTGGTGTTACTGGGCACTCCACTTTCCCTATAAACATCAGCACAGCCCAAGGTGGAGCAGATCATTCATCCTGACCTAATGTAATGAGGTGTCAAAGAGGCAACAATGGGGCAGTGCCAAGCAGTGTTAGTGGAGCTCTGTTTTTCCAAGGGTGGTGTCAACAGGGCCCAGTAGGAAGCTCCGCTTCCACCCTCACCTAGCACAAATGAGGGGATGTTATTTGGTGCTACTTAGCAATTTCCTTTTCACAAGCCTCTTGTTGGTAGGGACCAAATAAAATTCAACATCATCATCCCACAAGGTCGTGGTGTGAGGCCTGCAAAATGATGCAGTTCAGCACTCTGCTTTCCCCTCCATTGATATTAGTGGACGCAGGAAGATGCTCATCATACAATTTCAAATAGCAGCATCAAGGCATAAGAAGGTGGTATTAGGTGGTTCTAGTTGGGACTAAGTCTTCCATTCCACTAATGTCAACAAGGACAAGTGAGGATATAAAACCCAGTAAGCAGCAATGAAAGAAATAAGTTGGTGCAATGCACTGCTAATTAATCCTCTGTTTTCCCCTCTGATGTCAGTGTTGCCTAACAAAGAGCCTAATTTTCATGCCCATGAATCAACAATGAGATTCAACATCAAATTTTAGCACTAGCATAACAATAATTAATGAAATTGTATTATACCTAATTTACCAATTAGATATTGTCAGATAGGGTTTCTTTTTTTAAAAGGACCAAGTATATGATTACTACAAGAAAATCACTTCAAATGTAATTATTTAGACAGGCTGAAAGCAAAAAGAAAGAAAAAATATATGTAGTATATAAACACTAATTTTAAAAGAGAACAGGAATGACTATATTAATAACAGGTAAAGTAAAATTTAAAGAGAAGAAAATTACTAGGAACAAGTAACAACATTACATTATGATGTAAATCCATAAAGAAAATGTAGCCATTTAAATGTCTCTGTACCAAACGAGAAAGCTTCAAAATACATGAAGCAATTACTAATAGCATTATAGGGAAAAAATTATATTTATAGTTGGAAACATTGAGAAATATTTCTCAGCAATTGATAGAAATAAGAAAAATTATGCAATGATATAGAAAACTGAACATTATCATCAACCAATATAATCTAAGTGTACATTAATAGAACACTATGTAAAAACAACAGAATACACATCACATTCTATTCAAACTTCCATGAAGTAATCACTGATATAGACTACACTCTGGGCCACAAAAACAAAACAAATGTAAAAGATTGAATTTATACATATTCTTTCTCAGATTATAATAGAATCAATCTATAAATAAATAACATAAACAAAGAAGAATAATCTCCAAAGGTTTTGAAATTAAACACCATGCTTCTAAATAATTAATGGGTAAAAAAATTCTCAAAAATATTATGTAGACTTGAACAAAAGAGAAAATACAACACATCAAATTGTATGCAATAAAGCTAAAGCAATATTGAAGGTAAATTTATGGTACTTTACCTGATATTAATATAGCCACTCCTGTTCTATTTCAAATTGGGGTTTGCATGCAATACATGTTTTTTCCTTTTGCTTTCAGCCTATCTACATAATTGTATTATAAGTAATTTTTTCTAGTAGCAAGAATATACTGCATCTTTTTCAAAGGTCCAGTCTTCTTGCATTGGAAAATAAGAACGATCTCAAATTAAAAATTTAAGCTCTCATATGAAGACACTACAAAAAGAAGAAAAAATAAATTTGATGCAAGCAGAAGAAAGCAAATAAGAATAAGAAAAATATCTTAATGAATCTAAAACCAAAAACAATAAAGAAAATCAAAGCAACAGAATGATGGCTTTTGTAAAGATTGACAAATTAATAAACTTCTCATGAGACTGACAAAGATATAAAGAGAAAGGACAAAAAATAGCAATATCATAAATGGAACAGATCATATAACTGAAGATCCTAAAGCATTTTACATCAGTGGTCCCAAACCTTTTTGGCACCAGAGACGAGTTTGTGGAAGACAATTTTTCCATGGACTGGGGGGAAGGTGGGGAGGGGGTGGTTTCAGGAAGAAACTCTTCCACCTCAGATCACCAGGCATTAGTTAGATTCTCATAAGGAGCACACAACCTAGATCCTTTGCATGCACAGTTCACAATAGGGTTTGCACTCCTATGGGACTCTAAAGCTGCCATTGATCTGACAGGAGACAGGTTGTAATTCTCACTCGATCACTGCTCACCTCTGGCTATGTGGCCCAGTTCCTAACAGGTCATGGAGCCCAAGGTTTGGGAACCCCTGCTTTAAATGATAAATATAGAGTACTATGAACAATTTTACACACATAAATTAGGCAACACAGAAGAAATGTGCCAATTTTCTAAAAGCTCAAAATACCCAGTCTCACCCAAAATAGAAAATCATATAATTTTCAGGCACTTAGAGCAGTGGAACAGAATACAGAACCCAGAAATAAAGCCAAATACTTACAGCCAACTGATCTTTGACAAAGCATTCAAAAATGTAACTTGGGGAAAGGACACCCTATTCAATAAATGGTGTTGGGAAAACTGACAAGCCACATGTAGAAGAATGAAACTGCATCCCCATCTCTCACCTTATACAAAAATCAACTCATGATGGATCAAAAACTTAAATCTAAGAAAGACGTGAAACTGTAGAAATTCTAGAAGATAACCCTAGAAATACTTTTCTGGAGACTGGCTTAGGCAAAGAATTCATAGCTAAGACACAGCAGCAAATTCAATAGAAAGAAAAAGAAAGTTAATGAAAACTAATTAAACTAAAAACCTTCTGCACAGCAAAAGAAATAATTTGCAGAATAAACAGACAAACCAAAGAGTGGGAGAAAATATTTGTAAACTATGCATCCAAAAAAGGACTAGTATCTAGAATCTACAAGGAACTCACACAAATCATGAAGAAAAAAAATCCCCATGAAAATGGCACATGTATACATATATAACAAACCTGCATGTTGTGCACATGTACCCTAGAACTTAAAGTATAATTTAAAAAAAAGAAGAAGAAAAAGAAGATGGCCACATAGGAAAGCTCCACTCTACAGCTCGCAGCATGAGTGACGCAGAAGACGGGTGATTTCTGCATTTCCAACTGAGGTACCGGGTTCATCTCACTGGGGAGTGTCAGAGAGTGGGTGAAGGACAGTGGGTGCAGCACACTGAGCATGAGCTGAAGCAGTGTGAGGCATCGCCTCACCTGGGAAGCTCAAGGGGTCAGGGAATTCCCTTTCCTAGTCAAAGAAAGGGGTGACAGATGGCACCTGGAAAATCGGGCCACTCCCACCCTAACACTGTGCTTTTCCAACAGTCTTAGCAAATGGCACACCAGGAGATTATATTCCACACATGGGTTGGAGGGTCCTACACCCATGGAGCCTCGCTCATTGCTGGCACAGCAGTCTGAGATCAAACTGCAAGGTGGCAGCAAGGCTGGGGGAGAGGCACCTGCCATTGCTGGGGCTTGAGTAGGGAAACAAAGTGGCTGGGAAGCTCGAACTGGGTGGAGCCCACCCCAGCCCAAGGAGGCCTGCCTGCCTCTGTAGACTCCACCTCTGGGGGCAGGGCATAGCCAAACAAAAGGCAGCAGAAACCTCTGCAGAATTAAATGTCCCTGTCTGACAGCTTTGAAGAGAGTAGTGGTTCTCCCAGCATGCAGCTTGAGATCTGAGAACGGGCAGACTGCCTCCTTAAGTGAGTCCATGACCCCCGAGTAGCCTAACGGAGACACCCCCCAGTAGTGGCAGTCTGAGACCTCACACAGCCAGGTACTCCTCTGAGACAGAACTTCCAGAGGAACGATGAGGCAGCAACATTTGCTGTTCACCAATATCAGCTGTTCTGCAGCCTCCACTGCTGATACCCAGGCAAACAGGGTCTGGAGTGGACCTCCAGCAAACTCCAACAGACCTGCAGCTGAGGGCCTTGACTGTTAGAAGGAAAACTAACAAAGAGAAAGGACATCCACACCAAAACCCCATCTGTTTGTCACCATCATCAAAGACCAAAGGCAGGTAAAACCACAAAGATGGGGAAAAAACAGAGCAGAAAAACTGGAAACTCTAAAAATCAGAGTGCCTCTCCTCCTCCAAAGGAACACAGATCCTCACCAGCAACAGAACACAGCTGGATGGAGAATGACTTTGACAAGTTGAGAGAAGAAAGCTTCAGACAATCAAACTACTCTGAGCTAAAGGAGGAAGTTCAAACCCACAGCAAAGAAGTTAAAAACCTTGAAAAAAAATTAGACGAATGGCTAACTAGAATAACCAATGCAGAGAAGTCCTTAAAGGACCTGAAGGAGCTGAAAACCATGGCACAAGAACTACGTAATGAATGCACAAGCCTCAGTAACTGATGCAATCAACTGGAAGAAAGGGTATCAATGATGGAAGATCAAATGCATGAAATGGAGCTAGAAGAGAAGTGTAGAGAAAAAGAATAAAAAGAAATGAACAAAGCCTCCAAGAAATATGGGACTATGTGAAAAGACCAAATCTACGTCTGATTGCTGCACCTGAAAGTGACAGAGAGAATGGAACCAAGTTGGAAAACACTCTGCAGGATATTATCCAGGAGAACTTCCACAATCTAGCAAGGCAGGCCAACATTCAAATTCAGGAAATGCAGAGAACGCCACAAAGATACTCCTCAAGAAGAGCAACTCCAAGACCCATAATTGTCAGATTCACCAAAGTTGAAATGAAGGAAAAAATGTTAAGGGCAGCTAGAGAAAGGTCTGGTTAACCACAAGGGGAAGCCCATCAGACTAACAGCAGATCTCTCGGCAGAAACTCTACAAGCCAGAAGAGAGTGGGGACCAATATTCAACATTCTTAAAGAAAATAATTTTCAACCCAGAATTTCATATCCAGCCAAACTAAGCTTCATAAGTGAAGGAGAAATAAAATCCTTTACAGACAAGTAAATGCTGAGAGATTTTGTCACCATCAGGCCTGCCCTAACAGAGCTCCTGAAGGAGGCACTAAACATGGAAAGGAACAACCGGTATCAGCCACTGCAAAAACATGCCAAATTTTAAAGACGATCAAGGGTAGGGAGAAACTGCATCAACTAACAAGCGAAATAATCAGCTAACATCATAATGACAGGATCACATTCTCATAGAACAATATTAAACTTAAATGGGCTAAATGGTCTGATTAAAAGACACAGACTGTAAAATTGGGTAAAGTGTCAAGACTCATCAGTGTGCTATATTCAGGAAACCCATCTCACTTGCAGAGACACACATAGGCTCAAAATAAAGGGATGGAGGAAGATCTACCAAGCAAATGGAAAACGAAGAAAGGCAGGGGTTGCAATCCTAGTCTCGGATAAAACAGACTTTAAACCAATAAAGATCAAAAGACACAAAGAAGGTCATTACATAATGGTAAAGGGATCAATGAAACAGGAAGAGCTAACTATCCTAAATATATATGCACCCAATACAGGAGCACCCAGATTCATAAAGCAAGTCCTTAGAGACCTAGAAAGAGACGTGGACTCCCACTCAGTAATAATGGGAGACTTTAACACCCCACTATCAATATTAGACAGATCAACGAGACAGAAAGTTAACAAGGATATCCAGGAATTGAACTAAGCTCTGCAGCAAGCAGACCTAATAGACATCTTCAGAACTCTCCACCCCAAATCAAGAGAATATACATTCTTTTCAGCACCACACTACACCTATTCCAAAATTGACCACATAGTTAGAAGTAAAGCACTCCTCAGCAAATGTAAAAGAACAGAAACTATAACAAACTGTCTCTCAGACCACAGTACAATCAAACTAGAACTCAGGATTAAGAAAATCACTCAAAACCACTCAACTACATGGAAACTGTACAATCTTCTCCTGAATGACTACTGGGTACATAACGAAATGAAGGCAGAAATAAAGATGTCCTTTGAAACCAATGAGAACAAAGACACAACATACCAGAATCTCTGGGACACATTCAAAGCAGTGTGTAGAGGGAAATTTATAGCACTAAATTCCCACAAGACAAAGCAGGAAAGGTCTAAAATTGACACCCTAACATCACAAATAAAAGAACTACAGAAGCAAGAGCAAACACTTTCAAAAGCTAGCAGAAGGCAAGAAATAACTAAGATCAGAGCAGAACTGAAGGAAATAGAGACACAAAAAACCCTTCAAAAACTCAATGAATCCAGGAGCTGGTTTTTTGAAAAGATCAACAAAATTGATAGACCACCAGCAAGACTAATAAAGAAGAAAAGAGAGAAGAATGACATAGACACAATAAAAAATGATAAAGGGGATATCACCACCGATCCCACAGAAATACAAACTACCATCAGAGAATACCGTAAACACCTCTATGCAAATAAACTAGAAAATCTAGAGGAAATGGATAAATTCCTTGACACATACACCATCCCAAGACTAAACCAGGAAGAAGTTGAATCTCTGAATAGACCAATAACAGGCTCTGAAAGTGAGGCAATAATTAATAGCTTACCAACCAAAAAAAGTCCAGGACCAGATGGATTCACAGCCGAATTCTACCAGAGGTACAAGGAGGAGCTGGTACCATTCCTTCTGAAACTATTCCAGTCAATAGAAAAAGAGGGAATCCTCCCTAACTCATTTTATGAGGCCAGCATCATTCTGATACCAAAGCCTGGCAGAGACACAACAAAAAAAGAGAATTTTAGGCGAATATCCCCAATGAACATAGATGCAAAAGTCCTCAATAAAATACTGGCAAACCGAATCCAGCAGCACATCAAAAAGCTTATCCACCATGATCAATCGGGCTTCATCCCTGGGATGCAAGGCTGGTTCAACATACACAAATCAATAAATGTAATCCAGCATATAAACAGAGCCAAAGACAAAAACCACATGATTATCTCAATAGATGCAGAAAAGGCCTTTGACAAAATTCAACAGCCCTTCATGCTAAAAACTCTCAATAAGTTAGGCATTGATGGGACATATCTCAAAATAATAAGAGCTATCTATGACAAACCCACAGCCAATATCACACTGAATGGACAAAAACTGGAAGCATTCCCTTTGAAAACTGGCACAAGACACGGATGCCCTCTTTCACCACTCATACTCAACATAGTGTTGGAAGTTCTGGCCAGGGCAATCAGGCCGGAGAAGGAAATAAAGGGTATTCAATTAGGAAAAGAGGAAGTCAAATTGTCCCTGTTTGTAGATGACATGATTGTATATCCAGAAAACCCCATCGTTCTCAGCCCAAAATCTCCTTAAGCTGATAGGCAACTTCAGCAAAGTCTCAGGATACAAAATCAATGTGCAAAAATCACAAGCATTCTTATACACCAATAACAGACAAACAGAGAGCCAAATCATGAGTGAACTCCCATTCACAATTGCTTCAAAGAGAATAAAGTACCTAGGAATCTAACTTACAAGGGATGTGAAGGACCTCTTCAAGGAGAACTACAAACCACTGCTCAATGAAATAAAAGAGGATACAAACAAATGGAAGAACATTCCATGCTCATGGGTAGGAAGAACCAATATCGTGAAAATGGCCATACTGCCCAAGGAAATTTATAGATTCAATGCCATCCCCATCAAGCTACCAATGACTTTCTTCAGAGAATTGGAAAAAAGTACTTTAAAGTTCATACGTAACCAAAAAACAGCCCGAATTTCCAAGACAATCCTAAGTAAAAAGAGCAAAGCTGGAGGCATCAAGCTACCTGACTTCAAACTATACTACAAGGCTACAGTAACCAAAACAGCATGGTACTGGTACCAAAACAGATATATAGACCAATGGAACAGAACAGAGACCTCAAAAATAATACCACACATCTGCAACCATCTGATCTTTGACAAACCTGACAAAAACAAGCAATGGGGATAGGATTCCCTATGTAATAAATGGTGCTGGGAAAACTGGCTAGCCATATGTAGAAAGCCGAAACTGGATCCCTTCCTTACACCTTATACAAAAATTAATTCAAGATGGATTAAAGACTTAAATGTTAGACCTAAAACCATAAAAACCCTAGAAGAAAACATAGGCAATACCATTCAGGACATAGGCATGGGCAAGGACTTCATGTCTAAAACACCAAAAACAATGGCAACAAAAGACAAAATTGACAAATGGGATCTAATTAAACTAAAGAGCTTCTGCACAGCAAAAGAAACTACCATCAGAGTGAACAGGCAACCTACAGAATGGGAGAAAATTTTTGCAACCTACTCATCTGACAAAGGGCTAATATCCAGAATCTACAAAGAACTCAAACAAATTTACAAGAAAAAAACCAAACAACCCCATCAACAAGTGGGCGAAGGATATGAACAGACACTTCTCAAAAGAAGACATTTATGTAGCCAAAAGACACATTAAAAAATGCTCATCATCACTGGCCATCAGACAAATGCAAATCAAAACCACAATGAGGTACCATCTCACACCAGCTAGAATGGTGATCATTAAAAAGTCAGGAAACAACAGGTGCTGGAGAGGATGTGGAAAATAGGAACACTTTTACACTGTTGGTGGGACTGTAAACTATTCAACCATTGTGGAAGTCCGTGTGGCGATTCCTCTGGGATGTAGAACTAGAATTGCCATTTGACCCAACCATCCCATTACTGGGTATATACCCAAAGGATTATAAATCGTGCTGCTATAAAGACACATGTACTCGTATGTTTATTGCAGCACTATTCACAATAGGAAAGAATTAGAACCAAGCCAAATGTCCAACAATGACAGGCTGGATTAAGAAAATGTGGCACATATACACCATGGAATACTATGCAGCCATAAAAAATGATGAGTTCATGTCCTTTGTAGGGACATGGATGAAGCTGGAAACCATCATTCTCAGCAAACTATGGCAAGGACAAAAAATGTCACACCGCATGTTCTCACTCATAGGTGAGAATTGAACAATGAGAACACATGGACACAGGGAGGGGAACATCACACACTGAGGCTTGTTGTGGGGTAGGGGGAGGGGGGAGGGATAGCATTAGGAGATATAGCTAATGCTAAATGACGAGTTAATGGGTGCAGCACACAAACATGGCACATGTATACATACGTAACACACCTGCACGTTGTTCACATGTACCCTAAAACTTAAAGTATAATAAAAAAAATAGTGGAGAAAGTTAAAAAAAATAAGAAGAAAAAAAATCCCAACAAAAGTGGGTAAAAAAACATAAATAAATGTTTCTCCATAGAAGATATGCAAATAACCACGAGACATTTGAAAAAATGCTCAACATCACTAATCATCAGGGAAGTGCAAGTTAAAACCACAATGAGATACTCCTGCAAGAATAGCCATAACTAAAAATTCAAGACAATAGATGTTAGTCTGGTAAAAAAGGAACTCTACTGGTAGGAATGTAAGTTAGTACAGCCACTCTGGAAAACGGTATGGAGATTCCTTTAAGAACTAAAAGTAGATCTATCATTTGATCCAGCAATCCCACTGGGTATTTACTCCAATGAAAAGAAGTTATTATATGAAAAATATACATGTATATGCATGTTTATAGCAGCACAAATCACAGTTGCAAGGATACAGAACCAACCTAAGTGCCCGTTAACCAACAAATGGATAAAAATAAATATGGTATATATACACCATGGAATACTGCTCAGTCATAAAAAAGAAACAAAATGATGCTTTTTGCCACAAACTTGGAAGGGGCTGGAGGCCATTACTCTAAGAAAAGTAACTCAGGAATAGGCATACTGTATGTTCTCACTTGAAGTGGGAGCATAGCTATGAGGACACAAAAATATAGAGTGATATAATGGACTTTGGGGACTCATGGTGGGGAGGTTGGGAAAGGGATGATAGATAAAAGACTACATATTGGGTACAGTGTATATTGCTTGGGTTACATGTGCACTAAAATCTTGGAATTCACCACTAAATAACTCATCCATGTAACCGAAAACCACATGTACCCCAAATCTATTGAAATAAATTAAAAATAAAGTAATTTTATCTATAAGTGATAACTTAAAAAAAACTAGGTCTTGATTTAAAAGCTTTAAAGAATTAATGCTGGAAAGGAGGGCAAGATGACTAACTAGAAAACCAGGTGGAACAGCTTCCACTAAGAGACCAAGATGACTGGTATGCTCCTAACAGATCTTCAGAGGAAAAGCACCAACTGTGGACAGAGTGAAGACAGAAGCTGGGCTGAAGGGGGAGAAATCTATGAACTTTACACGGGGCTACAGTGCACCTGGACTTGTTCCTGGCCCCCAACAGCTTTGGGGAAATGGGTGGGTTGAACTGACAAGGAACAACCCATTCTCACCACAGGCCTCTGGATCCCCAAAAGAAGGAGACCCATCAAACACCATGGACAATTGAGTTGGCAAGGAAAGCTGATTAGAAAAATGGTAGAGGCAGCAAGTCAGCAGATGTGGAGCTCAGGTTTGTTGCAGGAATATCTGTAGCAAAGCACAGCCAGAGATGACTATCCTCTTAGGCTTGACTTGCTCCCATAGAACAGTTTAGCCCTGAGGGTACTGTTGGTCATGAACTCTGCAGGGCAGCCTTCCACATCAGACAGGGCTGGTCCAACCTGAGCACCCCTTTGTCTGTTGGCCTTTCTGGGGGTTGTAGCATGGCCACACCTTTTTGCAGGACAGTCTCAGGTGCCCTGGGGACAGACACACCATAGGATCTGCACTGTCAGACCATGACTGACTGGCAGAAAGTCCCAGCAGGGCAACCTCTATGGCCACACACTCCCTCCACATACTGCAGCTTCCCCTTGGGACCACAACTCCTCACATCACTTTACTCGCGCACGTCTGTGTGGGCAATTTTGCTTTCCTTGTCCCGCCAGCAGGTGGAAGTACAGTCCACCTTCCAGCCCCATGTCAACCGCCATTGCAGATGGAGACTTGGTAGGCACAAAGAAAGCTAGCCCCACCCCTGCCAGCACCTCACCCTTGCATTAACACTGCGTAGAGAACAGCGGATCCTCCCCCACCTTGAGTTACAATTCCTCCTTGTGGGGCACAGAGAAGGAACCCAAACTAGCACCCACCAGTGCCTCAATCCTGAACCAACACCACCTCCAGCGTGATCACACACACAATCACCAGCAGCGGCCCCTCATCTTCCCTGTGGTGAACAGGGAGGCAGGCACCCCAGGACCTGCTAGAACTCTGCCACAGCTGCCACTACTGCTGTTGCTGGCATGTGTACATGAGAATGGATCACAATGTCACTGTACTATGAAATGTTCTGTCTGACACCAGCCATCAGAGGGTAGTGACCAGTAGTTCGAGAATACCTCGGCCTCCCAGTGCAGTAGATTCCTAACCACAATAATCCAGAGAACAAAGTCGGGGCCTAATACAAGTCCTTCAGAGTTAGCTCATACAGTTCAGGAAAGGAGTTGGGAGCTGAGTGTTGGAACCCTAAAATCTTGCAGAAATGAAGTGAGTCAGCTGAATCCACCTTATACCACAATCAAACTCTCAAAATCATCAATTAAGATAAAAGAAAGAAACCCATTAGATTATCCAGCACCATGTTTGGTTTTCCATTCCTGAGTTACTTCACTTAGAATAGTGGTCTCCAGTTCCATCCACGTTGCTGCAAATGCCATTATTTAGTTCCTTTTAATGGCTGAGTAGCATTCCATAGTATATATATGTTAAAATTTCTTTATCCACTAGTTGATAGATGGGCATTTGGGTTGCAATGCCAAATGTGTTCTTTACTCACTTTATGTTTTTCTTGACTTTGTTGAAAATCAGTTAGCTATAAGTATTTGGCTTTATTTCTGAGTTCTCTATTCTGTTCCATTGGTCTATGTGCCTATTTTTATACCAGTACCATGCTGTTTGGGTGACTAGGGCCTTATAGCATAGTTTGAAGTCAGGCAATGTGACGCCTCCAGATTTGTTCTTTTTGATTAGTCTTGCTTTGGCTATGCAGGTTCTTTTTTGGTTCCATAGAGAAAAAATTTTAGAATTGCTTTCTCTAGCTTTGTGAAGAATGATGATGGTATTTTGACGGGAATTGCACTGAATTTGTAGATAGCTTTTGGCAGTATGGCCATTTTCACAATATTGATTCCACCCATCCATGAGCATGAGATGTGTTTCCATTTGTTGGTGTCGTCTATGATTTCTTTCATCAGTGTTTTGTAGTTTTCCTTTAGAGGTCTCTCACCTCCTTGGTTAGGTATAATTGGCAAGCCACAAGTAGAAGAATAAAGCTGGATCCTCATTTCTCACCTTATACAAAAATCAACTCAAAATTGATCAAGCACTTAAATGTAAGACCTGAAACCATAAAAATTCTAGAAGATAACATCACAAAAACCCTTCTAGACATTGGCTTAGGCAAAGACTTCATGACCAAGGACCCAAAAGCAACTGCTACAGAATCAAAGATAAATAAATGAGACTTAATTAAGCTAAAAAGTTACTGCACAGTGAAAGAAATAATCAGCAGAGTAAACACAACCCACAGAGTGAGAGAAAATCTTCATCATGTTTACAGTCAGCAAAAAACTAATATCCAGAATGTACAAAAACTCAAACATACCAGCAAGAAAAAAACAAACAATCCCATCAAAAAGTGGGCTAAGGACATGGATAGATAATTGTCAAAAAAATATATATACATTTAAACATTTAAACGTTAGACCTAAAACCATAAAAACCCTAGAAGAAAACCTAGGCATTACCATTCAGGACATAGGCGTGGGCAAGGACTTCATGTCCAAAACACCAAAAGCAATGGCAACAAAAGACAAAATTGACAAATGGGATCTAATTAAACTAAAGAGCTTCTGCACAGCAAAAGAAACTACCATCAGAGTGAACAGGCAACCTACAAAATGGGAGAAAATTTTCGCAACCTACTCATCTGACAAAGGGCTAATATCCAGAATCTACAATGAACTCAAACAAATTTACAAGAAAAAAACAAACAACCCCATCAAAAAGTGGGCAAAGGACATGAACAGACACTTCTCAAAAGAAGACATTTATGCAGCCAAAAAACACATGAAAAAATGCTCATCATCACTGGCCATCAGAGAAATGCAAATCAAAACCACTATGAGATATCATCTCACACCAGTTAGAATGGCAATCATTAAAAAGTCAGGAAACAACAGGTGCTGGAGAGGATGTGGAGAAATAGGAACACTTTTACACTGTTGGTGGGACTGTCAACTAGTTCAACCATTGTGGAAGTCAGTGTGGCGATTCCTCAGGGATCTAGAACTAGAAATACCATTTGACCCAGCCATCCCATTACTGGGTATATACCCAAAGGACTATAAATCATGCTGCTATAAAGATACATGCACACGTATGTTTATTGCGGCATTATTCACAATAGCAAAGACTTGGAACCAACCCAAATGTCCAACAATGATAGACTGGATTAAGAAAATGTGGCACATATACACCATGGAATACTATGCAGCCCTAAAAAATGATGAGTTCATGTCCTTTGTAGGGACATGGATGAAATTGGAAACCATCATTCTAAGTAAACTATCGCAAGAACAAAAAACCAAACACCGCATATTCTCACGCATAGGTGGGAATTGAACAATGAGATCACATGGACACAGGGAGGGGAATATCACACTCTGGGGACTGTGGTGGGGTCGGGGGAGGGGGGAGGGATAGCATTGGGAGATATACCTAATGCTAGATGACACGTTAGTGGGTGCAGCGCACCAGCATGGCACATGTATACATATGTAACTAACCTGCACAATGTGCACATGTACCCTAAAACTTAAAGTATAATAAAAAAAAAAAATTAAAAAAAAAATATATATATACATATATATATATACACACATATATATATATATACACACACATATATATATATATATATATATATATATATATATATATATACACAAATGGCCAACAAACATATGAAAAAATGATCAACATCACTAATTATCAGGAAAATACAAATCAAAACCACAATGCAACACCATCTTACTCCTGCAAAAATGGCCATAATCAAAAAATTGTAAAATAATAAATGTTGGCTGGTTGTTGTTCAAAGGGAACACTTTGGCCAGGCCTGTAGCTCACGCCTGCAATCCCAGCACTTTGGGAGACTGAGGGGGTGGATCACGAGTTCAGGAGTTCAAGACCAGCCTGGCCAAGATGATGAAACCCCTCTCTACTAAAAATACAAAAATTAGCTGGGTGTGGTGGTGGGCACCTGTAATCCCAGCTACTTGGGAGGATGAGACAGATAATTGCTTGAATCTGGGAGGTGGAGGTTGCAGTGAGCCAAGATCATGCCACTGCACGCACTCCAGCTTGGGCAACAGAGTAAGACTCTATCTCAAAAAAAAAAAAAAGAAAAAGAACACTTTTACACTGCTGGTGGGAATGTAAGCTAGTACAACCACTATGAAAAACAGTGTGAAGATTTCTATCTACCGCTTGACCCAGTAATCCTACTACTGCTTATCTACCCAGAGGAAAAGAAGTCATTATATGAAAAAGATACTTGCACACATATGTTTATAGTGGCACAATTCAAAATTGCAAAATTGTTGACATTTGCCAATTTGGCATTGCAACCCAAATGCCCATCTATCAACTAGTGGATAAAGAAATTTTAACATACATGTACTATGGAATGCTACTCAGCCATTAAAAGGAACTAAATAATGGCATTTACAGCAACGTGGATGGAACTGGAGACCACTATTCCAAGTGAAGTAACTCAGGAATGGAAAACCAAACATGGTATGCTTTCACTTATAAGTAGGAGCTAAGTTATGAGACTTTGGGGACCCAGAGAGAAGAATGGGATGAGAGTAAAAGATAAAAAGATTACTCATTGGGCACAGTGTATACTGCTTGTGTGATGGGTGCACAAAAATCTCAGAAATTGCCACTGAAAAACTTATTCATGTAACCAAACATCACCTGTTCTCCCAAAACCTATGGAAATAAAAAATTACAATTTTAAAAAAGGAAAAAAATTCCATTCAAAAGTGAGCAATTTTGAAGGTTAAAGAAAAATAAGCCCACAAAGAAGAGAAAGAATAAGTGTAAGGACCTGGACCACTTAAAAATCCAGAATGCCTTATTTTTTTCAAACAACCACATCACCTATCCAGCAAAGGTTCTGAACTGGCTGAGAAAGCTGAATGATAGAAATATAATTTAGAATGCTGATAAGAGTTAAGATCATTGAATTACAGAAGTACATTAAAGCTCAGTCCAAGGAAGCTAAAAATCATGATGAAACAATACAGGAAATAACAGACAAAATAGCCAGTATAGAAAAGAATGTAAGTGACCTGATAGGGTTGAAAAACACCCTACAAAAATTGCATAATGCAGTCACAAGTATTAATAGCAGAATACACCAAGCAGAGAAAAGAATCACAGAACTTGAAGACTAGCTTTCTGAAATAAGACAGCCAAGAATAGAGAAGAAAAGAATAAAAAGGAACAAACAAAACCTCTGAGAAATATAGGATTTTTGTAATAAGACTGAATCTATGACTCATTGGTGTCCCTAAAGACATAGGGAAAATGGAACCACCTTGGAAAACATATTTCAGGATTTCATGCATGAGAACTTTCCCAGCCTAGCTGGAAAGGCCAACATTCCAATTCAGGAAATGCAAAGAACCCCAGGAAGATACTTCACAAGATTATCCCTGAGGCACAATTATCAGATTCTCCAAGGTTGAAATTAAAGAAAAAATGTTAAAGGCAGCTACAGACAAAACCAAGGTCACCTACGAAGGGAAACTCATCAGACTAACAGCAGACTTCTAAGCAGAAACTCTAAAAGCCAGAACAGATTGAGGGCCAATATTCAACACTCTTAAAAAAAAAGAAATTCCAACCCAGACTTTCCTATTCAGTCCAAATAAGCTTCATAAGTAAAGGAGAATTAAGATCCTTTTCAGACAAGCAAATGCTGAGGGAAGTCATTACCATTAGACCTGCCTTACAATGCCCTAAATATAGAAAGGAAAGTGCATTATCAGCCACTACAAAAACACAGTGAAGCACAGAGACTGGTGACACTATAAAGCAACCACATCAAGAAGTCTGCAAAATAACCAGGTAACATTATGACAGGATCAAATTTACAAATATCAATACTAAGGCATGGTGGCTCATGCCTGTAATCCCATCACTTTGGGAGGCTGAGGCAGGTGGATCACTTGAGGCCAGGAGTTCAAGACCAGTCTGGTAAACATGGTGAAACCCCATCTCTACTGAAAATACAAAACTTAGCTGGGTGTGTTGGCACACATCTGTGGTCCCAGCTACTTAGGAGGCTGAGGCACTAGAATCACTTGAAGCTGGGAGACAGAGATGGCGGTGAACTGGGATCACACTACTGTACTCCAAATAGGGTGACAGAGCAAGACCCTGTCTCAAAAAAAAAAAAAAAAGAATGTGCAAACAACCTTGAATGTAAGTGGGCTAAATGCCCCAATTAAAAGACACAGACTGGAAAGCTGAATAAAGAACCAAGATCCATTGGTATGCTGTCCTCAAGAGACTTATCTCACATGCAATGATGCACATAGGCTCAAAATAAAGGAATGGAGAAAAGTATACCAAGCAAATGGAAAACAGAAAAAAGCAGGGGTTGCAATCCTAAATTCTGAAAAAACAGACTTTAAACCAACAAAGATCAGAAAAGACAAACAAGGGCATTTCATAATGGTAAACAGTTCAATTCAACAAGAAGAGCTAACTATCATAAATATATCTGCACTCAACACAGGAGCACCCAAATTCATGAAGCAAGTTCTTAGGACCTTCAAAGAGACTTAGACTCCCATGCAATAATAGTGGGAAATTTTAATACGACACTGACAATGTTAAACATATCACCAAGACAGAAAATTAACAAAGCTATTCAGAATATGAACTCTGCACTGGAGCAAATGGACCTGATAGACATCTACAGAACTCTCCACTGCAAAATGACAGAATATACATTTTTTTCTCATGGCCTTATGGAACATACTTTAAAAGTGATCACAGAATTGGAAGTAAAACACTCATCAGCAAATGCAAAATAACTGAAATGATAACAAACAGTCTCTCAGACCACAAAATCAAGACTAAGAAATTAACTCAAAACCATACAATTACATGGAAATTAAATAACCTGTTCCTGAATGACTTTGGGGTAAATAAAGAAATGAAGACAAAAATCAAGAAGTTCTTTGAGTCTGGTTTGGCTATGTCCCCAACCATATCTTAAATGGTAGTTCTCATAATTCCCCCATGTTGTGGGAGGTACCTGGTAGGAGGTAATTGAATCATGAGGGTGGGCTTCTCCCATGATGTTCTCATGATAGTGAATAAGTCTTATGAGATCTGATGGTTTTATAAAGGGAACTTCCCCTGCACATATTCCCTCTTGCCTGATGCCATGTAAGATGTAACTTTGCTCCTCATTTGCCTTCTGCCATGATTGTGAAGCCTCCCCAGCCATGTGAAACTGTGAGTCAATTAAACCTCTTTTCTTTATAAATTACCCACTCTTAGGTATGTCTTTATTATCAGCATGAGAAGAGACTAATAGAGAAACTAAAGAGAACAAAGATATGATATACCAGAATCTCTGGGACACAGCAATGGCAGTGGTAAAAGGGAAATTTATAGCACTAAATGCACACAGCAAAAAATTAGAAAAATCTCAAGTTAACAACCTAATATCCACAACCAAAAAACTAGAGAACAAAAAGAAAACCAACCCCAAAGCTAGCAGAAGACAAGAAATAACAAAAACCAGAGCTGAACTAAAGGAGATAGAGACACACAAAAACCTTTTAAAGCATCAATGAATCCAGGAGCTGGTTTTTTTTCTTTTTTTTTTTTGAAAAAACTTACAAAATAGGTAGAACACTAGCTAGAAGAATAAAGAAGAAATGAGAGAAGATTAAAATAAGCACAATCAGAAACAACAAGTGGTATATTACCATTGACCCAACAGAAATACAAATAAACATCAGAGAATATTATGAACACCTCTATGCACATAGACTGGAAAATCTGAAAAAAAAGATAAATTCCTGGACACATACACACTCCCAAGGATGAACTAGAAAGAATTTGAATCTCTGAACAGACCAATAACAAGCTCTGACATTGAGTCAGTAATAAATAACCTACCAACCAAATAAACCCCAGAATCAGTTGGATTCACAGCTGAATTCTACCAGATGTACAAAGAAGAGCTGGTACCATTCCTGTTGAAACTATACCAAAAAAATGAGGAAGAAGGCCTCCTCAGTAACTCATTCTATCAGCATCACCCTGATACCAACACAATAAAAATAAAAAAACTTCATGCAAATATCCTTGATGAATATCGAAGCAAAAATTCTCAACAACATACTGGCAAACAGAATTCAGCAGCACATAAAAAGGCTGACCCACCATGATCAAGTAGGCTTTATCCCTGGGATGCAAGGTTGTTCAACATACACAAATCAATAAATGTAATTTATCACATAAACAGAACTAAAGACAAAAAGCACATGATAATCTTAATAGATGCAGAAAAGGCTTTCAATAAAAATCAACACTGCTTCATGTTAAAATCTCTCAATATAGTAGGTTTTGAAGGAACATACTTCAATAATAAGAGCCATCTACCTATGACAAACTCACAGCCAACATCATACTGAATGGGCAAAAGCTGAAAACACTCCCCTTCAACATCAGCACAAAACAAAGATGCCCTCTCTCATCACTCCTATTCACCATAGTATTGGAAGTCCTGACCAGGGCAATGAAGCAAGAGAGAAAAAATAAACGTATTGAAATAAGAAGAGAAGAAGTCAAACTATCCCTGTGTGCAGACAACATGATCCTGTATTCAGAAAACCCCCATAGCCTCAGCCCAAATGCTTCTTCAGCTGATAAGCAATTTCAGCAAAGGCTCAGAATAGAAAATCAATGTGCAAAATCACTTATATTTTTATACACCAACAACAGTTAATTTGAGAGCCAAATCAGAAAGGCAATTTCATTCACAATTGCCACAAAAAATAAAATACCTAGAAATACAGCTATCCAGGGAGCTGAAAGATCTCTACAAGGAGAACTACAAACCACTGCTCAAAGAAATCAGAGATAACACAAATAAATGAAAATAAAATTCCATGATCACGGAGAGGAAGAATCAATATTGTTAAAATGGCCATACTGCCCAAAGCAATTTACAGACTCAATGCTATTCCTATTAAACTAACATTGACATTCCTCACAGAACTAGAAAAAACTATTTTAAAAATCATATGGACCTGAAAAAGAGCCCAAATAGCCAGGGTAATCCTAAGCAAAAGAAAAAAGCTGAAAACATCATGCTTCCCAACTTAAAACTATATGACATGACTGCACTCTAGCCTGGGTGACATAGCGAGACTCTGTCTAAAAAAAAAGAAAAAAAGAAAAAAAGAAAAAAACTATATGACATGGCTACAGTAATCAAAACAGCATGGTACTGATGCAAAAACAGACACATAGACAAATGGAAAAAATAGAATACCCAGAAATAAGGTCACACACCTACAAGTACTCGATCTTCAACAATCCTGACAAAAACAAGGAATAGGAAAAGAAACCCCTATTCAATAAATGGTGCTGGGGTAACTGGCTAGCTATATGCAGAAGATTAAATTTGGAGCCCTTCCTTACACCATACACAAAAATTAACTCAAGATGGATAAAAACTTAAATGTAAAACCCCAAACTATAAAAACCCTGGAAGGTAACCTAAGCAGTGCCATTCTGGACATTGGAACAAACAAGGATTTCATGATGAAGACACCAAAAGCCATTGCAACAAAGGCAAAAATTCACAAATGAGATTTAATTAAACTAAAGAGCTTCTGTGCAGCAAAGGAAACTATCAACAGAGTAAACAGACAACTTACAGAATGGAAGAAAATTTTTGCAAACTATGCATCTGACAAAGGTCTAATATCCAGTATCTATCAGGAACTTAAATTTATAAAGAAAAGAGCCAAACAATTCCATTAAAATAGGCAAAAATCATGAAGAGACACTTTTCAAAAGAAGACATACATGTGGCCAATGATCATATGGAAAAAATCTCAACATCACTGATTATTAGAGAAATGCAAATGAAAACTACAATGAGATACCGTCTTATACCAGTCAGAATGGCTATTATTAAAAAGTCAAAAAATTAAAGATGCTGCAGAGGTTGCAGAGAAAAGAATGCTTATACACTGTTGGTGGGAGTGTAAATTATTTCAACCACTGTGGAAAACAGTGTGGTGATTCCTCAAAGACCTAAAGACAAAAATACCACTTGATCCAGCAATCCTATTACTGGGTATATACCCAAAGTTATATAAATCATTCTATTATAAAGATACATGCATACATATGTTCTTTCCAGTACTATTCAAAATAGCAAAGACATGAAAGGAATGTAAACACCCATCAATGGTAGACTGGATAAAGAAAATATGGTACATATACACAATGGAATACTATGCAGTCATAGAAAAGAATGAGGTTATGTTCTTTGCAGGAACATGGATAGAGCTGGAGGCCATTATCCTTAGCAAACGAATGCAGGGTCAGAAAACCAAATACCACATGTTTTCACTGATAAGTGGGGGCTAAATGATAAGAACACATGGACACATAGAGGGAAACAACACACACTGGGTCTATTGCAGGGTGGAGGGTGGGACAAGGGAGTGGGTCAGCAAAAATAACTAATCGGTACTAGGCTTAATAGCTGGGTGATGAAACAATCTATACAACAAACCACCATGACACAAGTTTACCTACATAAGAAACCTGTGCATGTACACCTGAACTTAAAATATAAGTTAAAAAGTGAATTATTGGACAGGGCGTGGTGGCTCACGCTTGTAGTTCCATCACTTTGGGAGGCCAAGGCAGGCAGATCACAAGGTCAGGAGTTCGAGACAAGCCTGACCAACATGGTGAAACCCCATCTCTACTAAAAATACAAAAATTAGCCAGGCATGGTGGTGCATGCCTGTAATCCCAGCTTCTCAAGAGGCAAGCCTCATGGTAATTACAAAGAAAAACCTACAATAGACACAAAAAAGAAAAAAAGAAAAGAGTCAAAGTGTATCACTACAAAAATAATAAAATCACAAATACAGATAGCAAGAGAGGAAGACAGAAACAGAAGAACTACAAAACGGACAGAAAATAATTAGTAAAATGGCAATAAGAAGTTCTTACTTTTTTCATTATACTTTAAGTTTTAGGGTACATGTGCACAACGTGCAGGTTAGTTACATATGTATACATGTGCCATGTTGGTGTGCTGCACCCATTAACTCGTCAATTAACATTAGATATATCTCCTAATGCTTTCCCTCCCCTCTCCCCACACCCCACAACAGGCCCCGGTGTGTGATGTTCCCCTTCCTGTGTCCATGTGTTCTCATTGTTCAATTCCCACCTGTGAGTGAGAATATGCGGTGTTTGGTTTTTTGTCCTTGCGATAGTTTGCTGAGAATTATGGTTTCCAGCTTCATCCATGTCCCTACAAAGCACATAAACTCATCCTTTTTTATGGCTGCATATATTCCATGGTATATATGTGCCACATTTTCTTAATCCAGTCTATCATTGTTGGATATTTGGGTTGGTTCCAAGTCTTTGCCATTGTGAATAGTGCCGCAATAAACATACATGTGCATGTGTCTTTATATCAGCATGATTTATAATCCTCAGGGAATATACCCAGTAATGGGATGGCTGGGTCAAATGGTAATTCTAGTTCTAGATCCCTGAGGAATCGCCACACTGAGTTCCACGATGGTTGAACTAGTTTACAGTCCCACCAACAGTGTAAAAGTGTTCCTATTTCTCCACATCCTCTCCAGCACCTGTTGTTTCCTGACTTTTTAATGATCGCCATTCTAACTGGTGTGAGATGGTATCTCATTGTGGTGTTGATTTGCATTTCTCTGATGACCAGTAATGATGAGCATTTTTTCATGTTTTTTGGCTGCATAAATGTCTTCTTTGGAGAAGCATCTGTTCATATCCTTCGCCCACTTTTTGATGTGGTTGTTTGTTTTTTTGTTGTACATTTGTTTGAGTTCTTTGTAGATTCTGGATATTAGCTCTTTGTCAGATGGGTGGATTGCAAAAATTTTCTCCCATTCTGTAGGTTGCCTGTTCACTCTGATGGTAGTTTCTTTTGCTGTGCAGAAGCTCTTTAGTCCAATTAGATCCCATTTGTCAATTTTGTCTTTTGTTGCCATTGCTTTTGGTGTTTTAGACATGAAGTCCTTGCCCATGCCTATGTCCTGAATTGTATTGCCTATGTTTTCTTCTAGGGTTTTTATGGTTTTAGGTTTAACATTGAAGTCTTTAATCCATCTTGAATTAACTTTAGTATAAGGTGTAAGAAAGGGATCCAGTTTCAGCTTTCTCCATGTGGCTAGCCAGTTTTCCCAAGCACCATTTATTAAATAGGGAATCCTTTCCCCATTTCTTGTTTTTGTCAGGTTTGTCAAAGATCAGATAGTTGTAGATATGCGGCATTATTTCTGAGGGCTTTGTTCTGTTCCATTGGTCTATATCTCTGTTTTGGTACAAGTACCATGCTGTTTTGGTTACTGTAGTCTTATAGTATAGTTTGAAATCAGGTAGCGTGATGCCTCCAGCTTTGTTCTTTTGGCTTAGGATGGACTTGGCAATGTGGGCTCTTTTTTAGTTCCATATGAACTTTAAAGTAGTTTTTTCCGATTCTGTAAAGAAAGTCATTGGTAGCTTGATGGGGATGGCTTTGAATCTATAAATTACCTTGGGCAGTATGGCCATTTTCATGATATAGGTTCTTCCTACTCATGAGCATGGAATGTTCTTCCATTCGTTTGTATCCTCTTTTATTTCATTGAGCAATGGTTTGTAGTTCTCCTTGAAGAGGTCCTTCACATCCCTTGTAAGTTGGATTTCTAGGTATTTTATTCTCTTTGGAGCAATTGTGAATGGAAGTTCACTCATGATTTGGCTCTCTGTTTGTCTCTTATTGGTGTATAAGAACGCTTGTGATTTTTGCATGTTGATTTTGTATCTTGAGACTTTGCTGAAGTTGCCTATCAGCTTAAGGAGATTTTGGGCTGAGAAGATGGGGTTTTGTAGATATACAATCATGTCAGCTGCAAATAGGGACAATTTGACTTCCTCTTTTCCTAATTGAATACCGTTTATTTCCTTCTCCTGACTGATTGCCCTGGCCAGAACTTCCAATACTATGTTGAATAGGAGTGGTGAGAGAGGGCATCTGTGTCTTGTGCCAGTTTTCAAAGGGAATGCTTCCAGTTTTTGCCCATTCAGTATGACATTGGCTGTGGGTTTGTCATAGATAGCTATTATTATTTTAAGACATGTCCCATCAATACCTAATTTATTGGGAGATTTTAGCATGAAGCACTGTTGAATTTTGTCAAAGGCCTTTTCTGCATCTATTGAGATAATCATGTGGTTTTTGTCTTTCGTTCTGTTTATATGCTGGATTACATTTATTGATTTGTGTATGTTGAACCAGCCTTGCATCCCAGGGATGAAGCCCGATTGATCACGGTGGATAAGCTTTTTGATGTGCTGCTGGATTCGGTTTGCCAGTATTTTATTGAGGATTTTTGCATTGATGTTCATCAGGGATATTGGTCTAAAATTCTCTTTTTTTTGTTGTGTCTCTGCCAGGCTTTGGTATCAGAATGTTGCTGGCCTCATAAAATGAGTTAGGGAGGATTACCTCTTTTTCCATTTATTGGAATAGTTTCAGAAGGAATGGTACCAGCTCCTCCTTGTACCTCTGGTAGAATTCTGCTGTGAATCCATCTGGTCCTGGACTTTTTTTGGTTGGTAAGCTATTAATTATTGCCTCACTTTCAGAGCCTGTTATTGGTCTATTCAGAGATTCAACTTCTTCCTGGTTTAGTCTTGGGATGGTGTATGTGTCAAGGAATTTATTCATTTCTTCTAGATTTTCTAGTTTATTTGCATAGAGGTGTTTATAGTATTCTCTGATGGTAGTTTGTATTTCTGTGGGATCGGTGGTGATATCCCCTTTATCATTTTTTATTGCGTCTATTTGATTCTTCTCTGTTTTCTTCTTTATTAGTCTTGCTGGTGGTCTATCAATTTTGTTGATCTTTTCAAAAAACCAGCTCCTAGATTCATTGATTTTTTGAAGGGTTTTTTGTGTCTCTATTTCCTTCAGTTCTGCTCTGATCTTAGTTATTTCTTGCCTTCTGCTAGCTTTTGAATGTGTTTGCTCTTGCTTCTCTAGTTCTTTTAATTATGATATTATGGTGTCAATTTTAGTTATTTCCTGCTTTCTCTTGTGGGCATTTAGTGCTATAAATTTCCCTCTACACACTGCTTTGAATGTGTCCCAGAGATTCCGGTATATTGTGTCTCTGTTCTCGTTGGTTTCAAAGAACATCTTTATTTCTGCCTTCATTTCATTATGTATCCAGTAGTCATTCAGGAGCAGGTTTTTCAGTTTCCATGTAGTTGAGTGGTTTTGAGTGATTTTCTTAATCCTGAGTTCTAGTTTGATTGCACTGTGGTCTGAGAGAGAGTTTGTTATAATTTCTGTTGTTTTACATTTGCTGAGGAGTGCTTTACTTCTAACTATGTGGTCAATTTTGGAATAGGTGTGGTGTGGTGCTGAAAAGAATGTATATTCTGTTGATTTGGGGTGGAGAGTTCTGTAGATGTCTATTAGGTCCACTTGGGTGCAGAGATGAGTTCAATTCCTGCATATCATTGTTAACTTTCTGTCTCGTTGATCTGTCTAATGTTGACAGTGGTGTCAAAGTCTCCCATTATTATTGTGTGCAAGTCTAAGTCTCTTTCTAGGTCTCTAAGGACTTGCTTTATGAATCTGGGTGCTCCTGTATTGGGTGCATATATATTTAGGATAGTTAGCTCTTCTTGTTGAATTGATCCCTTTACCATTATGTAATGGCCTTCTTTGTCTCTTTTGATCTTCATTGGTTTGAAGTCTTTTTTATCAGAGACTAGGATTGCAACCCCTGCCTTTTTTTGTTTCCCATTTACTTGGTAGATCTTCCTCCATCCCTTTATTTTGAGCCTATGTGTGTCTCTGCACATGAGATGGGTTTCCTGAATACAGCACACTGATGGGTCTTGACTCTTTATCCAATTTGTCAGTCTGTGTCTTTTAATTGGAGCATTTAGCCCATTTACATTTAAGGTTAATATTGTTCTGTGTGAATGTGATCCTGTTGTTATGATGTTAGCTGGTTATTTTGCTCATTAGTTGATGCAATTTCTTCCTAGCCTCAATGGTCTTTACAATTTGGCATGTTTTTGCAGTGGCTGGTACCAGTTGTTCCTTTCTATGTTTAGTGCTTCCTTCAGGAGCTCTGTTAGGGCAGGCCTGATGGTGACAAAATCTGTCAGCATTTGCTTGTCTGTAAAGGATTTTATTTCTCCTTCACTTATGAATGTTAGTTTGGCTGGATATGAAATTCTGGGTTGAAAATTCTTTTCTTTAAGAATGATGAATATTGGCCCCCACTCTCTTCTGGCTTGTAGAGTTTCTGCCGAGAGATCCACTGTTATTCTGATGGGCTTCCCTTTGTGCATAACCCGACCTTTCTCTCTAGCTGCCCTTAACATTTTTTTCCTTCATTTCAACTTTGGTGAATCTGACAATTATATCTTGGAGTTGCTCTTCTCAAGGAGCATCTTTTTGGCATTCTCTGTGTTTCCTGAAT
This sequence comes from Homo sapiens, assembly GCF_000001405.40. Taxonomy (NCBI): domain Eukaryota; kingdom Metazoa; phylum Chordata; class Mammalia; order Primates; family Hominidae; genus Homo; species Homo sapiens. Next base: position 73,304,165 of record NC_000023.11, read on the forward strand.
TTGAATATTGGCCTGCCTTGTTAGATTGGGGAAGTTCTCCTGGATAATGTCCTGCAGAGTGTTTTCCAACTTGGTCCCATTCTCCCCGTCACTTTCAGGTACACCAATCAGAAGTAGATTTGGTCTTTTCACATAGTCCCATATTTCTTGGTGGCTTTGTTCATTTCTTTTTGTTCTTTTTTCTCTAAACTTCTCTTCTCACTTCATTTCATTCATTTGATCTTCCATCACTGATACTCTTTCTTCCAGTTGATCGAATCAGCTACTGAGGCTTGTGGATTTGTCACACAGTTCTCATGCCATGGTTTTCAGCTCCATCAGGTCCTTTAAGGACTTCTCTGCATTTGTTATTCTAGTTAGCCATTCATCTAATTTTTTGAAGGTTTTTAACTTCTTTGCCATGGGTTCGAACTTGCTCCTTTAGCTTGGAGTAGTTTGATCATCTGAAGCCTTCTTCTCTCAACTCATCAAAGTCGTTCTCCTTCCAGGTTTGTTCTGTTGCTGGTGAGAAGCTGTGTTCCTTTGGAGGAGGAGAGGCACTCTGATTTTTAGAGCTTCCCGTTTTTCTGCTCTGTTTTTTCCCCATCTTTGTGGTTTTATCTACCTTTGGTCTTTGATGATGGTGACATACCGACAGGGTTTTGGTATGGATGTCCTTTCTGTTTGTTAGTCTTTGAGGTCCACTCCAGACCCTGTTTACCTGGGTATCCGCAGCAGAGGCTGCATAACAGCAGATATTGGTGAACAGCAAATGTTGCTGCTTGATTTTTCCTCTGGAAGTTTTGTCTCAGAGGAGTACCCGGCTGTGTGAAGTGTCAGTCTGCCACTACTGGGGGGTGCCTCCCAGTTAGGCTACTCTGGGGTCATTGACCCACGTGAGGAGACTGTCTGTCCATTCTCAGATCTCAAGCTGCATGCTGGGAGAACCACTACTCTCTTCAAAGCTGTCAGACAGGGACCTTTAAGTCTGCAGAGGTTTCTGCTGCCTTTTGTTTGGCTATGCCCTGCCCCCAGAGGTGGAGTCTACAGAGGCACGCAGGCCTCCTTGAGCTGTGGTGGGCTCCACCCAGTTTGAGCTTCCTGGCTGCTTTGTTTACCTACTCAAGCCTCAGTAATGGCGGGCGCCCCTCCTCCAGCCTTGCTGCCTCCTTGCAGTTTGATCTCAGACTGCTGTTCTAGCAATGAGTGAGGCTCTGTGGGCATAGGACCCTCCAAGCCATGCGTGGGATATAATCTCCTGGTGTGCTGTTTGCTAAGACCATTGGAAAAACACAGTATTGTGGGGGGAGTGACCCAATTTTCCAGTTGCTGTCTGTCACCCCTTTCTTTGACTAGGAAAGGGAATTCCCTGACCCCTTGAGCTTCCCAGGTGAGGTGATGCCTCACCCTGCTTTGGCTCATGCTCGGTGCACTCCACCCACTGTCCTGCACCCACTATCTGACACTCCCCAGTGAGATGAACCCAGTACCTCAGTTGGAAATGCAGAAATCACCCATATTCTGCCAGAAGTTCTTACATTGTAATAATTACTTTATGTAAAAATGAATTACAGTTTATATAGAGTGAATAGATAGAAAACAAGATCAAGCTCTATGCTGTCTACCAGAGACTCATTTTTGATTTAAGTACACACTTAAGCTGAAAGTGAAAATGTAGAATAAAATATGATTGCAAATGGTATTTAAAAGGGAGCGGGGGGGCTCTATCTATATCAGACATAATAGACCTCAAGCCATAAACTCACAAGGGCCTAAGAAGGTCATCACATAATGAAAATAGGGTTAGTTCAGCAAGGTGATATAACAATTGTAAATATATATGCATCCAATATCAAAATGTCTAGTTATATAAAGAAAAGATTGACATGTCCATAAGAAGAAATAGGCAATAAAATAAGTATAGAAGACTTTAATACCCCACTATCAACAATGGACATAGTAGGCAGTTTTTCCCTAACAGTGCTAGGTCTGGGAGGTGTGGACTGGGTAGAATTAATCACAGTGCGGTGAAGCAGCTGTGGCCAGACTGCTTCTCTAGATTCCTCCTCACTGGGCAGGGAGTCTCTTTAAGAAAGGTAACAACCCCAGTCAGGGGCTTACAGATAAACTCCCATCTCCCTGGGACAGAGCGCTTAAAAGAAGGGGAAGCTGTGGGCACAGTTTCAGAGGACTTAATCTCTCCTGCCTGCCAGCTCTGAAGAGAGCATCTAATCCTGGCAAGAGGGATTCTCCCAGCACAGTGTACCAGCTTTGCTAAGGGACAGACTGCCTCCTCAAATGGGTTCCAGATACTCATGCCTTGTGACTAGGAAAGACTTCCCAAAATGGGTCAACAGGCACCTCATACAGGAGAGCTTCAGCTGGCATCAGGCTCGTGTCCCTCTGGGATTAAGCTTCCAGAGGAAGGAGCAGACAGCAATCTTTGCTGTTCTGAAGCCTCCACTGATGATACCCAGGCAAACTAGTTCTGGAGTGGACCTCCAGCAAACTATAGCGGACCTGCAGAAGATGGGCCTCTCTGTCAGAAGAAAAACTAACAAACAGAAAGCAACAGCATCAACAACAACAATAAGAACCTCCACAAGAAACTCCATGCAAAGGTCTTTAGCCTCAAAGATCAAAGGTAAATAAATCCACAAAGATAAAGAAAAACCAGTGCAAAAACACTGAAAATTCCAAACACCGGAATGGCTCTTCTCCAAATGATAACAACTCCTCTCTAGCAAGGGTACAAAACTGGATGGAGAGTGAGAGTGACAAATTGACAGAAGTAGGCTTCAGAAGGTGGGTAATAACAAACTCCTCTGAGTCAAAGAGGCATGTTCTAACCCAATGCAAGGAAGCTAAGAACAATGATAAAAGGTTACAGGCACAGATAACTAGAATAACCAGATTAGAGAAGAAAATAAATGACCTGATGGGGCTGAAAAACACAGCAAGAGAAATTCATGAAGCAGACACAAGTATCAATAGCCAAATTGTTCAAGTGGAACAAACGATATCCGAGATTGAAGATCAACTTACTGAAATAAGGCATGAAGACAGGATTGGAGAAAAAAGAATGTAAAGGAACAAATGAAGCCTCCAAGAAATGTGGGACTCTTTGAAAAGACCAAACCTACGACTGATTGTTGTACCAGAAAGTGACAGGGAGATTGGAACCAAGTTGGAAAACACACTTTGAGATATTATCCAGGAGAACTTCCACAACCTAGCAAGACAGGCCAACATTCAAATTCTGGAAATACAGAGAACACTACTAAGATTCTCCTCGAGAAGAGCAACCCCAAAACACATAATTGTCAGATTTGCCAAGTTTGAAATGAAAGAAAAAATGTTAAGTGCAGCCAGAGAGAAAAGTCAGGTTACCTACAAAGGGAAGCCCATCAGACTAACAGCAGATCTCTCTGCAGATAACTTACAAGCCAGAAAAGAGTGGGGGCCAATATTCAACATTCCAAAAGAAAAGAATTTTCAACCCAGAATTTCATATCCAGCCAAACTAAGCTTCATAAGTGAAGGAGAAATAAAATCCTTTACAGACAAGAAAATGCTGAGGGATTTTATCATTACCAGGCCTGCCTTACAAGAGCTCCTGAAGGAAGCACTAAATATAGAAGAAAAATTCTGTACCAGCCACTGCAAAAACACACCAAAATATAAAGACCAATGACATTATGAAGAAACTGCATCAACTAATGTGAAAATAATCATCTAGCATCATGATGACAAGATCAAATTCATACATAAAAATATTAACCTTAAATGTAAGTGGGTTCAATGCCCCAATTAAAAGACACAGGCTGGCAAATTGCATAGTCAAGACCCATTGGTATGCTGATTTAAGGAGACTCATCTCAAATGCAAAGACACACATAGGCTCAAAATAAAGGGATGGAGGTATATGTATATTTACCAAGCAAATGGGAGACAAAAAAAAAAAGGAAAGGTTGCAAACGTAGTCTCTGTTAAAACATACTGCAAACCAACAAAGATTTAAAAAGACAAAGAAGGCCATTACATAATGGTAAAGGCATCAAAGCAACAAGAAGAGCTAACTATTCTAAACATATATGCACCTAATACAGGAGCATCCAGATTCATAAAGCATCTTCTTAGAGACCTAGAAAGAGATTTGGACTCCCACACAGTAATAGTGGAAGACTTTAACATCCCACTGTCAATATTAGACAGATCAATGAGACAGAAAATTAACAAGGATATTCAGGACTTGAACTCAGCTCTGGACCAATGGGACCTAATAGACATCTACAGAATTCTCCACCCCAAATCAATGGAATATACATTCTTCTCAGCACCACATAGCACTTATTCTAATATCAACCACATAACTAGAAGTAAAACACTCCTCAGCAAATGCAAAAGAATAGAAATCATAAGAAATTGTCTCTCAGACACAGCACAATCAAATTAGAACTCAGAATTAAGAAACTCACTCAAAACTGCACTACATGGAAACTGAACAACCTGCTCCTGAATGACTACTGGGTAAATAACAAAATTAAAACTGAAATAAAGAAGTTCTTTGAAACCAGTGAGAACAAAGAGACAATGTACCAGAATCTCTGGGACACAGCTAAAGCAGTATTTAGAGGGAAATTTATAGCACTAAATGTCCACAAGAGAAAGTGGGAAAGATCTAAAATTGACACCCTAACATCACAATTAAAAGAACTGGAGAAGCAAGAGCAAACAAATTTCAAAGCTAACAGAAAACAAAAAATAACTAAGGTCAAATCAGAACTGAAAGAGACAGAGACACAAAAAACCCTTCAAAACATCAATGAATCCAGGAGCTGGTTTTTTGAAAAGGTTAACAAATTAAAGAGAAAACTAGTCAGACTAAAAAAGAAAAAAGAGAGAATAATCAAATAGACACAGTAAAAAATGATAAAGGGGATATCACCACTGATCCCACAGAAATACAAACTACCATCAGAGAATACTATAAACACCTCTATGCAAATAGACTAGAAAATCTAGAAGAAATAAATAAATTCTTGGACACATACACCCTCCCAAGATGAAACTAGAAAGAAGTCGAATCCGTAAATAGATCAATAACAAGCTCTGAAATTGAGGCAGTAATTAATAGCCTACCAACCAAAAAAAGCCCAAGTCCAGATGGATTCACAGCCAAATTCTACCAGAGGTACAAAGAGGAGTTGGTACTATTTCTTCTGAAATTATTCCAAACAGTAGAAAAAGATGGACTCCTCCCTAACTCATTTTATGGGTCCAGCATCATTCTGATACTAAAACCTGACAGAGACAAAATGAAAAAAAAAAATTCAGGCGAATATCCCTGATGAACATCAATGTGAAAATCCTCAATAAAATACTGGACTTCAAACTATACTACAATGCTATGGTAACCAAGACAGCAAGGTACTGGTAACAAAACAGAGATATAGTCCAATGGAACAGAACAGAGACCTCAGAAATAACACCACATGTCTGCAACCATCAGATCTTTGACAAATTTGAGAAAAGGAAGCAATGGGGAAAAATTTCCTATTTAATAAGTAGTGCTGGGAAAACTGGCTAGCCATATGTAAAAAACAGAAACTGGCCCCTTTCCTTACACTTTATACAAATATTAACTCAAGATGGATTAAAGAATTAAATGTAAAACCTAAAACCGTAAAAACCCTAGAAGAAAACCTAGGCAACACCATTCGGGACATAGGCATGAGCAAAGACTTCATGACTAAAACACCAAAAGCAACTGCAACAAAAGCCAAAATTGACAAATGGGATCAAATTAAACTAAAGGGCTTCTGCACAGCAAAAGAAACTATCATCAGAGTGAACAGGCAACCTACAGAATGGGAGAAAATTTTTGCAATCTACCCATCTGACAAAGTTCTAATATACAGAATCTACAAGGATCTTAAACAAATTTACAAGAAAAAAAAACAAACAACCCCATGAAAAAGAGGGCAAAGGATATCAACAGTATACATATGTAACAAACCTGCACATTGTGCACATGTACCCTAGAACTTAAAGTATAATAAAAAAAAGAAGACATTTATGCAGCCAACTAACATATGAAAAAAAAGCCATCATCACGGTCATTAGAGAAGTGCAAATCAAACCCACAATGAGATAACATCTCATGCCAGTCAGAATGGTGATCATTAAAAAGTCAGGAAAAAAATATTGGTGAGGATGTGGAGAAATAGGTACATTTTTACACTGTTGGTGTGAGTGTAAATTAGTACGACCATTGTGGATACAGTGTGGTGATTCCTCAAGGATCTGGAACCAGAAATACTATTTGAACCAGCAATCCCATTACTGGGTATATACCTAAAGGACTATAAATCATTCTACCCTAAAGACACATGCATATTTATGTTTATTGCTGCACTCTTCACAATAGCAAAGACTTAGAATCAACCCAAATGCCTATCACTGATAGACTGGATAAAGAAAATGTGGCACATATATACCATGGAATACTATGCAGGCATAAAAAAGGATGAGTTTGTGTCCTTTGCAGGGACATGGATGAAGCTGGAAGCCATCATTCTCAGCGAAATAACACAGGAACAGAAAACTGAACACTGCGTGTTCTCACTCATATGTGGGAGTTGAAAAATGACAACTGAAGGACACAGCTGGGGAGAACTTCACACACTGGGGTCTGATAGGAGGTAGGGGTCAAGGGGAGAGAGAGCATTAGGACAAATACCTAATGCATGTGGGACTTAAAGCCTAGATGATGGGTTGATAGGTGCAGCAAACCACCATGGCACATGTATACCTATGAAACAGACCTGTACGTTCTGCACATGTATCTCAGAACTTTAAGTAAAATAATAAAAACAATTAGAGCAGAAACAAGTGATATAGAGAACAAAAAAACAAAAGCAAAGCAACAAAATGAAGAATTGCTTTTTGAAAAGATATTACTAAATCCTTAGCCAAAAAGATGAAAGAATCAAATAAATCAATTGGAAATGGAAAAAGAAACATTACAGTTGATGCCACAGAAATAAAAATGATCAGAAGGAAATATTATGAACAACTATATGCAAACATATTGGACAACCTACAAGAAATGGATAAATTTCTAGAAACATACAACCTACCACGACTGAATAAAAAGAAAAGCCTAAACAGAAGAAAAAGAAATGAGATTACATTAGTAATAAAAAAACTCTCAACAACAACAACAACAACAACAAAAAGCTCAGGACCAGATGGCCCTAAAAGTGAATTCTACCAAACATTTAAAGAAGAATCAATACCAATACATCTTAATCTCTTACAAAAAATAAAAGTGGAAACACTTCCAAACTCATTTCACAGCATCAGAAAGACCTGATTCTGAAGCCAGACCATGACACCCTAGAAAATAAAACCACAGGTAAATAGTTTTGGAAATAAATATGAATGGAAAAAAATTTTAACAAAATATTAGCAAACATAATTCAACAGTTTATAAAAATAATCAATCATACACCATAAACAAAGGGAATGTATTCCTGAGATGCAAGGATGGTTCAATGTACACAGATCAATAAAAGAGTTATACCACATTAGCAAAATGAAGGATTTAAAAATCACATCTCAATAGATGCAAAAAAAAATTTGACAAAATTCCACCCCCTTTTGTGACAAAACCTCTCAACAAATTCAGTATAGAAGGAACTTACTTCAATGCAATAAAGATCATATATGTAAAGCCCACAGCTAACATCATAATCAATTAACAAAAATACCTATTCTTTTAAGATTTGGTATGAGGCAAGGAGGCCCACTCTCACTACTTCTTGAATAAATAGTTTAATGATAAAATGTTGAATACATAGTAAAAGAAATCTAGTCAGAGAAATTAGCCAAGAAAAATAAATAAAAGTTATCCAAATTAAAAAGAAAAAAAGTAAAATTATCACTATTTGCAAAGGAAATGATCTTATATTTAGAAAAACTTAGAAACTTTATCAAAAACTGTTAGAATTAATAAACAAAAACTTAACACCCAACAAACAAATTTAGTAAAGTTGCAGGATACAAAATCAACAAACAAAAATATGTGCTTCTGTACACTAACAACAAACTATACAAGAAGAAAATTTAGAAAAGTTTCATTTACAGTAGCATCAAAATAATTATTTAATAGGAATAGATTTATTCAAGAAGGTAAACACTTGTTCACTGAATGCTATAAAACACTAAAAAAAAGTAAAATAGACACAAATAATTGAGAATATATCTCTTGTTCATAGATTTGAATAATTAATATTGTTACAATGTCTACACTACTCAAACTGATATACAGATTCTATTTCCATCAAAATTCCAATGGTATTTGTACAGAAATAGAATAAAGAATTCCAAAATTTATATGGAAACCAAAAGACCCCATGTAACCACAGCAATTTTCAGCAAGAACAAGTTGGAGGCTTTCAAATATATTGCCTTCCATGGAAATAAAAACAGTATGATACTGGTATAAAAACAGATATATAGATCAATGAAACAGAATACAGAGGCCAGAAATAAACCCATACATGTACGGTAATCAGATCTTCAACAAATGTGCCAAGAATATACAATGGAAAAGAATAGTCTCATCAATAAATTGTGTTATAAATATTGCATGTCCACATACACAAGAATAAATTAAACAATATTTTATTTTATATATAAGCATCAACTTAAAATAGGTTAAAGGCATAGATGTAAGACAAGAAACTGTAAAACTCTAGAAGAAAACATGAAGAAAAACTTCTTGACATTGACCCTTGCAATGATTTAGATATGACACTCAAAAGCACAGGAAACAAGAATAAAAGTAAACAAATGGAATTACATCAAAGTAAAAAGCTTCTGTACAGCAAAAGAAATAATCAACAAAATAAATAAAGCAAACTTTGGAGTGGAGAAAATACTTTAGAACTATTTTCTAATAAAGGGTTAATACATAAAAAGTATAAGAAATTCCTAGAAGAGCAAAAAACTTTTTTTAGGGGATTATACAATTTATTTTATTTCATTTCACTTATTATTATTATTTTTTATTTTTAATTTCCATAGATTATTGGGGAACAGGTGATGTTTGCTTACATGAGTAAGTTCTTTAGTGGTGACTCGTGAGATTTTGGTGCACCAATCACCCAAGCAGTATACACTGCACCCAATTTGCGGTCTTTTGTTTGTCTGCTTTGTTTTTGTTTTAGTTTTTGAGACAGAATTTTGCTCTTGCTGCCCAGGCTGGAGTGCAATGGCATGATTTTGGCTCACTGCAACCTCTGCCTCCTGGGCTCAAGCGATTCTCCTGTCTCAGCCTCCGGAGTAGCTGGGATTACAGGCGCCCGCCACCATGCCCGGCTAATTTTTTGTATTTTTAGTAGAGACGGGGTTTCACCACGTTGGCCAGGCTGGTCTCAAAATCCTGACCTCAGGTGATCCACCAGCCTCGGCCTCCTGAAGTGCTGGGATTACAGGTGTGAGCCACCGTGCCTGGCCACAATTTGTGGTCTTTTATCCCTCACCCCTTTCCCACCCTTTTGCCCTGAGTCCCCAAAGTCCATTACGTAATTCTTATGCCTTTGCATCCTCATAGCTTAGCTCTCACTTATGAGTGACAACGTATGATGTTCAGTGTTTCATTCCTGAGTTACTTCACTTTCACTAATAGTCTCCAGTCTCATCCAGATCACTGCAAATGCCATTATTTTATTCCTTTTGGAGGCTGAGTAATATTTCTTCATACATATACACCACGGTTTCTTTATCCACTCATTGATTGATGGACGTTTGGGTTGGTTTCACGTTTTTGCAATTATGAATTGTGCTGCTATAAACATGCATGTAGAAGTATCATTTTTTGTATGATGACTTCTTTTCCTCTGGGTAGATATCCAGTAGTGGGAATGCTGTATCAAATGGTAGTTCTACTTTTAGTTATTTAAGGAATCTCCACACAGTTTTCCATAGTGGTTGTACTAGTTTACATTCCCACCAGCACTGTAAATGTGTTCCCTTTTCACCACATCCATGCCAACATCTATTTTTTTTATTATAGCCATTCTTGCAGGAGTAAGGTGGTATCACATTGTGATTTTAATTTTAATTTCCCTGATTATTAGTGATGCTGAGCATTTTTTCATATGCTTGTTGGCCATTTGTATATCTTCTTTTGAGATTTATCTATTCATGTTCTTAGCCCACTTTTTTTTTTTCGAAACAGTGTTTCACTCTTGTTGCCCAGGCTGGAGTGCAATGGTGTGATCTTGGCTCACTGCAACTTCTGCCTCCCAGGTTCAAGCAATTCTCTGGCCTCAGCCTCCTGAGTAGCTGGGATTACAGGCATGTGCTACCATGCCCAACAAATTTTGCAATTTTAGCAGAGATGGGGTTTTTCTATGTTGGTCAGGCAGGTCTTGAACTCCTGATCTCAGGTCTTAGCCCACTTTTTATGTGATTCTTTTTCTTTTACCTGCTAATTTGTTTGAGTTTGTTGTAGATTCTGGATATTAGTCCTTTGTCAGATGTACAATTTGTGAAGATTTTCTCCCACTCTGTTGGTTTTCTGTTTACTCTGCTTACCATTTCTTTTGATGTGCAAAAGCGCTTTAGTTTAATTAAGTCCAAGCTATTTATCTTTGTTTTTACTGCATTTGCTTTTGGGTTCTTGGTCATGAAATCCTTGCCTAAGCCAATGTCTAGAAGGGTTTTTCCAACGTTATCTTCCAGAATTTTTATAGTTTCAGTTCCTACATTTAGGTCCTTAATCCATCTTGATTTGATTTTTGTATAAGGAGAGAGATGAGGATCCAGTTTCATTCTCCTACATGTGGCTTGCCGATTAACTCAGCACCATTGGTTGAATGGGGTATCTATTCTCCACTTTATGTTTTTGTTTGCTTTGTCAAAGACCAGTTGGCTGCAAGTATTTGGGTTTATTTCTGGGTTTTCTATTCTGTTCCATTGGTCTATTTGCTTATTTTCATACCAGTACCATGCTGTTTTAATGACTATGACCTTAGAGTATAGTTTATAATCAGGGAATGTGATGCCTCCAGATGTATTCTTTTTGCTTAGTTTTACATTGGCTATACGGGCTTGATTTTGGTTCCATGTGAATTTTAGGATTGCTTTTTCTAGTTCTGTGAAGAATGATGGTGGTGTTTTGATGGAAGTTGTGTTGAATTTTTAGATCAATGCAAAAATCCTCAATAAAATACTAGCAAACCAAATCCAGCGGCACATCAAAAAGCTTATCCACCATGATCAAGTGGGCTTCATCCCTGGGATGCAAGGCTGGTTCAACATATGAAAATCAATAAACATAATCCATCATATAAACAGAACCAAAGACAAAAACCACATTATTATCTCAATAGGTGAAGAAAATACCTTTGACAAAATTTAACAGCCCTTCATGCTAAAAACTCTCAGTAAACTAGATATTGATGGGATGTATCTCAAAATAATAAGAGCTATCTATGACAAACCCACAGCCAATATCATACTGAATGGGCAAAAACTGGAAGCATTCCCTTTGATAACTGGCACAAGACAGGGATGCCCTCTCTCAGCACTCCTATTCAACATAGTGTTGGAAGTTCTGGCCAGGGCAATCAGGCAGGAGAAGGAAATAAAGGGTATTCAATTAGGAGAAGAGGAAGTCAAATTGTCCTTGTTTGCAGATGACATGATTGTGTATTTAGAAAACCCCATCGTTCTCAACCCAAAATCTCCTTCAGCTGATAAGCAACTTCAGCAAAGTCTCAGGATAAAAAATTAATGTGCAAAAATCACAAGCATTCCTATACACCAATAATAGACAAACAGAGAGCCAAATCATGAGTGAACTCCTATTCACAATTGCTTCAAAGAGAATAAAATACCTGGGAATCCAACTTACAAGGGATGTGAAGGACCTCTTCAAGGAGAACTACAAACCACTGCTCAACGAAATAAAAGAGGACACAAACAAATGGAAGAATATTCCATGTTCATAGATAGGAAGAATCAATATCATGAAAATGGCCATACTTCCTGAGGTAATTTATGGATTCAATGCCATCCCCATCAAGCTACCAATGACTTTCTACACAGAATTGGAAAAAACTACTTTAAAGTTCTTATGGAAGCAAAAAAGAGCCTGAATTGCCAAGACAATCCTAAGTAAAAAGAGCAAAGCTGGAGGCATCATGCTACCTGACTTCAAACTATACTACAAGGCTACAGTAACCAAAACAGCATGGCACCGGTACCAAAACAGATATATAGACCAATGGAACAGAACAGAGACCTCAAAAATAATACCACACATCTGCAACCATCTGATCTTTGACAAACCTGAGAAAAACAAGAAATAGGGAAAGGATTCCCTATGTAATAAATGGTGCTGGGAAAACTGGCTAGCCATATGTAGAAAGCTGAAACTGAATCCCTTCCTTACACCTTATACAAAAATTAATTCAAGATGGATTAAAGACTTAAATGTTAGACTTAAAACCATAAAAACCCTAGAAGATAACCTAGGCAATACCATTCAGGACATAGGCATGGGCGAGGACTTCATGAATAAAACACCAAAAGCAAAGGCAACAAAAGCCAAAATTGACAAATGGGATCTAATTAAACTAAAGAGCTTCTGCACAGCAAAAGAAACTACCATCAGAGTGAACAGGCAACCTACAGAATGGGAGAAAGTTTTTACAATCTAGTCACGTGACAAAGGGTTAATATCCACAATCTACAAAGAACTTAAACAAATTTACAAGAAAAAATCAAACAACCCCATCAAAAAGTGGGCAAAGGGTATGAACAGATACTTCTCAAAAGAAGACATTTATGCAGCCAACAGACACATGAAAAAATGCTCATCATTACTGGTCACCAGATAAATGCAAATCAAAACCGCAATGAGATACCATCTCATACCACTGAGAATGGCTTTTATTAAAAAGTCAAAAAATAACAGAAGTAGGCGAGATTGAGGAGAAAAAAGGAAGCCTATACACTGCTGGTGGAAGTATAAATTTGTTCAACCATTGTGGAAAGCAGTTTGATGATACTTCAAAACAGAACTTGTGTCACAGGGGTTTGTTGTAAAGATTATTTTGTCACCTAAGGATTAAGCCTGTTAATCCTAGTACCAGTTAGTTATTTTTTCTGACTTTCTCCCTCCTCCCACCCTTCACTCTTTGGTAGACCCCAACGTGTGTTGTTCCCCTCTATGTGTCTGTGTGCTCTCATCATTTAGCTCCCACTTGTAGGTAAGAACATGTGGTATTTGGTTTTCAGTTCCTACATTAGTTTACTAAGGATAATGATCTCCAGCTCCATCCATGTTCTTGCAGAGGGCATCATCTCCCTTTTCATGGCTGCATAGTATTTCATGGGGAATATATACCACATTTTCTTTATCCAGACTACCATTGAAGGGCATTTAGGTGGATCCCATGTCTTTGTTATTGTGAATATTGATGCAGAAAACTTATGTGTGCATGTGTCTTTATGATAGAATAATTTATATTTCTTTGGGTCTATACTCGTTAGTGGGATTTTTGGGTCAAATGGTAGTTCTGTTTTTGCTAACTTAGTTCAAAGGTACATGTACAGATTTCTTATGTAGGTAAACTTCTGTCACAGAGGTTTTATTGTACAGATTACTTCATCACCCAGGTATAAAACCAAGTACTCTTTAGTTAATTTACCTGATTCTCTCCCTCCTCCAACCCTCCACTCTCCAGTAGGTCCCAGTGTTTGCTGTTCTCCTCTATATGCCCATGTGTTCTCATCATTGAGTTCCAACTTATAAGTGAGAACATGTGGTATTTGGTTCTCCATCCCCTCATCTCCACCTTTTTTTTTTGAGTCTTGTTCTGCTCCTCAGGCTGGAGTGCAGTGGTGCAATCTCAGCTCACTGCAACCTCTGCCTCCTGGGTTCAAGTGATTCTCCTGCCTCAGCCTCCTGAGTGGCTGGGATTACAGGTATGCACCACTGCACCCAGCTAATTTTTTGTATTTTTAGTAGAGATGAGGTTTCACCGTGTTAGCCAGGAAAGCCCCTCCCTTTTTTTGGAGTCCCCAGTGTTCATTGTTCCCAACTTTAAATCTGTGTGAACCCACAATTTAGCTCCCACTTGTAAAAGAGAACATGTTGCCAAGACCAGCTCAGTTGGGAAGACCCTAACCAAGTGGCGCTAGAGGAATTAAAGACACACACATGAAATATGGAGGTGTGAAGTGGGAAATCAGGGGTCTCATAGCCTTCAGAGCTGAGAGAGCTGAACAGAGATTTACCCACATATTTATTAACAGCAAGCCAGTCATTAGCATTGTTTCTATAGATATTCGATTAACTAAAAGTATCCCTTATGGGAAACAAAGGGATGGGCTGAATTAAAGGAATAGGTTGGGCTAGTTAACTGCAGCAGGAGCATGTCCTTAAGACACAGATCACTCATGCTATTGTTTGTGGCTTAAGAATGCCTTTAAGTGGTTTTCCACGTTGGGCGGGCCAGGTGTTCCTTGCCCTCATTCCCATAAACCCACAAACTTCCAGCTTGGGCGTTAGGGCCATTATGAACATGTTACAGTGCTGCAGAGATTTTGCTTATGGCCAGTTTGGGGGCCAGTTTATGGCCAGATTGTGGGTGCCCTGCTCCCAACATGTCCCCCTTTTCTGTTTTGCAAATCAACAAAACAAAGACAGGTTTGTCATGGTGACCTACTTCTCACAGGAGTCAGGATCCACATCTGCAGACTATACAAAGACAAACAACATAGATTAAAAGCACAATCGTCATTGAAATCACAGAGCTTCCAAGTGTTTTTATCCATTTTCAGCTCCTTTAAGCACTCCAGTTCCTGGCATTAAGGTCAGTTGTGCCTGGGATGCTTTAAATATTTGTTCTTTTTGTTTTAAATCCTTATGTTAAGCTCCTAGAGTGGGCCATATCATTTGAGGTTGAGGAGCCACTATACTGCCATGGTTCCAGATAATAGGAACTTTTGCCATACTTCTTATCATTTCTACCATCTGACCATTTTGTTCAGATCATCTGAACATAGTGTGGCCATGGCACACAGACTGAGAGGTGCAATTCAAGCTAAACATCCCCTTAGGGGACCAATTAATAATGAGTCCATAGGAATCGTTGTGCAGCACCTCTGCCTGTTCTGCAATGCAATCTTCCTAAACAAGTACGTTTATTTTTTCTAACTGGGTCCAATCCTGTTTACAAATAGGTTTTTGAGAGTAGTATGCCTCAATTATAAGAGCAGATTTATTATGGTAAATACTGAGATCAGAAAACATGTGTTAACTGTGTCACAGAGTGATTGCATCCAGGCATTATTGCCAGCCAAGATTGATAAATATCCCCAATAAGTATAATTGTTCTCTGTGTCAGCCCTTATTGAAGGAATAGTCACAGCAGTGGTGATAACCGCTATCATAGGTACCATTAAATTATTCATTGTGACTTGTTGTCCTTCTTTCCTCATGTTTTCTTCCACCATCTGTGACAGCTTCTTGATCTGTCCCCAGGTGGGTGACTGTGTTTGACAGGTGTAGCTCATGACAGTTGGGGTCCTCCTCAGTGTCAGTCTTGACATGGCTGCAACCCAGGGATCCTCGGGATCCTCCTGGAATCTCTTCCTTGGCATCTGGCTCATGATAAGGTTTTAGGTGTCTTGATGGTATCCAAATTGGCTGTTGATTTTGGCCTGGAGAAACACAAGCATAACTTCTACCCCAAGTTATTATTTTCCTCATTTCCCAACTTTTTGTTATTGGATCTCTCCACCAAATCAGTTGTTCTGCTTCTATTTTTGCTGCTGGTTTCTGTAGATGCTGTTCAGCTCCTGATAACATTTGTCCTTTGGGCAGGCTCAAAAAATTTAAAGTTAATAATACTAGGTTCAGTTGCATCTGTGGGGTTCCATATACTCTGTCTCCCCCTTTCTGCTTTTGCAACTGCTGTTTTAGGGAGAGATTCATTCTTTCCACTATGGCTTGTCCTTGAGAATTTTATGGGATACCAGTAATGTGTTTAATACTCCACACGGAGAAAAATGTGGCTAGAGCTTGGCTAGTATAGCCTGGGGCATTATCTGTTTTAATAGAAGCTGGAATGCTCATCACCACAAAACACTGCAAAGATGACATTTAACACAGGCAGAAGACTCTCCTGATTGGCATGTAGCCCAGACAAAGTGAGAAAAGGTGTCCACACATACATGTACATAAGCTAGTCTCCCAAACGAGGGAACATGTGTGACATCCATTTGCCAAAGAGAGTTAGGTTCCAGTCCTCGAGGAATAACTCCTCCTGTAAAAGATGAGGAATGTACCATTTGGCAAGTTGGGCATCACTGGATAATAGTTTTAGCTTCTTTCCAGGTAGTGCTGTATCTGCATTTGAGACCAGAGGCATTAACATGGGTTAAATTGTGAAAGTTTCTAGCATTAGATATTGCATTAGCAACTAGGCAATCAGCGATTTGATTCCCTTCAGCCAAAGGTCCTCGAAGAGGTGTATGAGCCCTAATGTGAGTGATGTAAAAAGGGTGCATTCTACTTCTAACTGCTGTTTGCAATTTGGTAAATAAAGTCATCAGTTGTTCATCTGTATGAAATCATAACTGAGCATTTTCAATTAACTGTGTGGAATGAACCACTGTGAAGAATCAGAAATCACATTAATAGGCATATCAAAAGCAGTCAATAATTCAATTACAGCTACAAGCTCCACTTTTTGAGCAGAAGTATAGGGTGTCTGGAAAACTTTACGTTTTGATCCAAAATAAGATGCTTTACCATTACTAGACCCATCTGTAAAAACATTCTCAGCACCTTCAATTGGTTTAAATTTAGTTATTTTGGGGAGAATGCAATTAGTTAATTTCAGAAACTGAAACAGCTTCATTTTAGGAAAATGATTATCGAGAATACCCACAAAGTCAGCTAAATGGGTTTGCCAAGTAAGACTATTTATAAAAGCTTGCTGTATTTGTGCCTTCATGAGAGGGACAATAATTTTTCCAGGATCATATCCATGTAATTTAACAATCCGAGTTCTCCCAATTCCTATCATAGTAGTGATTTGATCTAAATAAGGAGTTAGAGTCCATGAATCAGTATGTGGAAGAAAAAACCACTCTACTAAGTCCTGTTCTTGGACAATAACACCAGTAGGTGAATGCTGAGTTGAAAAAATTCGCACATCTAGAGTCTTCTCTGGGTCTGTTCTATTTATTTGAGCTTTATGGACTTGCTTCTCAATTAGTTGTAACTCTGCCAAGGGCTAGTGAGACTAGGATTTCCTCTAAGGATAGAAAACAGATGACTCTTGGCATAGGTAGGAATGCCTAGAGGAGGTCATATCCAATTAATGTCCCCTAGTAATTTTTGAAAGTCATTTAATGTTTTTAGTTGATCCCTACATATGGTTACTTTCTGTGGCACAATGGTAGTGTCATTTACTAAGGCCCCCAAGTAGGAGTAAGGAGTAGTAGTCTGAATTTTGTCAGGAGCTATAATTAAACCAGCATGATAAATCAAATTTTGCAAGTGATCATAACATTGGAGTAATATTTCTTGAGTGGGGGCAGCACAAAGTATATCATCCACATAGTGAATAATGTAACACTGTGAACATTTTTTATGAGTAGGTTCAATTGCTTGCCCCACATACGTCTGGCAAATTGTGGGACTGTTTAACATGCTCTGTGGCAACACTTTCCAATGATAATGCTTAGCAGGCTGCAGGCTGTTTACTGCAGGAATTGTAAATGCAAACCGTTTACAGTCTTGCTCAGCTAAGGGGATAGTAAAGAAACAGTCTTTTAAATCTATGACTATTAAAGGCCATTTTTTTTGGAATTATAGCAGGAGAAGGCAATCCTGGCTGTAATGCTCCCATAGGTTGTACAACTGAATTGATAGCTCTTAAGTCAGTTAACATTCTCCATTTACCTGACTTTTTTTTAATTACGAAAACGAGAATTCCAGTTTCTCTTTACTTAGTGGCCATTGTTCTATCCAAATTGGCTTATCTGCTAACCATTTTAAAGGTATAGGTTCTGGAGGCTTAACAATTGCTGCCATCAAAAATGATATCCTAATCTTTGGTGGGAATTTTGTCTTTCTGCTTGAAGCGGTTCTTTCAAACCTTGCAAATTTTTTTCTAGTCCCATACCAAGGACATACCCCATTTCATGCATTGTATGTTGACTTTGAGGGTTATATAATTGTTCTGGAATTAGGACTTGTGCTCCCCTTTGTTGTAATAAATCTCTTCCCCATAAATTTATAGGTACAGAAGTTATAATTGGTTGAATAGTCCCAGGTTGTCTGTCAGGCCTTCACAATGCAAAATATAATTACTTTGATATGCTTCAGGGGCTTTACCAACTCCAACTATGTTAAATTGAGTGGGTTGAATTGGCCATGTGGATGGCCAGTGCTGTAGAGAAATGATTAAAATGTCCACTCCTGTATCTACCAAACCTTTAAATTTCTTTCCCTGAATAGTTATTTCACAAGTAGGGTGTTTATCAGCAATTTGATTTACCCAATAAGCGGCTTTGCCTTGTTTATTTGTGCTTCCAAATCCTCCTGTTCATTTAATTTCACTTTTTCCCATTCCCACATATGGCACAATCGGGAGCTGTGCTATGCCCTCTCCTGGCTTTGCTTTCCAGGGAATGGAAGTAGATATAACAATTTGAATTTACCCATTATAATCTGAAGCAATGACTCCTGTATGTATTTATACACCTTTTAAACTTAAACTAGACCTTCCTGAAAGTAATCCTATTGTCCCCGCTGGCAAGGGTCCACAGACTCCTGTTGGGACCTTTTATGGGTGTTCCCCAGGCAGAAGGCTCACAGCTTTTGTGCAGCATAAATCTACTGCAGCACTACCAGCTGTGGTGGGGGAGAGACATTGTACAGGGGTGAGGGAATGGCCTGAGCTGGAAATGCCCCAGTTTAGAATGGGGCCCGGGACAGACCCCTCATGGCATTTCCCAAAATCTGGTTCCCTTCTTTATCAAACTTAGAGTGACACTGAGTAGCCCAATGTTTTCCTTTTTTACATTTTGGACATATTTCAGGCTCAACAGTTTTCTTTTTTCCCTTATCTGGCGGCCTGACTCACCGATTTTTTCTACATTCTTTTTTAGTATGACCATGCTTCCCACAGTTAAAACAAGCTCCAGGAAATGGAGTATTTCCTCCATCCACTCTCAGTCCTGCCATTGCTTGTGCTAGCAGAGTAGCTTTATGCAGATTACCTCGAATACCACAGGCCTTGATATAATCAACTAAATGTGCTTTCCTTCTGATAGGTCACAGAGCAGCCTGGCAATTGGGATTAGCATTGTCAAAAGCTAATAACTGCAACACTACTATATCCTGAGCAGCCAAATCTGCAATCATCTTTTTAAGAGACTCCTGTAACCAAGCTATAAAATCAATGTATGGTTCTCTTGGTCCCTGTTTTATAGCACTAAAGGAAGGGTATTGTTCTCCACCTGAAGTGATTTTTCCCCAAGCTCTAATGCACACTCCTCTAAGCTGTTCTATGGCATCATCCTGCATGACCAGTTGTGCATCTAAACCAGCCCAGCCGCCAACCCCCAAAAGTTGGTCTGCAGTTATATTAATTTGAGGTTAGGCCTGGGCATTGTGAGCAGCCTGAATGGAAGCTTCATCTGCCCACCAAGTTTTAAATTCTAAGAACTGAGCAGGAGTTAGACAAGCTCGAGTAAGAGCATCCCAGTCAGTAGGAATCATCTGTCTGGAAACAGTAACATACTTTTACAGTTCCATTACAAAAGGAGAACCTGGTCCATACTGATTTATAGCTTGTTTAAATTATTTGAGTAATTTAAAAAGAAAAGGCTCAAATGTAGCTATAATATTTCCTTGTTGATCTGGGGGGTGTATTCTAACAGGGAACTGCCAAGCTTCTAAATCACCCTCTCGTCTAGCTTGCTGAATTCCTGCCTGAGCTAGAACTAAGAGCGGTCACTCGAGGCACTGCTCAAACAGTCACTGGGGCAACTACTTTTCACCCAGTGTCCTCCAGAAAAGAAAGATCTGGAGGGTCTTTTTCTTCAAAATAATAAGGAGGGGGTGCAGAAGGGTAGGGATGAACCTCTCCTTCCTTTGCCGCTTTAGCTTTAGCTGGCAAATAAACCTGGTCTGTAACCTCTTCTGTTACTTTGTTATACTCTCATTCCTCCTCACCATCAGTGTGAAAAAATTCCAAGGTGAAACGAACCAGACCCCACACCTGTCCCATTGTCACCCTGATGCTTCCGAGCTCCCCTTCTGACTCACCACAGGGATTACTTTAAGAGTACTCGGGTGTCCTCCAGCTAGTTTTCCATTCCAACCGTTGCTCTGGCAACCCTTCAACCTGGATTTGAGCCCCCACAATGGACGCCACTTGCCTAGACCAGCTCGGTCAGGGAGATCCTAACCCATTGGTGCTAGAGGAATTAAAGACACACACACAGAAATATAGAGGTGTGAAGTGGGAAATCAGGGGTCTCACACCCTTCAGAGCTGAGAGCCCCGAACAGAGATTTACCCACATATTTATTAACAGTAAGCCAGTCATTAGCATTGTTTCTATAGATATTCGATTAATTAAAAGTATCCCTTACGGGAAACAAAGGATGGGCCGAATTAAAAGAATAGATTGGGCTAGTTAACTGCAGCAGGAGCATGCTGCAGTTAAGGCACAGATCACTCATGTTATGTTTGTGGCTTAAGAATGCCTTTAAGTGGTTTTCCACCCTGGGCGGGCCAGGTGTTCCTTGCCCTCATTCCTGTAAACCCATAACCTTCCAGCTTGGGCATTAGGGCCATTATGAACATGTTACAGTGCTGCAGAGATTTTGTTTATGGCCAGTTTGGGGGCCAGTTTATGGCCAGATTTTGGGGGGCCTGCTCTCAACAACATGTAATATTTGGTTTTCTGTTTCAGTGTTAGTATGCTTAGGATAACAGCCTCCAGCTGGGTCCATGTTGCTGCAAAGCACAAGATTTTATTATTTTTTATGGCTTTGTAGTATTCCATGGTGCATATGTACTACTTTTTTTTACTTTTATTTTTTAATTCATGTAATTTTTATTTTTTATTTCAATAGGATTTTGGGGAACAGGTGGTGTTTGGTTACATGAGTAAGTTCTTTAGTGGTAGTTCTTGAGATTTTGGTGCACTCATTAACTGAGCAGTGTACACTGTACCCAATCTTTTATCCCTTACACCCGATTTTACCCAGTCTTTCATCCCTTAGAGCCCACCACTCTTTTCCCTGAGTCCCCAAAATCCATTGTGTTATTCTTATGCCTTTGCATTCTCATAGCTTAAGCTCCCACTTATAAATGTAAACAAACCATGTTTGGTTTTCCATTCCTGAGTTACTTGACTTAAAATAGTGGTTCCCAATTCCATCCAGGTTGCTGTGAATATCATTATTTTAATCCTTTTTATGGCTGAGTAGTATTCTATAGTATGTCTTTCCATAATTACCACAATTTCTTTAGCCACTTATTGATTGATGGGCATTTGGGCTGGTTCCATATTTTCACAATTTCAAATTGTGCCACTATACATGCATGTGCAAGTATCTTTTTTGTATAATGACTTCTTTTGCTCTGGGTAAATACACAGTAGTGGGATTGCTGGATCAAATGGTAGATCTACTTTTAGTTCTTTAAGAAATCTCCACACTGTTTTCCATAGTGGTTGTACTAGTTTAAATTCCCACAAGCAGTGTAAAAGTGTTCCCTTTTAACTACAAACATGCCAACATCTTTTTTTAAAAATTTTTTGATTACGGCCTTTCTTGCAGGAGTAAGGTGGTGTTGTGATTTTGATTTGCATTTCCCCGATAATTAGTGATGTTAATCATTTTTAATATGTTTGTTGGCCATTTGTATGTCTACTTTTGAGAATTGCCTATTCCATGGTCTTAGCCCATTTTTGATGGGATTGTTTTTTCTTGCTGATATGTTTGAGTTCTTTGTAGACTCTGGATATTAGACCTTTGTCAGGTGTATAGATTATGAAGATTTTATCTCATTGTGTAAGTTGTCTGTTTACTCTCCTGATAGTTTCTTTTGCTGTGCAGAAGATTTTTAGTTTAAGTCTCATCTATTTATCTTTGTTTTTGTTGAGTTTGCTTTTGGGTTCTTGCTCATAAAGTCTTTGCCTAAGCCAATGTCTAGAAGGGTTTTTCCAATGTTGTCTTATAGAGCTATTATGGTGTCAGGACTTAAATTTAAGGCCTTGATCCATTTTGAGTTGATTTTAGTATAAGGTGAGAGATAAGTATCGAATTTACTTCTTGTGCCTGTTGCTTGCCAATTATCCCAGCCATTTCTTCAATAGAGTGTCCTTTCCCTACTTTGTTTTTGTTTGCTTTGTTGAAGATCAATTGGCTAAAAGTATTCGGATTTATTTCTGGGTTCTCTATTCTCTTCCATTGGTCTATGTGCCTATTTTTATATCAGTACCATGCTGTCTTTGTAAGTAGGCCTTTATAGAATAGTTTGAAGTCGAGTAATGTGATGCTTCCAGATATGTTCTTTTTGCTTAGTATTGCTTTGGTTATGTGGGCTTCTTTTGGGGTTCTATATGAATTGTAGGAATTTTTTTCTAGTTATGTGAAGAAAGATGGTGGTATTTTGATGAAAATTGCATTGAATTTGTAGATTGCTTTGGCAGTGTGGCATTTTTACAATATTAATTCTACCCATCCATGAGCATGGGATGTGTTTTCATTTATTTGTGTCATCTATGATTTATTTCAGCAGAGTTTTGTAGTTTCCCTTGCAGAGGTCTTTCACCTCCTTGGTTAAGTATATTTTCTAGCTATTGTGAAAGGGCTTCAGTTCTTGACTTGATTCTCAGCTTGGGCATTGTTGGTGGTAGCAGTACTACTGATTTGTGTACTTTGATTTTTTATCTTGAAACCCTGCTGAATTCATTTATCAGTTCTAGGAACTTTTTGGATGAGCTTTTAGATTTTTTTAGGTATATGATAATATCACTGAACAGCAATAGTTTGACTTCCTCTTTACCAATTTGGATGCCCTTTATTTCTTTCTCTTAACTGATTGCTACGGCTAGGATTTCCAGTATTATATTGAATAGAGGTGGTGACACTGGACATCCTTGTCTTATTTCAGTTCTCAGGGGGAATTCTTTCAACTTTTTCCCATTCAGTATTATGTTGGTTGTGGGTTTGTCACAGATGGCTTTTATTACATTAAGGTATGTCTCCTCTATGCCAGTGTTGCTGAGGGTTTTAATCATAAAGGAATGCTGGATTTTGTTAAATGCTTTCTCTGCATCTTATGAGATGATCATGTGCCTTTTTTTTAATTCTACTTATGTGGAGCATCGTATTTATTGATTTGCATATGTTAAACCATCCTTCCATCCCTGGTATGAAACCCACTTGATCTTGATAGAGTACCTGTTGGATTTAGTTAGCTAGTATTTTGTTGAGAATTTTGCGTGTATGTTCTTCAGATATACAGGTCTGTAGTTTTCTTTTATTGTTATATCCTTTCCTGGTTTTGGTATGAGGGTGACAATGGCTTCATAGAATAATCTAGGAAGGACTCTCTCTTTCTCTATCTTGTGGAATAGTGTCAATAGGATTGGTAGCAATTATTTGAATGTCTGATAATCTTCAGCTGTAAATCCATCTAATCTTGGACTATATTTGTTGGTAACATTTTAATTACCATTTAATCCTGTTGCTTGTTATTTGTCTGTTGAGAGTTGCTATTTGTTTCTGGTTTAATCTAGGGGTGTTGCATATTTTCAGGAATTTATCCATCTCAGCTATGTTTTCTAGTTTATGCATGTGAAGGTAATCATAGTGGTCTTTAATGATGTTTTGTATTTCCATGGTATTGGTTGTAATATTTCTCAACTCTTTTTTTTATTATTATAGTTTAAGTTCTAGGGTACATGTGTACAACATGCAGATTTGTTACATAGGTATACATGTGCCATGTTGGTTTGCTGCACCCATCAACAAGTCATTCACATTAGGTATTTCTCCTAATGTTATCTCTCCCCGAGCACCCTACCCCCTGACAGGCCATGGTGTGTAGTGTTTCTGCCCTGTGTCCATGTGCTCTTATTCTTTAACTCCCACCTATGAGTGAGAACATGTGGTGTTTGGTTTTCTGTCCTTGTGATAGTCTGCTTAGAATGATGGTTTCCAGCTTCATCCATGCCCCTGCAAAGGACATGAACTCATCCTTTTTATGGCTGCATAGTATTCCACGGTGTATATGTGCCACATTTTCCTTATCCACTCTATCATTGATGGACATTTGGATTGGTTCCAAGTATTTGCTGTTTTGAATAGTGCTGCAATAAGCATACTTGTGTGTGTCTTTACAGTAGAATGATTTATAATCCTTTGGGTATATACCCAGTAATGGAATCACTGGGTAAAATGGTATTTCTAGTTCTAGATCCTTGAGAAATTGCCACACTGTCTTTCACAATGGTTGAAGTAATTTACACTCCCACCAACAGTGTAAAAGCATTCCTATTTCTCCACATCCTCTCCATCACCTGTTGTTTCCTAACTTTTTAATGATTGCCATTCTAACTGCTGTGAGATGGTATCTCATTGTGGTTTTGATTTGCATTTCTCTGATGACCAGTGATGATGAGCATTTTTTCATATGTCTGTTGGCTGCATAAATGTCTTCTTTTGAGAAGTGTCTGTTCATATCCTTTGCCCACTTTTTGATGGGGTTGTTTGTTTGTTTTTTTCTTGTAAATTTGTTTAAGTTCTTTGTAGATTTTAGTTATTAGCCCTTTGTCAGTTGGATAGATTGCAGAGATTTTCTCCCATTTTGAAGGGTGCCTGTTCACTCTGATGATAGTTTCTTTTGCTGTGCAGAAGCTCTTTAGTTTAATTAGATCCCATTTGTCAATTTTGGCTTCTGTTGCCATTGATTTTGGTGTTTTAGTCATGAAGTCGTTGCCAATGCCTATGTCCTAAATGGTATTTCCTAGGTTTTCTTCTAGGGTTTTTATGATGTTAGGTCTCACATTTAAGTCAGTAATATATTTATTTCTTCTAGATTTTCTAGTTCATGTGCAAAGTTTGATTTGCATTTCTCTGATGGTAGTTTGTATTTCTGTGGGATCGGTGGTGGTATCCCCTTTATCATTTTTTATGATGTGTATTTGATTATTCTCTCTTTTCTTCTTTGTTAGTCTTGCTAGCGGTCTATCAATTTTTTGATCTTTTCAAAAAACCAGCTCCTGGATTCATTGATGTTTTGAAGGGTTTTTTGTGTCGCTATCTCCTTCAGTTCTGCTCTGATCTTAGTTATTTCTTGCCTTCTGCTAGCTTTTGAATTTGTTTGTGCTTGTTTCTCTAGTTCTTTTAATTGTGATGTTAAGGTGTCAATTTTAGATTTTTCCTGCTTTCTCTTGTGGGCATTTAGTGCTATAAATTTCCCTCTAAACACTGCTTTGAATGTGTACCAGAGATTCTGGTATATTATGTCTTTGTTCTCATTGGTTTCAAAGAACATCTTTATTTCTGCCTTCATTTCGTTAGGTACCCAGTAGTCATTCAGGAGCAGGTTGTTCAGTTTCCATGTAGTTGAGTGGTTTTGAGTGAGGTTCTTAATCCTGAGTTCTAGTTTGATTGCACTGTGGTCTGAGAGACAGTTTGTTATAATTTCTGTTCTTTTACATTTGCTGAGGAGTGCTTTACTTCCAACTATGTGGTCAATTTTGGAATAAGTGTGATGTGGTGCTGAGAAGAATGTATATTCTGTTGATTTGGGGTGGAGAGTTGTGTAGATGTCTATTAGGTCCGCTTGGTGCAGAGCTGGTTCAATTCCTGGATATCCTTGTTAACTTTCTGTCTCGTTGATCTGTCTAATGTTGACAGTAGGGTGTTAAAGTCTCCCATTATTATTGTCTGGGAGTCTAAGTCTCCTTGTAGGTCCCTAAGGACTTGCTTTATGAATCTGGATGCTCCTGTATTGGGTGCATATATATTTAGGATAGTTATCTCTTGTTGTTGAATTGATCCCTTTACCATTATGTAGTGGCTTTCTTTGTCTCTTTTGATCTCTGTTGGTTTAAAGTCTGTTTTATCAGAGACTAAGATTGCAACCCCTGCCTTTTTTTGTTTTCCATTTACTTGGTAGATCTTCCTCCATCCCTTTATTTTGAGCCTATATGTGTCTCTGCACGTGAGATGGATATCCTGAATAGAGCACACCGATGGGTCTTGATTCTTTATCCAATTTGCCAGTCTGTGTCTTTTAAATAGGGCATTTAGCTCATTTTACATTTATGGTTCATATTGTTTTGTTAGAATTTGATCCTGTCATTATGATGTAAGCTGGTTATTTTGCCTGTTAATCAATGTAGTTTCTTTGTAGTGTCAATGGTCTTTACAATTTGACATGTTTTTGCAGTGGCTGGTACTGGTTGTTTCTTTCCATGTTTAGTGCTTCCTTCTGGAGCTCTTGTAAGACAGGCCTGGTGTTGACTTAGTCTCTCAGCATTTGTTTGTCTGTAAAGGATTTTATTTCTCCTTCGATTATGAAGCTCAGTTTGGCTGGTTATGAAATTCTGGGTTGAAAATTCTTTTCGTTAAGAATATTGAATACTGGCCCCCATTCTCTTCTGGCTTGTAGGGTTTCTGCAGAGAGATCAGCTGTTAGTCTGATGTGCTTCCTTTTGTGGGTAATGCGACCTTTCACTCTGGCTGCCCTTAACATTTTTTCCTTCGTTTCAACCTTGGTGAATCTGACAATTATGTGTCTTGGGGCTGCTCTTCTCGAGGAGTATCTTAGTGGTGTTCTCTGTATTTCCTGAACTTGAATGTTGGCCTGACTTGCTAGGTTAGGGACGTTTTTCTGCATAATATCCTGAAGAGTGTTTCCTAACTTGGTTCCATTCCCCCCGTCACTTTCTGGTACATCCATCAAATATATATTTGGTCTCTTCACATAGTTCCGTATTTCTTGGAGGCTTTGTTTGTTGCTTTTCATTCTTTTTTCTCTAATCTTGTCTTCTCACTTTATTTCATTAATTTGATCTTCAATCTCTGATATCTTTTCTTCCACTTGATTGAATTGTCTATTAAAGCTTGTGCATGGGTCACAATGTTCTTGTGCCATGGTTTTCAGTTCCATCAGGTCATTTAAGGTTTTCTCTACACTGTTTATTCTAGTTAGCCATTCATCTAACCTTTTTCAAGGTTTTTAGCTTCCTTTTGATGGGTTAGAACATGCCCCTTTAGCTCAGAGAAGTTTGTTATTACCGATCTTCTGAGGCCTACTACTGTCAACTCACCAATAAAGGCAGCAGACAGCTTCTGCAGCCTTAAATGTGCCTGTCTGACAGCTCTGAAGAGAGCAGTGTTTCTGTCAGCATGGTGTTCGAGCTGCAAGAATGGACAGACTGTCTTCTCAAGCTGGTCCCTGACTCCCATGTAGCCTGAGTGGGAAACACCTCCCAGTAGGGGCCAACAGAGACCTCAAACAGGAGGGGTGGGTGCCCCTCTGCAATGGAGCTTCCAGAGGAAGGATCAGGCAGCAATATTTGCTGTTCTGCAGCCTCTGCTGGTGATACCCAGGCAAACGGGGTCTGGAGTGGATCTCCAGCAAACTCCAACAGGCTTGCAGCTCAGGGGTCTGACTGTTAGCAGGAAAACTAACAAACAGAAAGGAATAGCATCAACATCAACAGAAAGGACATCCACACCAAAACCCCATCTGTAGGTCACCAACTTCTCAATTTATTTCTAATTGAGCTTATTTGGATCTTCTCCCTGCTTTTTTTTCCCACTAATCTCACTAATGGTCTGTCATTTTTTTTATCTTTTCAAGTAACCAATTTTATGTTTTCTTTATCTTTTCCATGTTTTTTATTCTGTGTCAATTTCATATAATTCTACTCTGATCTTGGTAATTTTTTTTTCTTGTGCTGGATTTGGGTTTGGTTTCTTCTTGTTTCTATAGTTCCTTGAGGTGTGACCTTAGGTTATCTATTTGTGCTCTTTCTGTTTGAAGTAGGCATTTAATGCTATAAACTCTCCTCTTAGCACCACTTTTGCTGTATCCCACAGGTTTTGATAGGTTGTGTTGCTATTATCATTCAGTTTAAATAATTTTTTAATTTCCGTCATGATTTTATTGTTGACTCAATGATTATTCAGGAAAAGGTAATTAATTTCCATGTATTTACATTGTTTTGAATGTTCCCTTTGGAGTTAATTTTAGTTTCATTCCACTGTGGTCTGAGAGAATACTTGCTATAATTACCATGTTCTTAAATTTATGGAGACTTATTTTGTGACCTATCTTATGGTGTCTTGGAGAATATTCCGTGTTCTGGTGAATAGAATGTATATTCTGCAGTTGTTGCATAGAATGTTTTGCCAATATCTGTTAAGTCCATTTATTCTAGGGTATAGTTTAAGTCAATTCTTTCTTTGTTGACTTTCTGTCTTGATGACATGTCTAGTTCTGTCAATGGAGTGTTGAATATTCTCATTATTATTGCCTTGCCATCTATCTCATTTCTTAGTTCTAATATTAATTCTTTTATGAATTTGGGAGCTCCAGTGTTTCATGCATATATATTTAGAACTGTGATATTTTCTTTTTGGACAAATGCTTTTATCATTATGTGATGCCCATCTTTGTTTTTTTAACTGCTGTTGCTTTAAAGTTTGTTTTGTCTGATATAAAAATAGCTACTCCTACTCATTTTTGTTGTCCATTTGAATGAAATATCTTTCCCCACCCTTTTACCTCAAGTTTATGTAAGTCTTTATGTGTTAGGTGAGTCTCTTGAAGACAGTAAATACTTGGTTGGTGGATTCTTATCTATTTTGCCATTCCGTATCTTTTAAGTGGAGCATTTAGGCCATGTATTTTCAACAGTAGTATTGAGATATGAGGTACTATTCTATTCATTATGGAAGTTGTTGCCTAAATACCTTGTTTTTGTAATTGTGTTATTGTTTTATAGGTCTTGAGAGATTTATACTTTAAGGAGGTTCTTTTTTGGTTTATTTCACAGATTTAAGATTTACAGCTCCTTTGAGCAGTTCTTATAGTGCTGCCTTTCTAGTGGGGAATTCTCTCAGCATTTATTTGTCTGTAAAAGACTATCTTTCCTTCATTTATAAAGCTTAGTTTAGCTGGTAACAGAATTCTTTGCTGGTAATTGTTTTGTTTAAGGAGGCTAAAGATAGGGCCCCAATCCCTACTAGCCTGTAGGGTTTCTACTGAGAAATCTTCTGTTAATCTAATAGGTTTTCCTTTATAGGT
Organism: Homo sapiens; assembly: GCF_000001405.40. Taxonomy (NCBI): domain Eukaryota; kingdom Metazoa; phylum Chordata; class Mammalia; order Primates; family Hominidae; genus Homo; species Homo sapiens. The sequence continues at coordinate 73,333,533 of NC_000023.11, forward strand.
TACCTGATGCTTTTGCCTCACAGCTCTTAGGATTCTTTCCTTTATCTTGACTTTAGATAACATGATGACTATGTGCTTAGGTGATGATTTTTTTTTTCTTTGAGACGGAGTCTTGCTCTGTCGCCCAGGCTGGAGTGCAGTGGTGCGATCTCAGCTTACTGCAAGCTCCAACTCCTGGGTTCATGCCATTCTCCGGCCTCAGCCTCCAGAATAGCTGGGACTATAGGTGCCCACCACCATGCCTGGCTAATTTTTTGTATTTTTAGTAGAGAAGGAGTTTCACTGTGATAGCCAGGATGGTCTCGAACTCCTGACCTCGTGATCCACCCACCTCAGCCTCCCAAAGTGCTGGGATTACAGGCTTGAGCCACCGCACCTGGCCAGGTGATGATGTTTTTGTGATAAATTTCCCAGGTGTTCTTTGGGCTTCTTGTATTTGGATGCCTAGATCTTTAGCAAGACCAAAGACCTTTTCCTCAATTATTCTTCTAAATATATTTTCCAAACTTTTGGGTTTCTCTTCTCCTTCAGGAACAGCAATTATTCTTAGGTTTGGTCATCTAGCATAACCCCAGACTTCTTGAATGGTGTGTTTATTTTTTAAAAATTCTTTTTTTCTTTTTCTTTGTTGGATTGGGTTAACTCAAAAGCCTTTTCTTTGAGCTCTGAAGGTCTTCCATTTGCTTGTTTAATTGTATTGCTGAGACTTTCCAGTGTATTTTTCATTTCTCTGAGTGTGTTTTTCATTTCCAGAAGTTGTGATTTTTTTTTTTTTATTTATGCTGTTTCACTGAAGATTTTTCCCTTCATATTTTCTATCTTTTTTTATTTCATTAAGCTGGACTTCACCTTTTTTTTTGGTGCCTCCTTGTGTAGCTTAATAATGTACATTCTGATTTCTTTTTCTGGCAATTCAGAGGTTCCTTCTTAGTTTGGATCCATTGCTGGTGAACTACTGTGATCTTTTGGGGGTATTAAAGAACCTTGTTTGGTCATATTACCAGAATTGTTTTTCTAGTTCCTTCTCATTTGAGTAGACTCTGTCAGAGGGAAGATCTGAGTCTTAAGGGCTGCTGTTCTTATTTTTTCATCCCATACGGTTCTCCCTGGATTTGAGTGCTCAGGGATGTGGCTTCCTGAGAGCTGAATTGTGGTGATTGTTATTTCTCTTCTGGATCTAGACACCCCATGCAGCTACCAGGCTTTGAGCTGATACTGAGGAGTGTCTGCACAGTGTCCAGTGATGTGACCCATCTTCAGATCCCTCAGCCATGGATATCAGCACCTGCTCCAGTGGAGGTAGTAGGGGAGTAAGTAGGACTCTGTGAGGGGCCTTGGTTGTATTTTCTTTATTGTGCTAGCTTTGCATTCGTTGGCCTCCAACCAGGAGGTGGCACTTTCTGGAGAGCATCAGCTGAGGTTGTATAGGGAGGATAAAAGCTTGTCCTAGGGTCAGGTGGTGGGTGAGACTATGGAGCTCCCAATAGATTATGTTCTTTGTCTTTGACTACCAGCTTGAGTAGAGAAAGATTATCAGGTGGGGGCAGGGTTAGGCATGCCTTAGCACAGATTCCTTGAACAGGGCTTGCTGGAGCTAAGTTTTCTGGCTGTCTTTCAGAGCCTGCAGCAGCAATCAGCTCTGTACTATATTAAAAAACATTCTTTGAGAATTGTGTCTTTATTAGAATCTGGGAAGAATTTGCAATAAAAGGAAAGCAATTATTATCAATATAAATGCTAGCCCTATCTTGATTGTGGCTGTGATGTCAAGGGTGTATACATAAATAAAAACTGATCAAGTTGTACATTTTTTAAATATATTTTGTTTGGTTGGGTGAAATATGTGTACTTAATTTTATTTTCAATTTTTATTTTAGATTGAGTGGGGTACAGGTGCAGGTTTGTTACATGGTTAAATTGCATGCCACAAGGGTTTGGTGTACAGATTATTTTATCACCCAGGTAATGAGCATAGTACGTGATAGATAGATTTTTCTAAGCTCATCTTTCTCACACCCTCCAAGTGCAAGTAAGCACCTTGTCTATCGTTCCTTTCTTTGTGTTTATGTGATCTCAATATTTAGCTACCACATATAAGTGAGAACATGTGGTATTTGGTTATTAGGACACAGAAAATCAAAATCCCAAAGAAATATTACTTCACATCTGTTAGAATGGCTATTATCAAAAAGACAGAAGATAACAAGCGTTGTGAAGGGTGTGGAGAAAAGAGAAATCTTGTGCACTGTTAGTGGTAATGTAAACTAATACAGACATTATTATGAAATATATAAAAGTTCCTCAGAAAAGTAAAAATAGGATGACCATATGATCCAGGAATCCCAATTCTAGGTGTATATCCAAAGAAATCAAAGTCAATATGCTGAAAAGATATATGCACTTCCCTGTTTATTACAGCATTATTCATAGGAGCTAACATATGAGAGCAACCCAGGTGTTCATTGTCAGATAAATAGGTAAAGAAAATGTGGTATATGTATACAATGAAATACTCTTCATCCTTTACAAAGATGGAAATTCTGTCATTTGTGACAATATGGATAAACTTGAAATGGCTATTATACTAAGTAATGTAAGGCAACACAAAACACAAATAATGTGTAATCACTTTTATATGGAATCTAAAGAAGGTTAACTCATAGACAGAGTGTAGAATAGTGATTATTGGAGGAAGATGGGGAAAGAGAAGATATGGGTCAAAGTATACAAAATTTCAGTTAGATAGGAGGAATAAGCTTTAGTGATCTATTGCATGAAACAATGAATATAATAATAATGCACAGTATATTTCAAAATTACTTAAAATGTAGATTTTAAATGTTTTACAGAAAAATCATATATTTGTATTGGTCAATTAGCTTGATTAAATTATTTCACAATTTAAAAAATTTGTGAAAACATGACATTGTATCCTGTAAATACATAGAGTTATTATTTGTCAATTAAGATAAAATTTTACATGGACTGGAAGAATTCATATTGTTAAGATGGCCATACTATCCAAAATAATCTACAGATTTAATAAAATCGATATCAAAATGTCAATGACATTTATTACAGAAATAGAAAAACATCCTAAAATTTATATGGAACCAAAAAAATCCTGAATAGCCAAAGCAATCCTGAACAATAATAACAAAGTTTGAGGCATCACACTTCCACGTTTCAAAATATAACACAAGGCTATAGTAACCAAAACAGCATGGTACTTGCATAAAAACAGACACATAGACCAATGGTACAGAATAGATAACCCAGAAATAAATCCAGATATTTACAGCCACATGATTTTGGACAAAGATGCCAAGAACATTTATTGGGAAATGGTTAATCTCTACAATAAAGGGTTCTAAGAAAACTGGATATCCACATAAAGAAGAATTAAACTAGATCTCCATGTCTCTCCCTATGTTAATGTCAACTCAAAATGAATTAAAGGTTTAAATGTAAGACCCAAAACTATAAATCTATGAGAAGAAAATATAGGAAAAACACTTCAGGATATTAGCCTGGGAATATTTTATGACTAAGACCTCAAAAGCACACTTAACAAAAGTAAAAATAGGCAAAGGGGACTCTATCAAACTGAAAAGTTTTGGCACAAAGAAGAAATAACCAACAGCATGAAACGTACAGAATGGAAGAAAATATTTGCAAACTATGCATCTGACAGAGGATTAATGTCTAGAGTACACAAGGAACACAAACAATGCAATAGCCAAAATAAATGTGATTTTTAAATGGCCAAAGGATCTTAATAGGCTTTTTAAAAAAAATTATATATTGTGATTTATTTTCAAGTGAACAGGGAGATAAAGGACTTCCTTATGACATATTTGGAGCCTCTCAGCCTTGTCTCATTTCCTCTCATGCTATAACTCCAATACTTGGCTTGGAACTTGACTACTTCTAACTTCTGGCAACAGAAACTTCAGCCAGCTATGGAGAAAAGGGGCCCTCCTCTCCCACAGCTGCAGCAAAGCAGGTGTTATTCTGCATCATAAACCATCCTGGCCAATGTTTCCGAGAAAGGAAACTTCAGAGGTTGTGGCTATGCTCTGGAAAAGCTACCTTCAACTTCTGAAACGTCTGTAATCCTGATCGGGTTTCTTACTCAAGAAGTTGTGGCCTTGGGTAATGCTATATGTGTCAAAACCTTTGTTTCCTAAATAGTGTATTTGACTGGCTTCTCAGCCCTCTCTTCCAACCCATCTTCTAGAGTGACCTTTCTCAGTTCTAAGTCCACTTAAGACAGAGGAGCTTTATCAGTGTGTCCTTCTTCTCCCTGTTTACTTAAAAATCAATAAACATTTTTCAGTGGAAGACATGCAAATTGGCAGCAAATATTTGAAAAATGCTCATTATCACTAATCCTCAGGGAAATGCAAATAAAAACCACAATGAGATATTATCTCATCCCAGTCAGAATGGCTATTATCAGAAAAGAAGCAAAAAATAATAAATGCGGGCAAGGATTTGGAGGAAAAGGAACTCTTACACACTGTTGGTGGGAATGTAAACTACTACAGCTTTATGGAGAACAGCATGGAAGCTCCTCAGAAAACTACAAAAAAACTACTTTACGAACTGATAATTTCACTACTGGGTATATATCCAAAAAAGAGAAAATCAGTATATGCAAGAGATATCTGCACCTCACGACTGTTGCTGCATTATTCACAATAGCCAAGATAAGATATGAAACCAACTTAAGTGTTTGTCAACAGATGAATGGATAAAGAAAATGTACATATACACAATGGAATACTATTCCACCATAAAAATAATGAAATCCTGGAATTTGTGGCAACATGCATAAGCCTCGAGGTCAGTAAAATAAGTCATGAACAGAAATATAAATACTGCATAGTCTCTCTCACACTTGGAAGCTACAAAATTTGATCTCATATGAGTAGAGAGTAGATCAGCAGTTACTAGAGACTGAGAAAGGTAGGGGTAAAGGAAGACAGAAAAAAATTGGTTAAAGTACACAAAATTACAACTAGATAGAAGAAATAATTTCTAATATTCTATAAGACTGTAGGATGACTACAGTTAACAATAATTTATTATATACTTTTGGATAGCTGAAGGGAGGATTTTGATGTTCTCAACACAAAGAAATGATTGATAAATGTTTGAAGTGATGGATATGATAATTACTATTACTTTACATTACAAGTATCAAAACTTGTATTCCACAAATATTTACAATTACAATTACACTCTGTATTCCACAAATATTTACAATTATTATGTGTCAATTAAAAATAATAAAATGTAAATAAAAATTTGAAGATAAATGTAAATTTTAAAAAAAATACACTGCTGATGAAATTGTAAAATTTTGCAATCACTTTAGTAAAGTTTGGTGGTTTACAAGAAACAATTTTAAATTAAATTGCACTTATCGTACAACCAACACTTTGGTTATATTATATTATTTTACAATATATTTTGACTAATAATATTTACCCAAGAGGAAGAAAGCATATGTCTGCATTAATACTTTACATTGATAGTCAAAGAACTTTAATTTGTAATAATTGAAAAATTGATACAACTCAAAACGTCTGTCAACAGGTAAACAGGTACAGAAATAGTGGTATATCCAGACAATGTTCTACCATTCAGCATAAAAAGAAACAAACTAATAATATATGTGAGAGCACCAATGACAATCTCATAATATCTATAAAGGGTAAAACAAGTAAAACACAAAAAAGTACTGAATCAGTTTATTTATAAAAGTTCTAGAAAATACAAATATATGTAATTACAGAGAGCAGTTTTGTGGCTGAATAAAGATGGAGTGGAGGAAGAGAGGGAGTACAAAAGGAGTATAAAGAACTTTGAAATGTTATAAATTTGTTAATTTGTTGTGATGATAATTTCAAGAATGTTTGCATATGACAAAGTACATGAATTGTACATATTATGTAATGTTTATTGTATGTCAATTATCCCTTAATATTGCCATAAAAATACCGTTTGCTAAAGAATAAAAACCAGCAAATACCTAGTAGTTATAATCTCTTTACACTGAAAACTATTAATATAAATGATTGCCAAGATAAATTTAAAAAGACTTCGATAACTGAAGATACATATCATGTTCATGGATTCTGAAACTCAGTATTATTATGTCAATACTCTTCAAATTGATTTCTATATCTGATGCAATTCCAAATAAAATTTAAATGTGATTACTGTTGTTAAAAAGTATCAAGCTTATTCCAAATTATGTATGACAAAACCATTTGCCATGACAATCTTAAAATGAACAATGTTGGAGTACTTACACTATATCAAGAGTTATGATTACTCTACAGTAACTAAAACAGTGTGTTTGGGGTTGGAAGAATAAACCAGTATACAGAATAGAGACAAACAGACCAAAGGAAACCAACAGACAGAGTAGAGACAAAAGACCAATGTCATGGAATAGTGCCCAGAAATAAACCCATAGTTACACAGATAACTTATTTACCTTAAAACATCTTCTGCGCTACAGTGGAGAAGGTTTTGTCTTTTCAGTAAGCTGTGTTGGATTAGATGTCTATATTTTTAAATAAACCTTGATTCCTACCTTGTACCATACACAAAAAAGTGATTCGAGTTGATTCATAGACTTAAATATAAAAGGTATAACAGTAGAGCTTGCAGAACAAAAATTATAAATTTCTTAATAATTTTTGGAGAGGGTAAGATATTTAGAAGCAAAACATTTATAAAGACTGATATATTGAAATTCATCAAAATTTAAAATAATCTATTTCTTCAAAAGACACTATTAAGAAAGTGAAGAAGAATATTGTAGACCAGAAAAACATAATCCCTAAACATATTCAAAACAAAGGATGTGTATTAAAATACATAAAGAACTCTTACACTTCAAAGTAAAATCAGACAATTTAAAAGGGAAAAAGACTTAAACAGACATTTCAGAAAAAGAAACTACAAGTTTATTTTTCTACAATAAGCATATACAAGAAAAAGTAGACAGATGGTAACTGCTCACCTCTCCTCAGGTGAACTGTATCCAGATAATTGTATTTCAGATAAAATACACCATTTGGTCAGATTTTAAGACATAACCACAATAGCTACACTTGTTTGGGGGAATCTTTTCCCTCAAGTACATAATTATCAAACATTTTTCTAAGAAATCTTATTCTTAAGAACATTTTTTTTTTTTTGGAATGCTGATTCTGGGAACTTTGTCTCTCAGGGCACTGATTCTGAGAGCATTATTTCTAGAAGCTGCACTACTATGTTGTTGTTGGAAACGTTACCTCTAGGAACATTTATTCTAGGAATTTTACCTTCATGAGAATTCACCCTGGAATTATTGACAAGAAGCATAAACTTGGGAGGTTTCTTTCTAGGACAGAGGCTGCTATGGTAGGGTTGCCATATAAAATACAAGACATCCAGTTTAATTTGAATTTTACTTAAACAACATTTCTGGAACCAGACTTTCACCTGTACAGAAATAGGAGAAACAACTTTCACACAACTCTGGCAGCTATCCTAAGCTATAGAAAAAACAGAAGACTGCAGAGACATAAAAATAGCAAGATGCTGTTTGTTTGTTCATTTTAAGCCTGAAATTCCAATTCACTGGGGCTGAGGTGGAGTTGAGAAATGTGTATTTTTATAAAATTATCCCAAATATATGACCAGGTTTAGAAACCATTAAATCCCTATCCGAAGGCATAGCACACATAAATTTCCCAGCCAAATAAGAGCCTTCTTTTTGTAAATGAGTCTATAAGGAATATACTACAGCATACTTCAATGTTTACCCGTGATAACATGGTAACTATTTACATACTTAAAGATTGCTATTAACTTTCCCCTCTCACATCAGTCCTCTGCTGATTCCCCAGTGACAACTATTATAATACTGAAAGATAAATGTTATTTTTACTCTGCCCACTTCTCAGTAAACCATAGAATGGTAACTAGTTAAGTCTTCTTTGGGCAAGTAATACAGTTGTAGATAAATCATTTTTCTAATTCCAGCCTTTTATGTCTTGTACAGACAACCTGTTTGAAAAAGTAGTCACATCAGCACTTCTAATATATTCAATTTTGATTTACCCTAATTTCTCATTTTTTCACATATTCCATACCTTAATCAGAAGCACATGTTCAGAGAGTATCTATATGGTAATTTCCCTCAAAGTCCAAATTCCTTGCTTTATAGATGAGGAACCTGGGATAGTTACATAAATATAAAATTGTCTAAATGGCAGAGCTTGGGCTAGACCTTTCTCCTTGAAGGACAAGTGGGAAGCTTGAAAGACTGAGCATAGTTCCTGGCTTAGAAACGAGGTTAAAAGGGAGCAGGAGTAAAGAGAAAAAGAAAGGAGAAATGAGCAAAGTAATGGGAGACAGGAAAGATAATAGAGAAAGCTGAAAGAAAACATTGTAAAATTGGAGAAGCACACACCTCTGTATTAGATCAGATGACAGTCCATCTATCATTTTCTTTTCTTTCCTTCTTTCACTTCCTAAGCCATTAATATATGAGTCTCTCTGAGATTATGAAAAATATGGTGCAAGAAAAGCACTGCATAAAGTTTTAAGTCATCTAGAAACTGTCAAGGATTTCAGGTCCCTGAGACTATAAAGTGTTTGTTTAGCAAACGGTCAACCGAGGGTGCTGTATTGCTTCTTTGGATTTCCCCTTATAACAATGCTTTTGATTTAGGAAATGCCTTCCGATTTTGCAATAAAATCTATGGTCTTTCTCCTGAATCTCTAAAGTCATCTCCCAATTTTTTTATACCCTTAAAACTCAGACAAGCAAAACCAAAAAAACTACTCAGAGAAACTCACAAACTCATTTGCACAGGCATTCTTCATCATTTTCAACCCCCTTCTCACCAAAGGGCAAAAATAGAGACAAGTGAGAGTTGTGAAAGTATGGCAGATAACATTGCCATCCAGTTTTTCATTTTCTTATGAATATGAGGGCCTTTTTCCCAAACAACCCACTCTCTCTCCTCTCTGTGTTCTTCAGATAAAAAAGATCAGAATGCACATCTTCTGGAGATTGTTAGACCTTCCTCAGTTCTGTATTCATTGGAGACGAGGCCCAAATTGATGAGAGAAAGGAACTGGTAGGGTTTATTCCATTGTAACCTATGAGTCATAAACACTTCTCTTCTGTTTTGTTTTTTCTTGAGAACAATAAAAACTAGGATAGCCCTTTTTATTTGCTGTGAATATTCTCACCTTTTCCTGCCATATAACCTCTGAAGAAAGAAGGAGTGGGGTGGAACCCTGCTGCATATCAAAGCCATGTGAAATGTTAAGAGTCTGTTGCTCCAATATGATAGGCAAAACCTCAAACCCTCTAGACAAAATCGGAAGCTATTTTCTTAGATCACATAATTCCTGGACAAAGAAAGAAACATTAGCACTCAAAAGAAGCTTAGTCTTAGGCTTGTCTTTAAGAGCTCTTTAGTGGGAATGGATGAGTGTCACCTTCATATTGAATAAATGAGGAAATAAGAGGGGCAGGAAAATGACTTAACATCCCAGTGGGGAATGCACCTTCTTACCCCCAGGGGGCCACATAGTGATGAAGAGTCCTCTCACAGTACCTCCTGGAAAATTTGAGAGAAATCACCCATTTTGCAGCTAAGAAAGTTGAAATAATAAGCAATAGTGTGGCCTGTTGCCAGACAGTTAAAATTAAGATAAGTGTTCAATTCTTCTACATGTAATAATATATTAAATTGAGCTCTATTATTGGAAGGCCAACACTGTGAGTTTTATCTTCAAATAGACTCAGTGACTTTCTACTGCTCCAAATCCTCTTTGAAGTCAGGAGCGATCTCATAGAATCTCGGGATTGGAGAATGTCTTAAAGTCTTCCTAGTCCAATTACCCATATGCTTAATTTTAAGAACTGAATTCTTGAGTTTTGGCATTACTCCATCCTGCCAGAGTCCTCAATCTCAGAATATCAGAGTTTCTTGAAGACCACTAAAATTTTAATGATTAAACTACTTCTTGCTTCAAACAAGTCTACAGCTTTCTTTTAAAAAGACACACACACACACACGTGTGCATGCACTACAACCCAGGCAAACTTTCACTATTTCTAACATTGCTGAAAAGATACGAAACAACGATGAAGCCATCATCTACCTAACAGTCACACTTGTAATGTAGCTGAGTCCTGTATTTTAAGCTATTCCATCATCATAATAAAAATGATATGATGACCAATAACATAAAGAAATTCTATAGAAAAAAATTTTAAATTAAAAGATCAAGAATGTAAATCAGAACACTAGTATCGAACTGTAGCCTGTCTGGCAATGATACTTTTTTAGATATGTGAAGTTTTAAAAATACATTTTAATCATCCAAACTGTTGTCTTATCTTTGATTTGTAAAAAAGAGAGAAAAGTTCTGCTTGGTGGTGAATAGTCACTTTTCTAAGTTTCATTTAGTGTCCAAAAGTACAGTTATAATTGTAAAGATTAAGTTATACTTCCAAAGAGAGACAATAAATAACTTGAGAAATAAATAAGAAAGAACTCACTAAACCGATGGTGGTAGATTCAGGAGTTTAAGAAGATTGTTTTACAATTTTTTTAAAAAATCAAAGACTTGTATAGCAAAGGAAACAATAAACAGAATGAAGAAACAGCCTGCAGAATGACACAAAATATTTACCGAGTATACATCTGATAAGGAGTTTATATCTATATTACACAAAGAACTCAACAACTCAGAAAGAAAACAAATAACCCAATTTTAAAATAGAAAAAGGACCTGAATAGACATTTCTCAAAGGAAGACATACAAATGACTAACAGGTATGTGAAAAAATGCTCAACATCACTAATCATCAGGGAAATGCAAATCAAAACCATAATGAGCTATCACTTCACTCCCATTAGAATAGCTAGTATCAAAAAGACAAAATAACAAATGTTGGTGAAAACTTAGGGAAAAGAGAACCCTAGTACGCTGTTGGTGGGAATAATGCATAGTCATTATGTACAGACATTATGGGAAACAGTATGGTAATTCCTCAAAAAAAATAAAAATAGAAGTACCAAGTGATCCAGCAATCCCACTACTAGGTATATTTTCAAAGGAAATAAAACCAGTATGTCAAAGAGATATCTTCATTCTCATCTTTGCTGCCACATTATTCATGATAGCCAAGATAGGGAATCAAACTAAGTGTTCATCGGTGGATGAATGGATTAAAAACTATGGTATATATACACAGTGAAATACTGGTCAGCCATAAAAAAAGGAATTTCTGTTATTTGCAACAACATAGATGAACCTACAGGACATTATATAGGTGAAATAAGCCAGGCACAGAAATACAAGTACTCAAGGATCTTACTCATATGTGGAATGTAAAAAAGTTGATCTTATAGAAACAGAGAGGATAAGGGTGGTTATCAGAGGATGTGGCAATTGTCATGGGGCTGAGGAGGGTTGAGGAGATGTTGGTCAAAGGATACAATGTTACAGTAAGATAGGAGTAATAAATTCAATGGATCCCTGGTATAGCATGATGACTACAGTTAATGACAACATATCGTATTCTTGAAAAATGCTAAGAGAGTTTATGTTAAATGGTCTCATTACAAAAATGATAACTACGTGAAAGTAGAGACTAGAATAGTGGTCACTACAGACTGGGAAGGGTAGGGGAGAGGAAGTGGTTGTTTAATGGGTTTAAAGTTACAGCTAGATGGGAGGAATAAGTTCTGTTCTGTAGCACTGTAGGGTAAACATGATTAATAATTTATTGTGGCCAGGCGTAGTGGCTTATGCCTGTAATTCCAGCACTTTGGGAAGCTGAGGTGGGTGGATCATGAGGTCAGGAGATCGAGACCATCCTGGCTAGCATGGTGAAACCGTGTCTCTACTAAAAATACAAAAAAAAATTAGCCGGGCGTGGTGGCAGGCACCTGTAATCCCAGCTACTCAGGAGGCTGAGGCAGGAGAATGGCGTGAACCCGGGAGGCAGAGCTTGCAGTGAGCTGAGATCGCGCCACTGTACTCCAGCCTGGGCGACAGAGTGAGACTCGGTCTCAAAATAATAATAATAATAATTTATTTTATATTTTTTAAATGCTAGAAAAAAGATTGCAAATATGCACAACACAAAGTAATGATAAATATTCTGGGTGATGTATATACAAATTGCACTAATTTGATCACTACAAATTGTATACATGTATTGAAATGCCACATAAATATGTATAATTACTATCAACTAAAAATAGAAGGAAAAAAACTATGTGAAATAATGCAAATTTGAATTAGCGAGATTTAATCATTTAACAATGTATATATGCTACTTCAAATAAGTACATCTTTGAGGTTTTTGTTTGTTGTTTTTAACTTTTAGTGTCGGGGTACATGTGCAAGTTTTTTATATAGTCAAATTCCATGTTACTCAACAGTTAGTTTTTTCATTCACACTCTTTCTACCCTCCACCCACAAGTAAGCCCTGGTATCTATTCCCTTCTTTTTGTCCATGTGTACTCAAGGTTTAGCTCTTATTTATAAATGAGAATATGTGATATTTGCTTTTCTGTTTCTGTGTTAGTTTGCTTAGGATAATAAACTCCAGCACCATCAACATTGTTGCACAGGACATGATCTCAATCTTTTTTATGACTGCATGGTATTCCATGGTATATATGTACCACATTTCCTTTTTTCCAGTCTACCACTGATGGACATTTAGGTTGATTCTACGTATTTGCTATTGTGAATACTGCTGCAATTAACATATGTGTGCATGTGTCTTTATGGTAGAACAATTTATATTCCTTTGGGATACCCAATAATACCCAATAATGAGATGGCTGGGACAAATGTGAGTTCTAAGTTTTTTGAGAAATCACCAAACTGCTTTCAACAGTGGCTGAATTAATTTACAGTCCCACAAGCAGTGTAAAATGTTACCTTTTCTCTGCAACCTTGCAAGCATCTGTTATTTTTTGACTTTTTAGTAATAGCCATTCTGATTGGTGTGAGATAATATCTCATTATGGTTTTAATTTGCATTTCTCTAATGATTGTTGATGTTAATCATTTTTTATATGTTTATTGGCTGCAGGTATGTCTTCTTTTGAGAAGCATCTGTTTATGTCCTTTGCCCACTTTTTAATGTGATTGTTTATTGCTTGATAATTTATTTAATTTCTTATAAATTCTAAATATTAGACCTTTGTCAGGTGTTTAGTTTGCAAATATTTTTACCTATTCTGTGTGTTGACTGTTTACTCTGTCAATAGCTTCTTTTGCTGCACAGAAGAAACTATTGACAGAGTAAACAGTCAATGCACAGAAGCTCTTTGGTTAAATTAGGTCCCATTTGTCAGTTTTTGTTTTTGTTATAATTGCTTTAGGTATCTTCATCATGAAATCTTTGCCAGAGCTTAAGTCCAGATTGGTATTTTCTAGGTTTTCTTCAAGAGTTTTTATAATTTTACGTTTTACATTTAAGACATTAATCCATCATGAGTTGAATTCTGTATATGATGTAAAGAAGGAGTCCAGTTTCAATCTTCTGCATATGGCTAACCAATCATCCCAGCACTCTTTATTGAATGGGGAGTCCTTTCCTCATGGCTTGCTTCTGTCAATGTTGTCAAAGATCAGATGGTTTTACAGGTGTCACTTTATTTCTGGCCTCTGTAACCTGTTGCATTGGTTCCTGTGTCTCTTTTTGTACCAGTACCATGCTGTTTTGTTTACTGCAGCCTTGTAGTATAGTTTAAAGTCAGTTAATGTGATGCTTCCTGCTTTGTTCTTTTTGCTTACAATAGCTGTGGCTACTTGGGCTCCTTTTTAGTTTCACATGAATTTTAGAATAATTTTGTTTTTAATTCAGTGAAGAATGTCATTGGTAGTTTGATAGAAATGGCGTTGAATCTGTAAATTTCTTTGGGTAGTGTGGCCATTTTTACAACATTGATTCTTCCTATCCTAAACATGGGAATGTTTTTCCATTTGTTTGTATCCTTTATTTTTTTCAGATTTTTTTGTAATTGTTTTATAGAGATCTTTCACCTCCCTGGTTAGCTGTATTTCTAGATATTTTATGCTTTCTGTGGTTAATGTGAATGGGATTGTATTCTTGATTTTGCCCTCAGCTAGGAGGTTGTCAGAGGTATAGAGTCACAAAGTCTACAAAAAGAGAGTTTGACTTTCTCTCTTCCTATTTGGATGCCTTTTATTTCTTTTTCTTGCCTGATTGCTCTGGCTAGGACTTCCAGTATTTTGCTCTGGCTAGGACTTCCAGTATTATGTTGAATAGGAGTGGTGAAGGTGGGCATCCTTGTTGTGTTCCAATTCTCAAGAGTGATATTTCCAACTTTTTCCCATTTAGTATGATGTTGGCTGTGGGTTCGTCATAGATGGCTCTTATTATTTAGAGGTATGTTTTTACAATACCTAGTTTGTTGAGGGTTTTAAACATGAGGTGATGCTGAATTTTATTGAAAGCCCTTTCAGCATTGATATGGTTTGGCTTTGTCCCCACCAAAATTTCAGCTTGAATTGTAGCTTCAATAATCCCCACCTGTCATAGGAGGGTCTCCGTGGTAGGTAATTGAGTCATGGGGGTGGTTACCCTCATGCTGCTCTTCTTGTGATAGTAAGTGATTTCTCACGAGATCTGATGGTTTTATAAGGGAATTTTCTCCCTTTTGCTCAGCACTTCTCCTTTCTGCCATCACATGAAGAAGGATGTGTTTGCTTCCCCTTCTGCCATGATTGTAAGTTTCCTGAGTCCTCCCCAGCCATGCAGAACTGTGAGTCAATTAAACCTTTTTTCTTTATAACTTACCCAGTCTTGGACAGTTCTTAATAGCAGCATGAGAATGAATTAATATAGTAAATTGGCACCAAGTAATGTAGTGCTGCTGTAAAGATACCCAAAAATGTGAAAATTACTTTGGAACTGGGTACCAGGCAGAGGTTGGAACAGTTTGGAAAGCTCAGAAGAAAACAGGAAGGTATGGAAAAGTTTGAAACTTTCTAAAGACTTGTTGGATGGCTTTGACCAAGATGCTGATAGTGATATGCACAAGGAAGTCGCCCTGGCTGAGGTGGTCTCAGATGGAGATGAGATGAGGAATTTTATTCCAGTCTTGGGAACTGGAATAAAATTGACTCTTGCTATGTTTTAGCAAAGAGACTGGTGGCATTTTGCCCCTGCCCTAGAGATCTGTGGAAACTTGAACTTGAGAGAGATGACTTAGGGTATCTAATGGAAGAAATGTTTAGGCAGCAAACTGTTCAAGAGGTGACTTGCGTGCTGTTAAATGCATTCAGTTTTATGTATTCACAGAGATACAGTTTCTAATTGGAACTTATGTTTAAAAAGAAAGCAGAGCATACAAGTTTGAAAAATTTGCAGCCTGATGATATGATAGAAAAGAAAAACCCATTTTCTGGGGAGAAATTTAAGCCAGCTGCAGAAATTTACATAAGCAATAAAAAGCCAAATGTTAATCACCAAGACAAAGGGGAAAATATCTCCAGGGCATGTCAGAATTCTTCATAGCAGCCCCTCCCATTACAGGCCCAGAGGTCCAAAAGAAAAAAAAATGGTTTCATGGGCCAGGCCCAGGGTGTTGCTGCTTTGTGCAGCCTTGGGACTTGGCGCCTTGCATCCCAGCTGTGGCTAAAAGGGGCCAAGGTACAGCTTGGGCTGTGGCTTAAGAGAGTGCAAGCTTCAAGCCTTGGAAACTTCCACATGGCATTCAGCCTGTGGTGCACAGAAGTTAAGAATTGAGGTTTGGGAACCTCCACCTCGATTTCAAAGGATATATGGAAATCTCTGGAAGTCCAGGCAGAATTTTGCTGCAGGGATGGAGTCCTCATTGAGAATCTCTACTACAGCAGTGCAAAAAGGAAATGTGGAGTTGGAGCCCCCACACAGAGTCCCCACTGGGGCACTGCCTTGTGGAGCTGTGAGAAGAAAGCCCCCATCCTCCAGACTCCTGAATTGTAGATCTACCAACAGTTTTCACCATGCACTTGGAAAAGCCACAGACACTTAATGCCACCCCATGAAAGCAGCTTGGAGGGGGGCTGTACCCTGCATAGCCACAGGGGCAGAGTTGCCCAAGACCATGGGAACCCATCTCTTGCATCAGTGTGACCTGCATGTGAGACATGGAGTCAAAGGAGATCATTTAGGAGCTTTAAGATTTGACTGCCTCACACAATTTCAGACTTGCATGGGGCCTATAGCCTCTTCATTTTGGCCAATTTCTCCCATTTGGAATGGATGCATTTACCCAATGTCTGTAACCCCATTGTATCTAGGAAGTAACTAACTTGCTGATTTTACAGGTTCATAGGTGGAAGGGACTTGCTTTCTCTCAGATGCGACTGGACTGTGGACTTCTGAGTTAGGGGCCAGAGGTGAAATGATATGATTTGGCTGTGTCTCCACCCAAATCTCATCTTGAATTGTAGGTCCCATAATCCCCATGTGTTGCAGGAGGGACCCAGTGGGAGGTAATTGAATTATGTGAGTGGTTACTCTCATGCTGCTGTTCTTGTGATAGTGAGTGAGTTCCCATGAGATCTGATGGTTTTATAAGGGACTTTTCTCCCTTTTGCTTGGCACTTCTCCTTCCTGCCATTATGTGAAGAAGGACATATTTTCTTCCCATTCCACCATGATTGCAAGTTTCCTGAGGCCCCCCAGCCATGCAGAACTGTGAGTCAATTAAACCTCTTTCCTTTATAAATTACCCTTTATTGAGATTATCATTTTTTTAAGTTCTTTTTATGTGATGAATCACACTTATTGATTTGCTTATGTAGAAACAACCTTGCATCCTAGGAATAAAGGCTACTTAATCGAGCTGATTTAGCTTTTGATGTACTGCTGGATTTGGTTAGCTAATATTTTGTTGAGGATATTTGCATCTATATTCATCAGTGATATTGTACTAAAGTTTCCTTTTCTTTTGGCTCTGCCAGATTTTGGTATCAGAATGATGCTGACCTCATAAAATGAGTTAGAAATGAGTCCCTCCACTTGTTTTTTGAATAATTTTAGTAGAAATGATACCGACTCTTCTTTATATATCTAGTAGAGTTTAGCTGAGCATCCATGTGGTCCTGGGCTTTTTCTTATTGGTAGGCTTTTTATTACTGGTCCAATTTTGGAACTCATTGGATATCTTGAACCTCTGTTCAGGGTATCAATTTCTTCCTGGTTCAATCTTGAGTGGTTGTATGTTTTCAGAAATGTATCTGCTTTTTGTAGGTTTTCTGGTTTGTGTGCATAGAGGTGTTAATAATAGTCTCAGAGGGTGTTTCATAATTCTGTGGGATTAGTGGTAATGTCCTCCTTGTCATTTCTGATTGTTTATTTGAATCTTCTCTCTTTTTTGGTTTATTAGTCCAGCTTGCAGTTCATCAATCTTATTTATTCTTTCAAAAGACAAACTTTGGGTTTTGCTGATGTTTTGAAAAGCTTCTCACATCTCAGTTTCATTCAGTTCAGTTCTAATATTAGTTATTTCTTGCCTTCTGTTATCTTTGGGTGTTGGTTTACTCTTGTTTCTCTAGTTTCTCTAGGTGTGATGTTAGGTTGTTAACTTGATATCTTTTTACCTTTTTAACGTAGGCATTTTGTGCTATAAACTTTCCTCTTAACATTGCTTTAGTTGTGACCCAGAGATTCTGGTATGTTTTATTTTTGTTTTCACCAGTTTCACATAATTTATTGACATCTGCCTTAATTTCATTGTTTACCCAAAAGTCATTCAGAAGTAGGTTGTTTAATTTCCACGTAATGTATGGTTTTGAGCAATCTATTTAGTCTGCTTCTATTTTTACTCTGCTGTGGTCTGAGAGTGTGGTTGGTATGATTTTAGTTTTTTTTAATTTGCTGATAATTTTTTATCACTGATTGTTTGGTGAACTTTAGAGTATGTGTGCTGTGCAGATGAGAAGAATGTATATCCTGTTGTTTTGGGGTGGAGAGATCTGCGCATGTCTGTTAGGTCCATTTTGCCAAGTGTTGAGTTCAGGTCCCAAATATTTTTTAGTTTTCAGCCTGAATGATTTGTCTAGTATTGTCAGTGGGGTATTAAAGTCTCCCACTATTATTGTGTGGTTATCTAAACCTCTTCATAGGTCTCTAAAAATTGCTTCATGAATCTGGGTGATCCTGGGTTGGGTGCATACATATTTAGGATAGTTAAGTCTTCTTGTTGAATTGAGCCCTTTACTATTATGTGATGCCCTTCTTTGTCTTTTATGTCCATTTTGGTTTAAAATATGTTTTGTCTGAAATAAGAATAACAATCCCTGCTTTTTTCTGTATTCCATTTGCTTGGTAGTTTGTTTGTTTGTTTGTTTGTTTGTTTGTTTGTTTTTACCATTCCTTTTCTTTGAGCCCATGGGTGTCATTGCATGTGTGATGGATCTCTTGAGGACAGCATACATTTAGGTCTTGCTTCCTTATTCAACTTGCCACTCTGTCTTTTAATTGGGATGTTTAGTGCATTTACATTCAAGGTTAATATTGATATGTGTGGATTCGATCCTGCCATTGAGTTTTTAGCTGGTTATTATGCAGACTTCATTGTGTAGTTGCTTTATAATGTCAATGGTCTATGCACTAAACTCTGTTTTTGTGGTGGCCAGTAAGTCTTTCCTTTCCATATTTAGCACTCTATTTAGGACCTTTTGTAAGGTAGTCCTGGTGGTAACAAATTTCTTCAGCATTTGCTTCTCTATAAAGGATCTTATTTCTCATTCACTTAGGAAGCTTAGTTTGACTTGATATAAAATTCCTAGTTGGAGTTTCTTTTCTTTAAGAATGCTAGCTGCCTTTATTTTTTTTTCTTTCATGTTGATCTTTAAATATCTGATGACTATGTTTTTTGGGTATGGTTGTCTTGTATAGTATCTCACAGGAGTTCTGTGCATTTCCTGAATCTAAATGTCTGCCTCTCTAGTGAGGCTGAGAAAATTTTTATGAACGATATCCTCAAACATGTTTTCCAAGTTGCCTGCTTTCTCTCTCTCTTTCAGGGATACTAATGCATCATAGATTTGGTGTCTTTACATAATCCCGTATTTCTGTTTTTTCATTCTTTTTAATCTTTTTTTCTTCATTTTTGTCTGAGTTAATTGATAGAGCCAGTCTTCAAGCACTGAGATTCTTTCCTCAGCTTGGTCTATTATTCTGCTAATACTTGCAATTGTATTATAACATTATTGTAGTGGATTTTTTAGCTCTAACTGATCAGTTTTGTTTTTTCTTAAAATGGCCATTGCATCTTTCAGCTCCTGTGTTGTTTTATTGTATTCCTTATATTCCTTGGATTGGGCTTTGACTTTCTCTTGTATGTTGATCATCTTTGCTCCTATCCATATTCTGAATCTTATGTCTGTCATTTCAGCCTGGTTAAGAACCGTTGCTGGGAAGTAGCACAGTCATTTGTAGTTAAGAATATACTCTGGCTTTTTGAGTTGCCAGGTTTCTTGCTCTGGTTTTTTCTCATCTGTGTGAACTGATTTATTTTTTCACTTTTGAAAGTGCTCTCCTTTGGATATAATTTTTTGCTTTTATCTTTTTTGATGTCCTTGGTGGTTTGATTGTGGTATAAGGTAGGTTCAGTTGACTGGCTTCTATTGTGAGAGATTTCAGGAAGTCAAATCTCAGCTCAGCACTCCTGGGTTGCATGCTGTAACTGTTGGGCACTGATACCAGGCCTCTAGCTTTGTTATCTGGCTCCATGGGAGAGAACTGTGTTAGGAACCTGCTGTGCTGGAAGGGCCAAGATCTTCCTGGTCTGCTGGCCCAACACTTGAATGGAGA
The DNA here is from genome assembly GCF_000001405.40 of Homo sapiens. Lineage (NCBI taxonomy): Eukaryota > Metazoa > Chordata > Mammalia > Primates > Hominidae > Homo > Homo sapiens. The sequence continues at coordinate 73,353,422 of NC_000023.11, forward strand.
ATGAAAGCCAATGTGCTTCTTGGAGACAGTGGCAGTGAGATCTGCAACTTTCTCATGCATACCAGCAGCCACAGTGGCATGTGGGAGTGCACATGTGCCAACTGGGACTAGGCACCAGTGGGAGCAGGCCAGTGATGTTCATGTACGTTTTTGCACTGGCAGCATGGCAAAATGTCTGCCTGTTGGCAGTGGTGTGGCATAAGTGGGAGCGGGGTAGTGGCGGGGCACCACTGTCCATGCACACATTTGTGCTCGTGGTGGCAACAGTGCAGTGAGACCAGAGTGCTTGTTGGTGTGGGGGCACGGGCATACATGGAGGTACTCACACTGGCGGTGGTGGCATGGCAGAAGTGGGGTTCTGTTGTGAGTGGGGTTCCGGTGTTTGTAAATGCACTTGCAGTAGCATCAGTAGTGGTGTGACAGGCTGCCTGTGCCTCAGCAGGGACAGATTGCCACTGGGGGTAAGGAGGATGGTGAGTTGTGCTCACTCCTATGCAGTGGGGTGGCAGGGTGCATGCATACACATGCACCATTGAGGTAGGGGAAGCAAGGTCTGCCCACATGCACATTCCAGCAAAGTGGTTGGTGGATAGTGCCATCGGTGAGTGTGTGATGTCTAAGTGGCAGAAGAGGCTATAATGGAAGGCTGCAGGTGGGCTGGTTGCATCAGGAGGGGCCAGTCTGCTGGATCTCTGACAGTTATGTGCAGTATGTTGGTGAAAGAGGTATGATGAGGGCCCCCAGGAAGCACCCTGGTTGGGCATCCAAGACTGTGCTGCAAGAAGGTTGTAGCACAGGCTGGGGTCCCAAGAGAGGCTGGCAGATGGGAGCTGCTTAGATCAGACTTGCCCCATCCCATGAGCAAGACTGCCCTGCTCTGTTCCGGTCTAACAGTCAACCTAAATCTGAAGTCTCAAAGTGAAGCATGGTGAGCCTTGGGTGATGGGTGTCCCTGGCCATGCTGCACTGCAGCTTTTCTTGTGCCAAATTCTCATGGCTCTGCATAGGCTGGATTCTTGCCCCTGCCACCTCTTTAAGAAGCTCCCACTTTCATTCCAAGTGCCTAGGGGTGTGGATTCTCCTGATTCTGGAGAATTTAAGATTCTGGAGGTCCATGGTGAGAGTGGGACACTTCTTGCCTGTTCAACTCACTTCTTCCCCAGGAGTCACTGGGGGCCAGGAGCAGCTCCTGATGCTCAGCAGCCCCATGCAGAGTTCCAAGATTTCTTCCCCTTCAGTTAAGTGTCTGCATCCTTCCTCCATTCACTCTCAACGCTTTCCCTCTGAAGATCTGCTCAGAGTATGCTAGTGTTCCTGAAGTCACAGTCTCGCAGTGGAACATGTTTCTCCTGGCTGCATCAGCCATCTTGGCTTTGTCTCATGAATAAATATTTCAAGTACACAATAATTACATGAAATTTTATCTGTCAATTTGAAATAAACAAATACATAAGTTTGAGTGGAAAGTAAATAAGTTAAAATTAAAATTAAAGAAATATATTTGTCCCTATATACTAATTCTTATTACTAACCTTCTTCTCTTTTCTCATCCCCCACTTTGTTATAATAAAAATTACTCTATCATTCAAAGTAGGTTTAGATTGCTAATGTTTCCTTTTCTACATATGCCTATGCATAGGAAATTTCTAATGTCCATAAGTAATATTTATGCAAATAAATCAATTCAGGTAACCATCATAATTCTCTGTATATAGGTATGTACACATACATACATACATATATATACACATGCACACATATATATGGTATTTCACACCCTTTATATTATTTGATTTTATCTAGAGACTGAATATTAAATTATAGATAACATTAACAGACAACAATAACTCACTAGAATATGCAGGCTTTTACTTTCTTAACAATCCCTTTAGTCTCATGTGGGTACTCAAGACTGTTGTAAAGATGTAATGAGAAGATATAATGTTACTTTGAAAAGTATAGAATAATATACCAATCTGAGGGGTTGTTATGATTATGTTATAATAACTGATTATCAATTATTTTGCTGATTATAAGTGAATATGATTGATTTTGGTTATGATAATGTTTGGGGTATAATTAAATATATGATTATTGTTATCATCAAGATTATTCTTGAAAGTGGTTTAATAAATCATAATTTGTTTAAATATTTTTATTGCACTACCAAAAATAATCTTTCTAGCTAACTCTATCTTTAGGTTATAGTTTTTCAATGAGCTTATATTTTAAAAGGTTGATGCTGCTATAAATAAGAAAAGCTTATGTCAGTCCCATATAATCCATAATCTCCTATCACAACTCACACATAAAAACACACATGCAAACATTTACACATGCAATAAGCCCTGTTTTAGACTAAATCTTATAGGTTTTATGTATGAAAAGATACCCTTGGAACTTCCCTCCCAAGCAAAAAACATCCATGGTGGGAAAGGAAGCTGCTTTCAACCACCAAACAAACTGTCTGCAATTCCGTGGCTGCAGACTTATGCTTGTCACCAACTGTCTGAAAGATATTTGTCTCTTTCCACTGGCAAACTTGGACTTTTTGGTCTAGTACTTCTCATTAGCTCTCTGGAAGGTGTAAAGGCACCAATAGTGGAGATAGAAGGTCTTCTAGCAGAATAGGAGACTTCAATGTCTATTTAGAGAAATTGACAATTCGTTTTTTAAAAAGACCCCAGAGGCCTAGGGAGGAGCCCCGTCAATTTGTGGGGAGATAATGACTATTGGAGCGGAGACCTCCCAACAACCTGAGGAGAGAATTTACCTGTCTGGGGAAATGGCAATTTTCTGCCTAGTGGAAGACGCCACCAGCTTGAATATATAACCACCCTCCCAGGGTAAAAAATGAACCAATTGGAAGAGGTCACTTGCCTACTAGACAAAAAACTTCACTTTCCCAAGGGGGCGGGATTCCATGTTCAATATCTAAGAATCTAATTGCTGAAAGATAATATATACAGACTGAGAGAGAAAACCAAAAAACTGCAGAAGAAAACCTGGCTAAAAGGAAAAGTATATATAGAATTTAAGCTGGAAGACTTGCTGTTAAGGGATAGAAAGAGCAGTAGTTGGGGAAGATAACTCCTCTGGTAGAGAAGAGAGGACAGCATTTGCAGGAAAGATCTACTTACATGGGAAGAAAAACTGCAGGCTACAATAGAAGGTCCATCAAAGCTGAAACTGGATCCCTTCCTTACACCTTATACTAAAATTAACTCAGATGGATTAAAGACTTAAACATAAGACCTAAAACCATAAAAACCGTAGAAGAAAACCTAGGTAATACCATTCAGGACATAGGCATGGGCAATGACTTTATGGCTAAAACACCAAAAGCAATGGTAGCAAAAGCCAAAATAGACAAATGGGATCTGATTAAACTAAATAGCTTCTGCACAGCAAAAGAAACTATCATCAGAGGCAACAGGCAGCCTGCAGAATGGGAGAAAATTTTTGCAGTCTATCCATCTGACAAAGGGCTAATGTCCAGAATCTACAAGAAACTTACACAAATTTACAAGAAAAAAACAAACAACCCCATCAAAAAGTGGATGAAGGATATGAACAGACACTTCTCAAAAGAAGACATTTATGCAGCTAACAAACATGTGAAGAAAAGTTCATTATCACTGCATCACTGATCATTAGAGAAATGCAAATCAAAACTACAATGAGATACCATCTCATGCCAGTTAGAATGGCGATCAATAAAAAGTCAGGAAACAACAGATGCTGGAGAGGATGTGGAGAAATAGGAACACTTTTACATTCTTGGTAGGAGTGTAAATCAGTTCAACCGTTGTGGAAGACAGTGTGGCAATTCCTCAAGTATCTAGAACTGGAAATACCATTTGACCCAGCAATCCCATTACTGGGTATGTACTCAAAGGATTACAAATCATTCTACTATAAAGCCACGTGCACACATATATTTATTATGACACTGCTCACAATACAAAGACTTGGAACCAACCCAAATGCCCATCAATGATAGACTGGATAAAGAAAATGTGGCACATATACGCCATGGAATACTATGCAGCCATAAAAAAGGATGAGTTCATGTCCTTTGCAGGGACATGGATGAAGCTGGGAACCATCATTCCCAGCAAACTAACACAAGAACAGAAAACCAAACACTGCATATTCTCACTCAGAAGTGCGAGGTGAACAATGAGAACACATGAATGCAGAGAGGGGAACAACACACACTGGGGCCTGTCGGGGGGTGGGAGGCTAGGGTAGGGATAGCATTAGGAGAAATATCTAATGTAGATGACGGGTTGATGGGTGCAGCAAACCACCATGGCGCTTGTATACCTATGTAACAAACCTTCGTGCTCTGCACATGTACCCCAGAACTTAAAGTATAATAATAATAATAATAATTAAAGAAAAGTCCCTGGCTTGGGGACAGGGCCAGTCTTCAATCTCAAAATAATGCAGTCTACCATCTTCAAGGGTTTACTGTATTTGAGGCTATATTGTAACTATGTTATAAGTAGTATATTATGAGACTCTATTATAGGCACCCGGAGCCTGCAGTTACCCAAAGGCTCCAGCCACCCACTTTAAGACTTCTCCACTATAGTTTCTAGAGCTCTCCAGAGAGAAGCTGCAGGTAATATCCCCAAACTCCTACTAACTGTTTATACATGGAAACTCTAGGTTGGCAGAAAGCACAGGCCTAAACTTTTCCAGTGTTCAGAGGATACTGGACTACTGCTTCCAGTGGAACTACTGGTACAGCTGCTCAGGACACCTAGAGTAAATGTCAGCATTTTTTTCTTGAAAAAAATGTTGTATAAAATTCTCACAGATCTACCTAGAACTGTTTTATCTCCCCACTCAAAATTGATCTGATACCCTAAAGCCTCTCTGCTAAGTCTCATCTTCTCTGACTGCTCATGAGTAAGTATAGAACTTGAAATAAGTGTTGTCTGATTTCAGAGACTCCATCTGCACTACAATAAAAGATAATATGTAAAGCTACAAATGAGGTTTCTTTTGCTTCCCTTTCTATATTACTTTAAAAAAAATTGTCTTACCTCACATGTAAGGGCTCTGGAGATTAAAAGGACAGAGTCCTCCAACTAGTTACTCTCATCTCAGATAGGACAAGTTAGAGTCCTACACATTGGCCTACAGGGTGACAGATATTTTCTTCAGATTTGCATGAGTACTTAAAAAAAACTCAGCAGCTAAATATAGGACATGACCAGGACTTTGGGACTATCAAAAATTGAGAAAAGAAAAACTACTTATAGTTGCTTTGCTTTGCTCCATTTTCTCATATCTCAGGTTATCTTTCATGATTTAACACTTGAGATATCCCACCAGTTCCCAGAAAAAAATTGATGCCCAGCATCTCAGACAGTAGATTGATTATACTGTGAAGGAACTTGATTTTCCTCACTCCTGCCATTAATGTAAGGCCAATACTAGTAAAAAGGGGTAAAAGAAGATTATTTTGTAATTTGTTTACAGATAAATAGCAAGAGGCAGAGTGTGAATTTAACTTGGAGGCTATTGTGGTTCTACTGAAGAGACAGTTGCACACTTATTTTTCATGTATTGTTATATTTTATTTTAATGTTGGTATATTTTATTTATCTGTTTCAGATATTTAGATATAAACCTGGGGGACATTTTTAATAAAAATGTTCACAGCAGATTTACACCTTCTTCACTAATTGAATATATTTTTAACTTGTATTTTAGATTTAGGGATACATGTATAGGTTTCTTATATATAGGTATAATACATGTCACAGGTGTATGGTGTACAGATAATTTTATCACCCAAGTAATAAGCATAGTACCCAATAGGTATTTTTTTTCTGATTCATTCTCTCCTACCACACTCCACCCTCAAGGAGGCCCCAGTGTCTGTTGTTTCCCTCCTAGTATTCATGTGTTCTTACTGTTTAACTCCCACTTATAAATGAGAACAGGAGGTCTTTCATTTTCTGATCCTGTGTTAGTTTCCTTAGGATAATGTCCTTCAGCTCCATCCGTGTTGCTGCAAAGGATGTGATTTTATTCTTTTTATGGCTACATAGTATTCCATGGTGTATATGCACCACATTTCCTTTATAGAGTCTACCACCGATTCGTATTTAGGTTGATCCCATGTCTTTGCTATTGTGAATAGTGCTGCAACAAATATACACATGACATGTCTTCATGGCAGAATAATTTATATTCCTTTAGGTATATACCCAATAATGATATTGCTGAATCAAGTGGTAATTCTCTTTTAAGTTTCTTGAGGAATCACCACACTGTTTTCCACAATGGTTGAACTAATTTGCATTCCCGCCAGCAGTGCATGAGTATCCCCTTTTCTACAAAACCTCAGCAGCATCTGTTATTTTTTGACTGTTTAATAATAACCATTCTGACTGGTTTGAGATGGTATCTCATCGTGGTTTTGATTTGCCTTTCTTTAATGATTAGTGATGCTTAACATTTTTTCATATGCTTCTTGGCCACATGTATGTCTCTTTTTAAGAAGTTTCTGTTCATAAATTTTGCCCACTTTTTAATAGGGTTGTTTGCTTTTTGCTTGCAAATTTGTTTAAGGTCCTTATAGAAGCCAGACATTAGACTATTGTCAGATGCATAGTTTGCAAATACATTCTCCCATGCTGTACATTGTGTGTTCACTCTGTTGATAGTTTATTTTACTGTGCAGAAGCTTTTTAGTTTAATTAGATCCCATTTGTCAATTTTTGGTTTTGTTGCAATTGCTTTTGGAATTTTCATCATAAAATTTTAAACAAATCCTATGTTCAGAATGATATTTCCTAGGTTACTTTCCAGGGTTTTTATATTTTGGAGTTTTACATGTATGCGTTTAATCTGTCTTGAGTTGATTTTTGTATGTGGTGTAAGATATGGATCCAGTTCCGATATTCTGCATATGGCTAGCCAGTTATCCCACCACCATTCATTGAATGGGGAATTCTTTCCCTATTTTTTTGTTTTGTAAGCTTTTTCAAAGATCAGATGGTTGTAGGTGTGCTGCTTATTTCTGGGCTCTCTATTCTGTTCCATTGGTTGATGTGTCTGTTTTTTTTACCAGTACCATGCTGTTTTGGTTACAGCAGCCTTATAATATAGTTTGAAATCAGGTGATGTGATGCCCCCAGCTTTGTTCTTTGTCTTAGCATTGCCTTGGCTATTTTGACTAATTTTTGTTCCATATGAATTTTATATTATTCTATTTTATTTTTATTCAGATTACACATTCCTTTTTTAAGGGCAATTTAAAAATACCAATAGTTAATATTATGCTTACAGAATCACATGTGAGCATTAAAGAGTTCTAATTTTTACTTTTTTTATATGCCAGGTACTGCTTTATTTTTTTGTTTGTTTCAGTACAATTTTGGGGCACAACTGGTGTTTGATTAAATGGGTAAGTTCTTTAGTGGTGATTTCTGAGATTTTGGTGCATCCATCATCTGAGCAGTGTACACTAACCAATGTATAATCTTTTGTACCTAAACCCCTCACACTCTTTCACCCAAGTCCCCAAAGTCCATTGTTATCATTCCTTTTTACCATTGTATCATGCCTTTTCATCCTCACAGCTTAGCTCCTGCTTATGAATGAGAACATACAATGTTTGGTTTTTATCATTCCTGAGTTACTTCACTTAGAATAATGGCATCCAATTTCATCCAGGTTGCCACAAATGCCATTATTTCATTCCTTTTTATGGCTGAGTAGTAATCCATGGTGTGTGTGTGTATATATATATATATATATATATATATATATATATATATATATATATTTATCACAATTTCTTCATCTAATCATTGATTGATGGGCATTTGGGCTGGTTCCATATTTTTGCAATTGCTAATTGTGCTGCTATAAACATTTGTGGAAAAGTATCTTTTTTGTATAATGACTTCTTTTCCGCTGGGTGGATATGTAGCAGTGAAGTTGCTGAATCAAATGGTAATTCTACTTTTAGTTCTTTAAGGAATCTCCACACTGTTTTCCATAGCGGTTTTACTAGTTTACATTCCCACCAGCATTGTAAATGTGTTCCCTTTTCTCCACATCCATGCCAATATCTATTATTTGTTTATTTCTTGATTATAGCCATTCTTGCAGGAATAAGGTGATATCACATTGTGGTTTTGATTTGCATTTCTCTGATAATTAGTGATGTGGTGCATGTTTTCATGCTTGTTGTCCATTTGCATATCTTTTTTTTTGAGAATTGTCTATTCATGTCCTTAGCCCACTTTTTTTTTTTTTTTTTTTGAGATGTAGTCTCACTCTGTCACCCAGGCTGGAGTGCAGTGGCACGATCTCGGCTCACTACAAGCTCCAACACCCTGGTTCACGCCATTCTCCTGCCTCAGCCTCCCGAGTAGCTGAGACTGCAGGTGCCCACTACCACTCCCGGCTAATTTTTTGTAGTTTTAGTAGAGACGGGGTTTCATCATGTTAACCAGGATGATCTCAATCTCCTGACCTCGTGATCCACCCACCTTGGCTGACCAAAATGTTGGGATTACAGGTGTGAGCCACCGCGCCCGGCCCTTAGCTCACTTTTTTATGAGATTCTTTGTTGTTTTCTTGCTGATTTAAGTTTCTTGTAGATTCTGGATATCAGTCTTTTGTCTGATGTATAGATTGTGAAAATTGTTTCCCACTCTGTGGCTTGTCTGTTTATTCTGCTGATTGTTTCTTTTGCCGTGCAGAAGCTTTTTAGTTTAATTATGTCCCATCTGTTTATTTTTGTTTTTGTTGCATTTGATTTTGGGTTCTTGGTAATGAAGTCTTTGCCTAAGCCAATGTCTAGAAGGGTATTTGTGATGTTATCTTATGGAATTTTTATAGTATTAGGACTTAGATTTAAGTCTTTGATCCATTTTGAGTTGATTTTTATATAAGATGAGAGATAAGTATCGAGTTTTATTATTCTACAATGGCTTGCCAATTATTCCAGCACCATTTGTTGAATAGGGTATCCGTTTCCCACTTTATGTTTTTGTTCGCTTTGTCAAAAATAAGTTGGCCATAAGTATTTGGCTTTATTTCTGTGTTCTTCATTCTGTTCCATTGGTCTATGTGGCTATTTTTATACCAGTAGCATGCTGTTTTGGTGACTATGGCCTTATAGCACAGTTTCAAATCAGGTAATATGCCTCCAGATGTGTTATTTTTGCTTAGTTTTGCATTGGCTGTGTGGGCTTTTGTTTGTTTGTTTGTTCCATATAAATTTTAGGATTTATTTCTAGTTCTGTGAAGAAAGATGGTGGAATTTTGATGGAAATTGCACTGAATTTGTAGATTGCTTTTGGCAGTGTCGTTATTTTCATAATATTGATTCTACCCATTTATGAGCATGGGATGTGTTTCTATTTGTTTGTGTCATCTATGATTTCTTTCAGCAGTGTTCTGTAGTTTTCCTTGTAGAGGTCTTTCACCTCCTTAGTTAAGTATATTTCTAAGTTTTTGTTTGTTGTTTGTTTGCAGCTATTGTAAAAGGGCTTGAGTTCTTGATTTGATTCTCAGCTTAGGCAATGTTGGTGTATAGCAATGCTACTAATTTGTCTACTTTAATTTTGTATCCAGAAACTTTTTTGAATTTATTTATCAGTTCTAGATGATTTTTGGATGAGTCTTTAGGGTTTTCTAGGCATATAATCAAGTCATCAGCAAACAGTGACAATTTGACTTCCTCTTTTTCAATTTGGATGCCCTTTATTTCTTGCTTTTGTCTGATTGCTCTAGCTAGGACTTCCAGTACTATGTTGAATAGAAGTGGTGACAGTGGGCTTTCTCATTTTTTTCCAGTTCTCAGAGGGAATGCTTTCAACTTTTCCCCATTTAGTACTATGTTGGCTGTGGGTTTGTCATAGATGGCTTTATTACCTTAAGTTATGTCCCTTCTATACTGATTTTGCTGTGGGCTTTAATCGTAAAGAACTGCTGGATTTTGTCAAATGCTTTTTCAGCATCTATTGAGCTGATCATGTGATTTTTGTTTTTAATTCAGTTTATGTGTTCTATCACATTTATTGATTTGTGGATGTTGAACCATTTCTGCATCTCTGATATGAAACCCACTTGATCATGGTGAATTATTTGTTTGATATGCTGTTGAATTCTGTTAGCTAGTATTTTATTAAAGATTTTTGCATCTATATTTATCAGGGTTACTGGACTCTAGCATTCTTTTTTTTGTTATGTCCTTTCCTGGTGTGGGTATTAGAGTGATACTGGCTTTATAGAATGATTTAGGGGGAATTCCTTTTTCTCTATCTTGTAGAATAGTGTCAATAGGATTGGTACCAATTCCTCATTAAATATCTGGTAGGATTTAGCTGTGAATCCATCTGGTCCTAAACTTTTTTGTTGTTGGAATTCTTTTATTACCATTTCAATCCTGTTGCTTTTTATTTGCCTGTTCAGAGTTTATATTTCTTCCTGTTTTAATCTAGGAGGGTTGTATATTTCCAAGAGTTTATCCATCTCTTCCAGATTTTCTAGTTTATGCACATAACAATGTTCACAGTAGCCCTGAATGATCTTTTTTTTATTTTTGTGGAATTGGTTGTAATATCTCCTGTTTCTTTTTTAAATGAGCCTATTTGGCTCTTTTCTTTCCTTTTCTTGGTAAATCTCACTAAAGGTTTATCAATTTTCATTATTTTTTCATAGAAGCAGCATTTTCTTTCATTTATCTATTGTATTTTTGTTGCAATTTCACTTAGCTCTGCTCTAATCTTGGTTATTTCTTTTCTTATGCTGGATTTGGGTTTGGAATGTTCTTGTTTTTCTGGTTCCTTGAGGTATGACCTTATATTGTCTATTTGTGCTCTTTCAGACTGTTTCATGTAGGCATTTATGGCTATGAACTTTTCACTTAGCACCACCTTTTCTGTATCCCAGAGGTTTTGATAGGTTTTGGCACTATTATCATTCACTTCAAAGAATTTTTAAATTTCCGTCTTGATTTCATTGTTGACTCAATGATCATTCAGGAGCAGGTTATTTAATTTCCACATATTTGCATGGTTTTGAGGGTTCCTTTTGAAGTTGATTTCCAATTTTATTCCACTGTGATCTGAGAAAGTACTTGCTATAATTTCGAATTTTTAATTTTATTGTCTTGTCTTGTGGCCTACAATATGGTCTATTTTGGAGAATGTTCCATGTGCTGATGAATAGAATGTATATTCAACAATTGATGAATAGAATGTTTTGTAAAAATCTGATAAGTCCATTTGTTCTAGGATATAGTTTAAGTCTGTTGTTTCTTTGTTGACTTTCTGTCTTGATGACCTGTCTAGTGCTGTCAGTGTAGTATTGAAGTTCCCCTCTATTATTGTGTTGTTGTCTATCTCATTTCTTAGGTCCACTAGTAATTGTTTTATAAATTTGGGAATTCCAATGTTAGGTGCATATATATTTATGATCATGATATTTTCCTTTTGGACTAGTCTTTTTATCATTATATAATGTCCCTCTTTGTCTTTTTTAACTGCTGTTACTTTATAGTTTGTTTTGTCTGATGTAAGAATAGTTACACCTGCTCACTTTTTGTGTCCCCCTTGCATGGAATATCTTTTTCCACTCTTTTACCTTACATTTATGTGAGTCTTTATGTGTTAGTTGAGTCTCTTGAAGACTGTGGATACTTGGTTAGGAAATTCTTATCCATTCTGCCACTCTGTATCTTTTAAGTGAAGCATTTAGGCCATTTACATTCAATGTTAGTATTGAGATGTGGGGTACTGTTTTATTCATTGTGCTATTGGTTACCTGAATACCTTGGGTTTTTTAAAATTTATTGTGTTATTGTTCTATAGGTCCTGTGAGATATATCCTTTGAGGAGGTTCTATTTTGTTATATTTTGATAATTTCTTTCAAGATTTAGACCTCCTTTAGCAATCCTTGTGGTGCTGGCTTTGTAGTGACAAATACTCCTAGCATTTGTTTGTCTGGGAAAGACTGTATCTTTCCTTCATTTATAATGCCTAGTTTTGCTGGATACAAAATTCTTGGCTGATAATTGTTTTGCTTAAGAATGCTAAAGATAGGGCCCCAATCCTTCTAGCTTGTAGGATTTCTGCTGAAATTCTACTGTTAATGTGACAGATTTTTCTTTATAGGTGACCTGATGCTTTTGCCTCACAGCTCTTAAGATTCTTTCCTTTGTCTTTATTTTAGATAACCTGATGACAATGTGCCTAGGTGATGACTTTTTGCAATTAATGTTTCATGTGTTCTTTGAGCTTCTTGTATGTGGATGTCTAGATCTCTAGCAAGTCCAGAGAAGTTTTCATTATTATTTCCTCAAATATGTTTTCCAAACTTTTAGATTTCTCTTCTTTCTTGAGAACATCAATTATTCTTAGGTTTGGCCATTTAACATACTCCCCAATTTTTGGAGGCTTTATTCATTTTTTGATTCTTTTTACTTTGTCTTTGTTAGATTGCGTTAATTCAAAAATCTTGTCTTCGAGCTCTTCAGTTCTTTCTTTAGCTTGTTCAATTCTACTGCTGAGACTTTTCTGTGTATTTTCCATTTCTCAAAGTGTGTCCTTCCATTCCAGAAGCTGTCATTGTTTTTTATTTATGCTATCTATTTCACTGCAGATTTTTCCCTTCATATCTTGTATCATTTTAAAAATTTCATTAAATTGTGCCTCACCTCTCTCTGGTGCCTCCTTGATTACATTAATTATTGATCTTCTGAAATTTTTTGACAATTCAGAGATGTTTTTTCTTGGTTTGGGTCTATTTCTGGTGAGCTAGTGTGATCTTTTGGGGGTGTTAAAGAACTTTGTTTTGTCATATTACTATTTTCTGGTTCCTTCTCATTTGGGTAGACTATGTCAGGGAGATGTGTCTCAAGAGCTGCTGTTCACATTCTTTTGTCCCATGGGGTGCTCCCTTGATGTAGTGCTCTCCCCATTCCCCTAGTGATGTGGCTTCTTGAGAGCCAAACTGCAGTGACTGTTTTTTCTTTTCTGAATCTAGCCATCCAGCAGAGCTACAGGGCTCTGGGCTGGTACTGGGGAGTATCTGCACAGAGTCCTGTGATGTGAACTGTCTTCAGGTCTCTCACCTGTGGATATCAGTTCCTGCTCTGGTGGAGGTGGTTGTGAAATGGACTCTGTGAGGGTCCTTAGTTGTAGTTTTGTTTATTGCACTAGTTTTGTGTTGGTTGACCTCCAGCCAGGAGGTGGTGCTTTCAAGAGAGCATCAGCTGGGTTAGTATAAGGAGGATCAGGTGGTGGATAGGCTCTAGAGCTCCCAAGAGATTATGTCTTTTGCCTTCAGCTATCAGGGCTGGTAGAGAAAGACCAACAGATGGGGACAGGGTTAGGTGTGTCTGAGCTCAGACTCTCCTTGGGTGGGGTTTCCTGCAGCTGCTGTGTGGGATGGGGGTGTGGATGTCAGCCCAATGGAGTTATGTTTCCAAGGGGATTATGGCTGCTTCTGTTGCATCATGCAAGTTGCCAGGGAAGTGGAGAAAACTCAACAGTTACAGGCCTCACCCAGCTCCCATGCAGCCCAAGAGGCCAGTCTCACTCCCCATGCCTCCCCCCAACAGCATCGAATTTATCCCCAGGCAACCATTGACCAGAGCTGAGAACTTGCCTCAGGCTACCAGCCTCCCAGCTGAGGAAGCAAGAAGAACTTTCAGGTTTTGTGCCTTCCCAACTGCCATCGCTTCTGTGCTGCATCTGAATGTCTGATTCACCCCCTCCCCTGGTTTCTACCCAGGAAACTTTACATTCAGTTGAAATTGCTACGAAGTTCAGTTGGAAGTTTTCTTTTTCCAGTGGTCTTTTCCCAGTTCCTCTGGCAGCCCTCCACAAGGACCTCTGTGAGTCAAAGTCGGAAATGGCTTCCCTGGGGACTTAGAGAGCCCACAGGACTCTTCTTGTTGCTTCCTCTCCCCTTGCATTTTGCTCAGCTCTCTAAACTTGTCTAAGCTCCAGGTCAGGATAAATTATTCTCCCGTGATCTGGAACTTCAGGTTTCTAGTGAGGATGTGTGTTCAAGGGTGGACAATCCCCCTTTCACTCTTTCACACTTTGGGCACTCACAGATTTCTGGCTGTCTTGCAGTGCCTGCAGGAGCAATCTGCTTTCTTCAAAGGGTTTGTGGATTCTCTCAGCTTTCCTGGTATGTTCCTGTGGGAGTTCTTGGAGAAAAAATTTACAATTTGCATCTCCACATGCTCTTCTCTCTGTCCAAGGGGGAGCTGCAAGTTAGTCCTGCCTTCTAACCACCATTTTCCAACTCCACATGAATTTTAATATAGTATTTTTCTAATTAAGTGAAGAATGTCATTGGTAGTTTAATAGGAATAGCACTTAATCTGTGAATTACTTTAGCAGTATGGCCATTTTAACAATATTGATTCTTTCTATTCATGAGCATGGAATGCTTTTCTATTTGTTTGTGTCCTCTCTGATTTCTTTGTGCAGTGTTTTTTAATTCTCACTGTAGAGATATTTTACCTCCCTCTTTAGCTGTATTGCTAAGTATTGTGTTCTTTTTGTGGCAATTGTGAATAGAATAGAATTGCATTCCTGATTTGGATCTTGGCCTGGATGTTTTTGGTGACTAGAAATGCTACTGACATTGATTTTATATCCTGAGACTTTGCTGAAGTTCTTTATCAACTCAAGGAGTTTTTTAGGCAGAAAATCTGTTTTTTTTTTAAGATATAGAATCATGCCACCTGCACATGGGGATAGTTTGACTTCTCTTACTATTTGAATGCTTTTTATTTCTTTCTTTTGCTTGTTTGCTCTAGCCATGACTTCCAATACTATGTTGAATAAGAGTTTTGAGGGCATTTTTGTCTTAAGCCAGTTTTTACTGGAAATACTTCCAGCTTTTGCCGATTCAGTATGATGTTGTCTGTGGGCTTATAAAAAATGGCTCTTACTATTTGAAGTATGTTCCTTTAATACCCAGTTTATTTAGTGTTTTTAACATAAAGAAATGTTGAATTTTATCAAAAGTCTTTTCTGCATGTATTGAGATTATCATATGGTTTTTGTCCTTAGTTCTGTTTATGTGATGAATCACATTTAATAATTTGCATATGCTGTCATGGTGGATTAGCATTTCAATGTGCTGCTGGATTTGGTTAGCTAGTATTTTGTTGAGAATTTTTTATCTGTATTTATCAAGGATATTGGCCTGGGGTTTTGTGTGTGTGTGTGTGGGTGTGCACACATTAGATTTTGGTATCAGAATGATGCTGGCTTCAGAAATTGGGCTAGGGAGGAGTCCCTCCTCCTTAATGTTTTGAAATAGTTTTAGTAGAAAAGCTAGTACCATCTCCTTTTTATACATCTGGTAGAAATTGGCATTAATCTGACTGGTCCTGGGCTTATTTTGATTGGTAGAATTTTTATTATTGATTCAATTTCAAAAATCATTATTGGTCTGTTCTGGAATTCAATTTTGTTCCTGGTTCAGTCTTGGGAGGTTGTATGTGTCTAGGAAATTATCCATTTTCTCTGGACTTTCCAGTTTGTGAGCACAGAGGTGTTCATAGTAGTCTCAGGGTTTTTTGTACTTCTGTAGGGTCAGTGGTAACAATCCCTTTGTAATTTCTACTTGTGTTTATTTGGATCTTCTCTCCTTTTATCAGTCTAGCTAGTGGTGTTTCTATCTTATTAATTTTTTCAATGAACCAATTCCTGGATTCACTGATTTTTTAATGCTTTCTTGTGTCCAGTTTTTTCAGTTCAGCTCTGATTTTATAATTTCTTGTCTTCTGATAGCTTTGTGGTTGGTTTCCTCTTTCTTCTCTAGTTCTTCTAGTTGTGATGGGAGGTTGTTAATCTGAGATCTTTCTAACTTTTTCACGTTGGCATTTAGTCTTAACACTGACTTAGCTATGTCTCACAGATTCTGGTATTTCACATCTTTGTTTGCATTCGTTTCAAGGGATTTCTTGATTTCTGCCTTAATTTTATTTTCATATACCCAAATGTCATTCAGGAGCAGGTTGTTTAATTTCCATGTAATTGTATGATTTGAAGTGTTTTTTTTAGTATTGATTTCTTTGTTGATTGTGCTGTGGTTTGAGTTTGGTTGGTATGTTTTCAGGGATCTTTTTTTGTAATTTGCTGAGTATCATTTTATGTCTGACTCCGTGGTCAATTTTAGAGTATGTGTCATGTGGTAACGATAGGAACGTATGTTCTGTCTTTTTGGCTGGAGACTTCTGTAGGTATAAATTAAGTCTATTTAGTAAAGTACTGAGTTCAGGTCTTAAATATCTTTGTTAATTTTCTGCATTCATGATCTCTCTAATACTGTTAGCAGAATGTTGAAATTTCCCATTATTATTTTATGGTTATCTAAGCCTCTTCATAGGTCTCTAAGAACTTGTTTTATGAATCTGGGTGCTTCTGTGTTGGATGTATGCATATTTAGGGTAGTTAGGTCTTCTTGTTAAATTGAACCCTTTGCCATTTTATAATGCCCTTCTATATATTTTTAAATCTTTGTTGGTTTAAAGTCCATTTTGTCTGAAATTAGGATGGCAACCTTATTTCTTTTTTCTGTTTTTTATTTGCTTGGTAGACTTTTCTCCAATCCCTTATTCTGAGCCTATTGATGTCATAGCATGTGAAATGGGTCTGTTGGAGACAGCATATCATTGAGTCTTGCTTCTGTATTCAGCTTGCCACTCTCTGCCTTTTAAGTGGGGTATTTAGCCCATTTACATTCAAGGTTGGTATTGATATGTGCAAATTTTGTCCTGTCATTGCATTGTTTGCTGGCTATTATGCAGATATTTTTGTGGTTGCTTAACAGTGTCACTGGTCTGTGTACTTAAGAGTGTTTTCATAGTGGCTTATATGGGTTTTTCTTTCCATATTTAGTGATCCTCTCAGGACTTCTTGTAAGGCAGTTCTGGTGGCAATGTACTCCCTCAGCATTTTCCGTCTAAAAAGGTTTGTATTTCTTCTTCAATTATGAAGATTCATTTTGCTGAATATAAAATTCTTATATGGAGATTTTTTCTTTAAGAATACTGAATATAGGGACCTGATCTCTTCTGGCTTTTGGGATTTCTGCTGGAAAGGACTGCTGTTAGCCTAATAGGATTCCCTTTTTAGATAACCTGCTCCTTCTCTCTACCTGCCTTTAAGATTTTTAATTTCATTTTGACCTTGAAGAACCTGCTGATTATGTGTCTTGGGGATGGTCTTCTTGTATAATATCTCACAAGACTTCTCTGCATTCCCTGAATTTGGATGTTGGCTTCTCCAGTAAGGTTGAGGGAGTTTTCCCAGGTGACATCTTGAAATATGTTTTCTAGGTTTCTTGCTTTCTCCCTGTCTTTTTCAGGATTGCCAATGAGTTGTAGATTTGGTCTCTTTACATAATATATTTCTCAGAGGTTTTTGTGGTTGTTGTTGTTGTTGTTGTTTCGAGACAAGGTCTCATGCTGTCATCCAAGCTAGAGTGCAGTGGCATGATCTCAGCTAACTGCAGCTTCCACCTCCTGGGCTCAAGTGATTCTCCTGCCTCAGCCTCCTGAGTAGCTGGGACTACAGACATGCACTACCACACCTGGTTAATTTTTGTATTTTTAGTAGAGATGGGGTTTCACCATGTTGACCAGACTGGTCTCAAACTCCTGACCTCAAGTGATCTGCCTGCTTCATCCTTCCAATGTGCTAGGATTACAAGCATGTGCCACTGTGCCTGGCCTCATTCTTTTTTCTTTATTTTTGTCTGAGTAAGTTATTTCAGAGAGCTACTCTTCAAGCTCTGAGATTGTTTCCTCAGCTTAGTCTATGCTGCTGTTAATACTTGCAATTGCATTATGCAATACTTGTAGTGTATTTTTCAGTTCTATCAGATCAGCTTGGTTATTTTTATAATGGTTATTTTGTTTATCAGCTCCTGTACCATTTTATTCTGATGCTTAGCTTCATCGTATTGGGTTTTCATGTTCTCCTGAATCTTGATGATCTTCTTTTCTATTTATATTCTGAATTCAATGTCTTTTTTCAGCCATTTTAGCCTGGTTAAGAACCATTGCTGGGGAACTAGTGTGGTTGTTTGGAGAAAAGAAGGCACTCTGGCTTTTTTAGTTGCCAGAGTCCTGGCACTTTTTTTACCTGTGTAGGCTGGTGTCCTTTTAACTGCAGTGCAAACAGAGCACAATCA